>NC_000006.12:27635757-27938787 GCF_000001405.40 Homo sapiens | reverse complement strand
ACACGGCTCACTGTAGCTTCAAATTCCCAGGCTCAAGCAATCCTCCCACCTCAGCCTTCTGAGTAGCTGGGACTGTAGGCATGCACCACCATGCCTGGCTAACTTTTTAAATTTTTCGTACAGATGGGGGTCTCACTATGTTGCTCAGGCTAGTCTCAAACTCCTGGACTCAAGCAATACTCCCACCTCCCAAAGTGCTGGGATTACAGGCAGGAGCCACTGCTCCTAGCCCCTATTTTCTTGACCTAGCTAAACCATTGAATTCCCCCATCTCATTAAATGCCTCTTCAGCCTGCAATGCCAAAACATTCCTATATTTGCTAGGTCTAACAACATATATAGAAGATGGGTCAAAATACAATCCCAAAGTTTAATCACCCCTTACTATATTTCTGCACTCCCCTTCCCTAGCACCTTCTTCATGGCCTCTTTAACATCTTTGTTTCTTAGTGTATAGATCAGGGGGTTAACACTGGGAGTGACAATTGTGTAGAAAAGGGTAAGAAACTTGCCCTGGTCCTGGGAATAAGTATTTGCTGGCTGGAGGTACATGTATATGATTGTACCATAGAAGAGAGAGACAACAATTAGATGCGAGCTGCAAGTGTTGAAGGCTTTCTTTCGCCCAGCAGCTGACTTGATCCTAAGCACTGTTCCTCCAACGTAACCATAAGAAATGAGAATGAGGATGAGTGGTGCCAGGATGATAAAGATTGCCAGGGCAAAAGCCAGTGCCTCAAGCATCATGGTGTCTACACAGGCCATACCAATTAGTGCTGGCATCTCACAGAGAAAGTGGTCAACTCGTCTGTGCCCACAGCGGGGTAGCATCAATGTCTGGGGTGCCATTATGAGAGAATTGCCAAAGCCACTCAGCCATGCCACTGAAGCCAGCTGTCCACAGAGACGTGGGTGCATGATGATGGTGTAGTGCAGGGGTTTGCAGACTGCAGCATAGCGGTCATATGCCATGACAGCCAGGAGGACACACTCCACCCCTCCCAGGGCCAGGACAAAGTACAGCTGGATGGCACAACCCACATAGCTGATGGTCTTATCTGGACCCCAAAGGTTGTAGAGCATCTGAGGGATGGAACCTGTGGTGAAACACATGTCCAGGAATGAGAGGTTTGCCAAAAAGAAATACATTGGTGTGTGCAGCCGGGAATCCAGAGCTGAAAGCAAGACAATGGTCATGTTGCCAAGAAGAGTCAGCAGATAAAAGATGAGGACAACCACAAAGACGATCAGCTCTAGGTGGGGACGATCAGAGAAGCCCACCAGGATGAAGCCTTCGAAAGAACTTGTATTATCGTTTTCCACACCTGCAGCTACATATTACCTGTTGAGAGAAAGATGAATGCCTGTGAATAGCAGAGATATAGTCCTTCAAAATTGAATGATTTGTAAAATAGTAGAATGGAAACTTCCTTGGATATGTGGGATGCTTGACCCAAAATTTTAATAGGTATGGATTAAATCATTATTTGGTCTGAGGAGCACCCAGTATTTGGGAGAGTTCCTTTTTTTTTTTTTGGCTCCTGGCTGTGATGATTTACCAACATTTTGCATCACTTTTTTTCAATTGGGCAGGATGTAAAAAATTACTTTCAGAAGCTGAGGGAATTAACACTCAAAATTTTCCAACTTTTTTAAAAATGGAGAAGTAGTAAATTTTTCTAGCCATACATGACCCTTGGATAGACAAAGTGGATTGGTCCAGGCATGGTGGCAGTTTACGCCTGTAATCCTAGCACTTTGGGAGGGCAAGGCAGGTGGATTACTTGAGGTCAGGAGTTCAAAAGCAGCCTGGCCAACATGGTAAAACCCCATCTGTACTAAAAATACAAAAAAAAAAAAAAAAATTAGCCAGGTCTGGTGGCAGGCGCTTGTAATCCCAGCTACTTGGGAGGCTGAGGCAGGAGAATTGCTTGAACCTGGGAGGTGGAGGTTGCAGGGAGCTGAGATTGCACCACTGCACTCCAGCCTGGGTGACAGAGCCAGACACCATCTCAAAGAAAGAAAGAAAGAAATAGTGGTTTGTATCTTTGGATCAGAGAACCAGACTTGCTATTAGGTGAAATCTCATTCTAAATACTGTCTCATAAATACTGGAAAACCTAGAGTCATATCTAAATTCAACAAGGTGCAAGTGATCAAGCAAAATTTTAGGAAGAAGATTACTTCATTATTATTTATATCTACATCTCTGATCCTATTCATTTTATTTACTGGGCATGACTCTGACATAGATGTGTCAGACAAGACAGCAATGAAAAGCTTACATCATCACCTCAATATTCTCAGCCTATTCAAAACCTCTGTGACCAATTATGTTTTATACTACTGAGGTGTATTTAAAACCTGGGATTGGGTGACTTTTCGGATGTTGGGAATGCTTTTCCATACAGATAGAAAGACAGAAATAAGGCAATTCCCCAAACTCAATTCCAATGGAACTAATATTCCGCATTTTATTCTCACAAAGAATCCACTTCTGAGAAGCCTAATTGAATATTGTATTTAGCTGATTCTTATGATCTCATAGATCAAAAAGATTTCATTCTTTACATTTTTAATTATTTGGTGGTGATTTTACTTCTTAAGGTGAATGTACTATATAATGTTAATTAACTAAAGGCAGAGTCCCACTTACTAATATTTTTGAATATTTTTCTAACTAAGCAGTTAGTAAAAAGTAATAGCATTGTGACTCTTAAAAGGGAATCTTTTATATCTCTCGGGTACATACAGGCACAAAATAGGGTTCAAATCCACTGTTATAAGAATGCTTTGCCATAATTAAATCATGTTGTGACATGCGTTCCCAGCAACAGCTTTAAGATTTTATACGTTAAAACTTTGACACTTAATTTAAGTAACCATCTTTGCAGAAACACACACTCATACACAAATGTTGACACTGGAAATTAAAGGATTGTCAAAATCATCGCTCCAGAGGCTGCAACAAGTTTCTACAGTAGTGAAGGATGGATGTGATAATATCTAGCTGGATAAACAAATATTTGATTTGATAACTAAGAAGTAATACTTATAATCAAGCCAGCATTGTTAGTAAGGGCATTCCCTCCACCTCTCATAAAATGGGAATTTTAAAAGATGATGTTATATAATGGTTAAAGAAGAACATATAGGTACCTATAAATGAACTGGAAAGGTATATACCAAACTGATGATAGTGGACACCTCTGGAGAGAAAATTGGATTAAGGACTTGGACTTTCTCTTTATCTAAAATGTTTTATTTCTTTAAAAATATCTGGAAGAAAATATGACCATAAAGGAATAGCTATTAATTCTGAATATCGGAGTATACATGTTTTTTCTATTAGTCTTTGTAAATTTCTATGTTTTAAATATCTCAAAATGTTTTAAAAATATAAATTACAAGTTATTTAAATATTAATGTAACCAATATGTACCTCTTATGAGCTAAGGCACTAATGTTAACTGTGTAATAGAGTTTACCTCACTTCATTCTCAAAGAAGTCCCAGGAGGTCAGCAGTTTTATTTGTCAACATTAAGCTATTGAGAGTGATGAAATAACCTGCCGCAGATCACAGGGCTGGGTCATGGAGCCGACTAGATCCCCTGTGATTTCATTCCAAAGATCACTTCATCAATCACAATTTTCACTGCAGAGTTGAGCAGCGCAGTAATTATACTAAATCTGCATATAAAGAGACTAAATAAGTTGTAAAATTGGACTAAAACTCATGTCCTTTGACTTGTTGCACAAAGTTCAACATAAAAAGACTTATTGGTTGTAAATTGAATAAGGTAGGTAGGTAGCTGTCTTGGTATTACTGGCAAAGATGTAGAGAAACAAATCACATTTTTATTCAGAAAATGAGAAATACAGTCAAAATTTCCCTGCTAGGATGGGTTAACACTAAGTCACTGGGCACAGAAACTCTGCCAAAATAAGCCTAGGCCTGGCATCATCTGTACCTACTGGAAGAAAGTGCAAGGCGACTGTGATTGGCAGTGACTGTCTCATTCCATAGTTATCATAATCATCATTTTCCCTATGACTTGTATGTATGTGTATGAATGTTTATCGACCATAAAGTGGAATATAATAAACCCAAGTTGTTTTATTTTTTTTCTTCTTTCTCAAATCAACCAGGAATTACTCAACTAGGATTATCCTCATAAATTTTTCATTCCGATTCAAAGTGGTTAAGCCATCTGTTCACTGCCTTTCTCCTTATATGGTCATATCAATTCAGTTATTACTCTTCCTTATCGAGTCTTCCCTTTGTGAGGATTGCATTCCTGTGTTTATAGACTTTAAATAACTAATGTATAATTTCTTTATGTGCCAAGAATATTATTTTAAATGATATGTGTATGTCTATCCTTATTTGAATTCAATAGAATGGCTTCTAAACACAGTGACATGACAGTTTTCTCACAAGAGCCATACACATTAACTATTTAATTATAGTGAAGCAGCTGATCGATTCTGGCATTTAAATGTGTTACTATTGTTTTGGAAAACAAGACAAACTTGTTTTCTTGAGTGACTTCTGTAACAATGACCAGGTAATTTAAATGTCACAATATTTTTTAAAAATTGAAGCAAATAATACTCCAACACCAACTATTAGCTAATAAGCTTATAAAGAACCAGAATGGGGATTTACTGCTTAGATAGTTTGGAGGAATGGATTATCAAGTCCCAGGGTTAAGAAACATGTGGGCACACTTCATAGCTAGATAGGCTGCTCATTCTGTGCCAAATGGAAAATGAGGCAAATTCAAAGTCATAAGAAACCTAGAAGAACATTTTGTTTCTTTCATTGACTCTCCATGTTGGAGTTCAAAGTCCCAGTATCAATTCTTACCACTCAGTTTCTGAGAGCTCATTATTCAACATACTCTCATGCAATGCAGAACTACAGTTCATAATTTTATTCTTAAGATTTTCCAATACAATAGGTTCTACTTTCTAAATTAAGTTTTTGGTAAGAACTCCACTAATAAGCTCAAAGCTCTCGCTCTAGCCTCCTCCCAACATTAATGATATTACACCGCAATCTTTAAAATTTGACCAAATCTATGTAAATAAAGTGCATAGACAGTCAGACTGTGCGATATTGGCATAATACATTTAATTGTCCGTGATTTGGCCACAGCCTAAGGTTCTAGGGAAACTAGATCCTCGGGTAGTTTAGAGGTCTAGGTCACATTTCTTGCTATACCATTAACTTACCAAATTTGACTGCAACCTCAGAAACACCACGTCCGTGTTGCTTCTCTTTTTGGGACTTCACTTGGAAGTCCAAATGGGATGACCAAAGTGCAGACAAGGAGAGGAGAAAGATGACATTTAAGAAATCCAAAAGAATGGGAAAAAGACAAAGGGGTAACAGTACCTAGCAGAGCTAAATCTGAGTGAATGAAGAGAGAATGTTGATGAGCACACAATAGTTACACCACCTGAGGTACAGATATGAGGTACAGCCACATACTCCACCTCCCAGCCCCAGATAAGGAGCCAGATAAGGAGCAGCATGAGGGAAGCTGGGGGTTCTCCAATGTACACCCAGCACAAGAAACACTTATTAAAGATTCAAGTCTGAGAAGGAAGCTCTCCTTATAGGGTTCAGAGTTGATATGGGATTGGATACTTCCTTTTCTGATCACCCTATGGAGTAAAACTTCCTTTTCAAAAACTCCCATCACTAATTATCCCTAACAAGGTTTGGGGGATTGTGTGGCCTCAGAGGAAATATCACTCTTCCCAGCACACACAGACACACACATAGATGTGCACACACACACTGCAGATTCACCCAAGAGAGACAAGAGACAGCACCAAATCTTCAAGAGTCTATTTTCATCATCAAGACCAGTACATAGTAATAAGCATTAAGGTATCAAAAGTGGCCACCTTATACTTAGTTCAGAGCAGAACCTAGAGTTATGGAAAAGATGTACCAGGATATATGTGTGCTTTGGTTTCTTTTTGTGTTACATATCCTCTACCACTTGCTTGGTGCATGCAGTGCAAAGAAGTGCTATTATTAAAGTGCTTTTACCATTTTGTTTACTTAAGATGAATTTTCTATGCAATTTTAAGATCCTTAACAATAAAGTTTAACTTGAATGTTTTCTATTTAAAACAAATATAGGTATATCAAGAGGAGGGTGAATTAAAAAAAGAAAAAGACTGATTTTTGACATTTAAAATTAATATCAAAAACAGGCCAAAAATATTAAAACAATTTTATTTCAAAATTGCCAAATTCACTATAAAATTATTTCAAGAGAATTACTATCAATCTGACTGACAAATGACATCAGCTAAGTCAGAATAAATTAGCAAGTTTTGGTTTTTTAAAAAGGCAGTAAATAACAGTATGCAATTGTTTCAGATCAGTTGATTATCTGTTATAGTCATAAGGTAAACAATATAGAAACAACTGCATCTCAAAAGCATATGTTCTATATTTACCTATCAAAGACTTCTAAGGGAGATAAATTTTACATTTTACCTCCACAGTCAGAGGTTTTAATTGATGATACACATGAGATACAACATATAAATGCACTTTGTACATTTAAAATGTTATTTAAATTTTAATAATATGCTATGGTCTACTAACTTCAGTGACTATTTCCAGATACTTTTGTCAATAGAACAGAAAATGCCTGGTCATTACTATGTCAAATACTATGTTTTAAATATAAACATTATTAAAGTCATGTAATCTTAATACCACTAACTATACAAGTAGGGATAGAATATATTAGCTAGAAACAATGATAATATTATCATCTCCATTAATTTACAAACAAATGACATACAACTTTTTTTCTTTAAACAGAAATACTGAAACACATGGATGTGCAGTCAAAATTGATAAATATTAATTCTGTATGTCAACAAACTTCTTGGCATGGTCAGGTGACTATTCCTCCTGATAACTGCTTTCTATGCTTAGATTCACTTATTAGCTCGTATTACTATCTCTGAGCTAATATTTTCTCTTGGAAACTAGCAGAAAATACCTAGAGAATTTGATGCTTTCAAGAATTTCCTATCTGAGATAATGATTCCCTCTGAGAAGTGAAGGAGATGAGGTCCTTATGGGGCAGTTAACTCAAGAAGGGATATTAAGTTATTAAACAAAGAAGAAATTTAGAAGGAATATTTAAATTTATTTTTTGCCACTTCACTTCTACCCCTTTTATTCACTTTTGGCCCACCACCATTCCTAACTCATTACAAATACATTTAAACTTGTAACTGAAGGAACTATTATAGTCATGGAAAGCTACTTTCTGTGAAATAAAATAATACAATCAAAGGGTAATATGTGATGCAAGAAGGGCTTCCCAACGTGTTACCATATGACTTCACATTTTGTAATATGACATCATAGAATGTCTTCAGGAAAAGAAATGAAAGCTACATCAGTCATCTTTTCCATCAGATGCAATTACATTTAATTCAATCTTTTTTATTGCGATTTAATTATCATTGTAGACTTTGTGGAAGAACAGATTACTTATAATAGTTATATCACAAGTATTTATAAAATTTGATGTCAAATGTCCATTATTTCTTCAAACTTTATTTTTCAAACCTGCTCTTTTTGATTTTCATCCCTTTGTGATTTGTCCAGTCTACAAGTCTTGAAACACCACCATTTTCTTAAGTCATTGCTTTCCCTGAATGCTCACATTCAATAAGTTTCTAGGCCTACCTATAACATCTGTCTTTCATACCTCCAACTAACTCTTTTGTTTTTACTTCTCTTGTCCTAGCTCAGTAGCTCATTAATTCTTGCATGATTTGTTACACTAGGCTGTTCCTTTGTTAATCTCTAGTATCTTGCTATTTCAAACCATCTTTTGCTTTGCTACAAAAGGAGGCTTCCTAAAATATAGGCTTTGTTATGCCCATGCTTAAAGTCCTGAAGTGACACTGTCTAGAGAAATACATGTATATTCTTTAATATTGATGTGGTTCTGTACCAACTTCACATTACAACTCTATCTAAAGAGCGCCTGTTTGTTGCATGCTCCAAATGCATTAAACTACTGACCATTTTTCATAAAGAATAAGAATTTAAATCATCTCTGGAATAAAGAGAAAGAAGAATAGCCTTTGGAGAATGGCTCAAACTCCAGCTCAGAAACAATCACTGCAGGCTTGAAAATTAGGAAGGCTCATTTACTATCATTAGAGAGAAAAACTGCTTTGAATAGTTGTTGTGAAAGTTAAATAAGGTAAGAAACACTAAATATTTAGCATTGTCCCTGACATACAGTAGCTCTTTGATAATTATAATTACTCCTTTATCTCCTTCCTTATGATGGTCTTTCAGATGAGGATGTTCATCTTATAAAAATAATACTGAAAGAATCAAGGCCCAGGTGAAAAATTCTTCCTGTTGCACTTGGCTATTGATATGGTTTGGCTGTGTCCCGACCCAAATCTCATCTTGAATTCCCACGTGTTGTGGGAGGGACCCAGTGAGAGGTAACTGAATCATGGGGGCAGGTCTTTCCCGTGGTGTTCTTGTGATAGTGAATAAGTCTCATGAGATCTGATGGTTTTAAAAATGGAAGTTTTTCTCCACAAGCTCTCTTTTTGCCTGCCACCGTCCATGTAAGACATGACTTGCTCCTCCTTGCCTTCCACCATGATTGTAAGGCTTCCTCAGCCATGTGGAACTATAAGTCCATTAAACCTTTTTTTCTTCCCAGTCTCGGGTATGTCTGTATCAGCAGCATGAAAACAGACTAATACAGTAAATTGGTACCAGGAGAGTGGGATGCTGCTGAAAAGATACCTGAAAATGCAGAAGCAACATTGGAACTGGGTAACAGGCAGAGGTTGGAACAGTTTGGAGTGCTCAGAAGAAGATAGGAAAATGTGGGAAAGTTTGTAGCTCCCTACAGACTTGTTGAATAGCTTTGACCAAAATGCTGATGATGATATGGACAATGAAATCCAGGTTGTGGTGGTCTCAGATGGAGATGAGGAACTTGCTGGGAACTTGAGCAAAGGTGATTCTTGTTATGTTTTAGCAAAGAGACTGGCATCATTTTGCCCCTGCCCTAGAGATTTGTGGAACTTTGAACTTGAGAGAGATGATTTAGGGTATCTAGTGGAAGAAATTTCTAAGCAGCAAAGCATTGAAGAGGTGACTTGGGTGCTGTTAAAGGCATTCAGTTTCAAAAGGGAAGCAGAGCATAAAAATTTGGAAAATTTGCAGCCTGACAATGCAATAGAAAAGAATATCCCATTTTCTGAGGAAAAATTCAAGCCAGCTGCAGAAATTTGCATAAGTAACAAGGAGCCACATGTTAATCACCAAGACAATGGGGAAAATGTCCTTAGGGCATGTCAGAGAACTTTGCAGTAGCCCCTCCCATCATAGGCCTGGAGACCTAGGAGGAAAAAATAGTTTCATGGGCCAGGCCCAGGGTACCCGTGCTGTGTGCATTATAGGGACTTGGTGCCCTGTACACCAGCCACTCCAGCTGTGACTAAAAGGGGCCAATGTACAGCTTGGGCCATGGCTTCAGAGGGTGCAAGCCCCAAACCTTGGCAGCTTCCTTGTGGTGTTCAGCCTGTGGGTGGACAGAAGTCAAGAATTGAGGTTTGTGAACCTCTGCCTAGATTTCAGAGGATATATGGAAATGCCTGGATATCCAGGCAGAAGTTTGCTGCAGGGGAAAGGCTCTCATGGAGAACCTCTGCTAGGACAGTGTGGAAAGGAAATGTGGGGTTGGAGCCCCCACACAGAGTCCCTACTGGGGTACTGCCTAGCAGAGCTATGAGAAGAGAGTCACTGTCCTCCAGGCCCCAGAATGGTAGATCCACCAACAGCTTGCACTGTGTGACTGGAAAAGCCACAGACACTCAACACGAGCCCATGAAAGCAGCTAGGAGGGAGGCTGTACCCTGCAGAGCCACAAGGGTGGAGCTGCCCAAGACCAAGAGAACCCACCTCTTACATCAGCATGACCTGGATGAGAGACATGAATCAAAGAAGATCATTTTGGAGCTTTAAGATTTGACTGCCCCACTAAATTTTGGACTTGCCTGGGGCCTATAGCCCCTTTGTTTTGGCCAATTTCTCCCATTTGGAATGGCTGTATTTACACAATGCCTGTACCCACATTGTATCTAGGAAGTAACTAACTTGCTTTTGATTTTACAGGCTTATAAGTGGAAGGGACTTTCCTTATCTCAGATGAGACTTTGGACTGTGCACTTTTGAGTTAATGCTGAAATGAGTTAAGACTTCGGGGGACAGTTGGGAAGGCATGATTGGTTTTGAAATGTGAGGACATGAGATTTGGTAGGGGCCAGGGGCAGAATGATATAGTTTGACTATGTTTCTACCCAAATCTCATCTTGAATTCCCACATGTTGTGGGAGGGACCCAGTGGGAGGTAATTGAATCATGGGGGCAGGTCTTTCCTGTGCTGTTCTCATGATAATGAATAAGTCTCCTGAGATCGGATGGTTTTAAAAATGGGAGTTTTCCTGCATAAGCTCCCTTTTTGCCTGCCACCATCCATGTAAGATGTGACTTGCTCCTCCTTGCCTTCCACCATAATTGTGAGGCTTCCTCAGCCATGTGGAACTTTAAGTCCATTAAACCTTTTATTTTTTCCTTTTTTTTTTTCTTTTCTGTGGGATGGGACAGAGTCTCACACTGTCACCTGGGCTGGAGTGCAGTGGTGCAATCTCGGCTCACTGCAACCTCTGCCTCCCAGATTCAAGCGATTCTTCTGCCTCAGTCTCCAAAGTAGCTGGGATTATAGGTGCACGTCACCATGCTCAGCTAATTTTTATATTTTTAGTATAGACAGGGTTTTGCCATGTTGGCCAGGCTGGTCTCAAACTCCTGACCTCAAGTGATCCACCTGCCTGGGCCTCGCAAAATGCTGGGATTACAGGCGTGAGCCACTATACCCATTCTATACTACCTTTCATATAATGTACTATCTTACAGTTCTTTCATATAAGAAAGAAGGACATGTAATGAACTATCCACATATCTGCCCCTTTATACAAAAAGAAATACAGGAATGATAAACCAGAAACTAATGAGATTAGTTACCCACAGGGTTGGAGGAGGTGGTGATTTGGAATAGAGTATAAAAAAATGGGAGAATTAGTGGAATGGAAAGGCTGAGGGGGAGTGACACTTTTCTAAGTACATATAACATTTTGTGTGTTCTAACTTTTATAGCCATAGTAATGCTTCACATATTCCAATTTAAATAAATAACTAAAGTCAACCGGAATGGGAGGTACCCAAAAGAAATACAGAGAATAATAAATTAACCCACCTGTATTACAAATGAGCAACAAAACCAAGTTAAAGAGGGTAAGGAAGGAAAAAAAACTAACCTAATTAACTTTGGGAAAAAGAGTATCTTGACTATTTTGCTAAGGATAGACTCATCTAAGGATAAAAGCAAAAAGAACTGTACAGAAATATTGTACTCTAGTTAGTAAAATGGTTATTCCCAAGAGTGTGGATTAGCAATTCTAAAGCTATTTGTGTATTAGAATTGAGAAAATAAGTAAATATATTATGGATAATGAGAGCCAAATTTCCCACTGTTCAACAAAGAAGGTACAAATAAGGAATGGAGGGAGTTTATGCAAATACTATGTGGTATTTGGATTGGAATCAGAGGCATTAGTATGAACTGTGGTCACACACACACACATACACACACACAGCTAGGTATATAAATAAAAATGTATGTGTATGTATATGTCAGTATATATATATATATATATATATATATATACACACACACACACTCTATTTGTAAGCTCTGTTCACTGAGAGAGTCTGGAAGCAATAACAAATCAGTAGCAATGAACACACCTGGTGCCTAGAACTTGATTTCTAAATATATTTCCAGTAAAAGGAACCAAGGATCCTTAGAAAAATTAGTAATTCCAGGGCTGGGGAAGTAAAAGTCCAAGATGACCCTAGAACAGCTGGTGGTGACACAGAGTATAGAAGTTCTCAAATAGTGATGGGGCATGTTAAAAAGATACATGAGTCAACTTGAAGGAGCTCCCAAAGGCCAAATCTAGGACAATTTTAGCAGTAAATTAAATAATGATAGTATTGGGACTACAAACAATAGAATAAAACAAATACCCATAAGTCTATATGAGTTTAAATAAATGACTGAACAAATAACAAATGGGGGAAAAATAACAGCTCTTCTTTACAGTAGAATTCCAATTAATAAATGTAGAATTAGCAATAGAAATAGAAAATAGATGCTACAGAAATAATTGTTGCAGGCAAGAATCACTGATGAACATCAATATAAGTAGCAAAAATATGATGAGAAACAGAATATTTTCATAATCTCAAAATATTCCCTCTCAAGATAATTATTAATTTAAAAAGGAAAAATGGTAACTTTACAGTGGAGAAACCTAGAAGACATTATCTTAACCAAGTGTTCAAAGTTATCATCATAGTAATACAATAAAACATTGTGAATATCTTGATATGATGTACTAAAAGGGGCACCTCAGCATTCCTGTGACATTCTTGCCAAACATGTATAACCTCGATATATACCATAAGAAAACATCAGACAAACCCAAACTGAAGGTACTTCTATAAAATAATTGGCTAATAATCTTCCAAAGTTTCAAGGTCATGAAAGACAGACTGAGGAACTGTCCCAGGTTGGAGCAGGAGACTAAGGAGATACAGCAACTAAATGCAATGTGGGGTCCTGGATGAGATCCTGGAATAGTAAAAGGACATTTGTGAATGAGTTTGCATTTTTTTCTTTTTTTTGAGACGGAGTCTCATTCTGTTACCCAGGCTGGAGTGCAATGGCTTGATCTTGGCTCCCTGAAACCTCCACCTCCCAGTTTCAAGCGATTCTCCTGCTTCAGCCTCCTGAGTAGCTAGGATTACAGGGAGTGCACCGCTGCAACTGGCTAATTTTTGTGTTTTTGGTAGAGAACAGGGTTTCACCATGTTGGCCAGGCTGGTCTCGAACTCCTGATCTTGGGTGATCCTCCTGCCTCGGCCTCCCAAAGTGCTGGGATTACAGGTGTGAGCCTCTGTGGCTGGCCCAGTTTGCAAAATTTTAACAGTATTTTATCAATGGTAGTTTCCTGTGCTTTGATAATTATGCTATGATTATGTAAGATGTCTAGTTGAAGGGTATACATGAATTCTCTAAACTATTTTTGTTACTTTATTGTAAGTCTAAAATTATTTCAAAATAAAAACCTAACAATCAATAAAATACACTCAGAGCAATTCATTTGAAGAGCTTTGCACTTAAATATGCACAGATATATGTGTATATAGCTATATACATATATCTATAATCTATATTTCTTAAGACAATTAAGAATGTGAGGTGTCCTTTTATTTTACTTTATTTTATTTTTTTTAGCCATGAGCCTGAAGATCTGAATGTCCTGTTTTTAAAGCAGTAATTTAGGATTCTCTACCTTTCTATTTCCCTCAGTTGATCATTTTTTGCTAAAGAAGGCGTGGCTTTGCTGCAGAAATCTGGTAGCCTTTGCTAAGATACCTCTATCAAGGCATGTACGGCTTCCATATAGCATTCCAATCTGCTTCAGACAGATCAAGCACTTTTGAATTTTCTTGGGTATGATAGCTAAAAGCCTCAATTGCTCACCTATAGATGGACAGGTTCAAGATCTTTCTCTTGCTTTCAGTCACACACAAAGCTAACAGTCTCATGAGTTGATTCAGAAATAGATAGAAGCAGAACATTCAAATACAGTTAATTTCTTTCCAAAGTTGAAATTTAGCTCACTTAGTTTATTATATCCCTATGGCAGCTTTTACAAATTGCCACATACTTGGTGACTTAAAACATAAATGTACTAGCCTACAGTTTCGGAGATCAAAACATAAAAATCTATTTCAGTGGGCTAAAATCAAGGTGTCAGTGAGAGGCTGCCAGGTGTCAAGGTGGTCAAATAGGACAGCAAGCCAAACTGAAAGTGACAATCAATTAAAATTGCCACCTTATGAAGCTTATAATAATCTATTTCATTCGCCAGTCTCATTTTGTTTTATGCACAGGCTAAAGAGATAATGCAACTGGAGTTCAATACATCTTTCAAGTCTTTAACAGAAACATTATTCTCTGAAATCTCCCCAGAAGGGAGATTCTACTTGGTCAATTATTGAGTGTGGAGATTCATGGCAGTCAAATGATAAATACTGTTTTCACCTAAATTCATTTCATGTGGGCCCTGGGAGTCCATAAATCCAGTCTATGGTCATTTCCTCTGATTCAGGGTGTTCACCTTTTCCTTTGCTAGGCAGAGAGGAATTTATCCAGGAAACGCCGGAGGTGAGGCAGTACTCGGTTGCTATATTGGAAAGGCGTGGCAGATCTCTTTTTAGTCCTCTAGGGCTTTCGACTGAGAGACTAGTATATTTGCCAGGGTTCATTCTCTGGGTTAGTCATAAATTCTAAACTTTAATTCCTCAGTACCTTAAGACAGTTGAAAATTCAGCTGCGTTTTTCAGAGGTTTTTGACATAGCTTGTTAAATGTTCTTCCTTACACAAAAATGTTTCAAATGCCTAAGGGAAAACTGCCTTGTATCATGCTCTCAATTGATGCTGTGTGACTTTAGCTTTGCAAAAATAACAAATTTCTGGGCTTTTCCCGTTTATTCCCTATTAGTGGTCCCTTTACCAGCTTCATGCTTGCATCCAGAATCAGCAAATTCCACAGGGTATGGTGGCTCACGCCTGTAATCCAAGCTCTCAGGGAGGCAGAGGTGAGAGGACAGCTTGAGCCCAGGAGTTCGAGACCTACCTGGGCAATACAGTGAGACGCTGTTCTCCATAGAAAGTGTATATTGGGGGAAAAAACAAAAAACAAGTGTAACTCCCCCTCAGAATCAGCAAATTTCCCCAGAGAAAAAGCAACTTCAGCTCAACTTCATAGTTCTTCACTGCATGGAATAAGAACTTTTTTGGTTTTTTGCTTCAATGGTTCTGTGATCTGATATGCAAATTATTTTTATATTTATTTTCACTTTTCTAGCTCTTGAAGGATGATTAGGCTTCCAAAAACTATTCTTTTTTGCCTGAGAGAGGAATTCATAATCTGGGTTTGAGCTAAATTTGTAATAAACACTGCAGATTTTGCTGGTGTGGGTGGCTTCATAGGCAATGTCACAGATAGATTTACCATGAAACCAATGTAGCATAATTTCATAGCGTATCACATGCATAGGCCCCTTCCAAGACCCTGGGAGAGATCCTAGTAATGTGTTCATATAAACGTATGTTTATGTAAAATTTGGAAAAATATATTTTATCCTTAATTCATTAGGGGCACTCACTTTTCCATTCCAACTTCTCTCTATCATAGTTCTCATGTCAATTGACAATGAAATGGCCTTGAGAATTTTCATCATCTGGCTAGGAGAAAGTGTATTAGAGATATAATTATGGGGTTAAAGTCATGTATACAGATAGGTGAGTTGTTGTTAGCCCTCCTGGTGTAGGAATGGTTTCTAGGAATGCTCAGACTTTTGACACTGCCTGCTGACATTGCCAACTCAGCAGCATCATGATGTAATGCACAGAGCAGGAATATGAAGAGGCCTGATGATGTCAGTTGCCATGCTTCTGCACTGTGAAGGCAGTGGACAGCCATAACAAATCTCATAAACATTAAACTTTTTTGCTCATCAAAAGATACTATTAGTAAAATAAGTAGGCAAACCACAGACTGGGAGAAAATTACTTGCACATCTGACAAAGGACTTGTAACCAGAATATATATATAAAATCACTCTTACAAATAAATGATGAAAAGACAAACAATCCTATTTTTTAAATGAGCAAAAGGCTTAAATTGACACAAGAGAAGTTATATGGTCAATAAGCACATAAAATAGGGCTCACCATTATTAGCCAATAGTGGAATGCATGTTAAACCATAATGAGAAATATCTACGCACCCACTAGATTGGATAAAATTAAAAAGACTGACAACATCAAATGTTGGCAAAGATATGAAGCAACCAGAACTCTCAAACCGCAGTTGGTGTAAGTGTAAAATGGTATCTCTAGTTGGGAAATTATTTGGAAGATTCTAATATAGCAATTATACACTTTGATACCTACCCAAGAAGAAGGAAAACACAAGTCCACAATCGATATTATACAGGAATGTTCACACTAGCCCCATTAATAATAACCCCAAACAGGAAACAATAAAAATATTGATCAGCAAAAGAATTGATAAACAAATTATGGTGTATTAATACAATGTAATTATTCTTGGCAGTAAAAAGAAAAAAACTACTGATAGATGCAATAATGTGGATGAATTTCAAAAACATTATACTCAGTTGAAGAATCCAGAGAAAAAAGTTTACATAGTATACGACTTCATTCATAAGAAGTTCCAGTGGAGGGGAAGAGTGTGGTGCTCATACTGAGTACCCAACATGTGTGAAGATATCAGGACTCAAATGAGATGGCCTGCATGGTAGAGAGATTGATTACATACAGAGGACTGAGAAAATAAGCAAATATATTGAGAAGTTAGGTTTCTTCTAGAGAAAGAAGGTGTAAGTAGGGAAAGTAAGAATTGCATAAACCTAGAGAATTAGATTGAAATTGAAAGTATCACTGTGGACTCATGATATTTAATATATGTAGATGTGTGTGCATAGAAAGAGACACAGTGAGTCTGTGAGTATGTGTGGGTATAAAATAGTAATAAGCCCACCATGTTCCTAGATCAGGTTTCTAATTACCCTTCTCCACTGAAAGAAATTAGGGCTCTTTGGATAAACAGCTGATTTCAGGCACCTCTTGTGCTTAAAGTAAGAAAGTGCCTATAGAAACAAGGAAAAATGACAAAATGATATAGGAGCTGGCTTGCAGAGGTTCCCACTAGCCTAACGTGGGAAAACTTGAGCATAAAAATAAAGATAGCAATATATTACAACCAACTGAATTTAATTGAAATCCATTAGTCCATACTGCTTTAAAGTTGTAAGTAAGTCAGCATTTGGTAAAATATAAACTAATAAATACAGAGGAATGGTGGGATTAGAAAATCATCATCATTTCATAATCATTATAATAATTGATTCAGATAAGAATCAATGAAATGCTAAATCTGGGGGTAAAATTTCAATAACAAGTGTGATGTCTATACGGTTTCAAAGTAACTCTCTACAAGATACATCTCAGTTATAAATGCAAAATACTTATTAATTAATTTTATAGCAGACAAACTTAGCAGACACTTTATAAACCAGGTAATAAAAGTAAAAAAACTCAAATAATGAGACACATGGACATCAGATGCCTCTTAATATGATGAATGAGAAGATAACAGTATTTCTGTTTGTTGTATTCCTGCCAAAAATAAATAATGAAGAAAAGTCAAATGCCCCAAATTGAGAGACAACTTACTAAGTGACAGGCCAACATTCTTGAAAAATATTATGTCATGAAAGATGAGGAAAAGCTGAAGAACTGCTCCTGATGTAGGGAAACTGAAGAGACATCACAACTAAACAAAACACATAACTCTGAGTTGGATCCTAGACCAAAAGGAAAAGTTTGATTATAAAGGACACTCCTAAGGCAACTGACAAAATTTAAATGTGGTGTGTAGATTTGATGGCAGTATTGCAATAGTGTGAATTTCCTAATTGTGATGGTTATGCTGGAAATGGAGAATATTCTTGTTTGGAGGATATACACTCTGAAAACTTTAGGGGCTGTGGGCATCAGGTCCAAAACACACATAAAAGCTTCAAAAAATTCACACACGCACATGAACATATACATACATACAGGACTTGATTCTTTGTATTGAAGGCTTTGCTTTTTTGGATTTCTTATGGTGACATGGAATTAGTTGAGGAAATTATTGTTGGACTAGCCATGTTTGGAGAAAGCTTCAGCATTCCCTTTGATTTCTTAGAATACTACCCACTCTCTTTGGACTCCAGTACTAAGGGTTCATTTTAAACATTAGTAAAATTTGGTCCTTATCCCATCTCCATCACTCCTGGGAAAGTTATTATATCCAGTCTTTCATGCTTCTATAACATTTATCTGACAGAAAACACTTTGCCCACCTTGCTACTTACAGAATTTTGTTCTAATATTCGATATATTTTCTATTTTAAAATGCTAATAAGTAAATTTCTGAAAAATAAGTCCTAGTGGTAAGAAGGAAGGCATGAAAAAAAAAGAACAACAAAAATACAAAATACAAAAAAAAAAAAGAATAAAAGTAGAACAGCCATATTATGTCACCAGTTTCCTGACACATTCTATTTTAATCACCCTAAGCCTCAGTTTCTACATCTATAGCATGGAAATCGTGCATTGCTTTCTCAGACGGCACTTATGAGGACTGAGTGAGATAATCCTTTGAAAGGATGGCACATATCTGGCTAATAATAATAAATTCAGCAGATCCTTTTCCCTACTTCCAGAACTTGCATAAATGGACATCACTTCATAATTTCTAAGTTTAAGAACTTTTGAAATAATTACCATTTATGCATAATTGATTCGTTCTACAGAATATTTATATTTATTCATATTTTCTTGCTTCTTTGTTTACTTTCTTTTCAAACTATACTTTTGTTTATTTAAATTACAACCTCTTGGCCAGGCCCGGTGGCTCACACCAGTAATCCCAGCACTTTGAGAGGCCAAGGCAGGTGGATCACTTGAGGTCAGAAGTTCAAGACCAACCTGGCCAACATGGTGAAACCCCGTCTCTACTAAAAACACAAAAAAATTAGTCGGGCGTTGTGTTGCATGCCTGTAGTCCCAGCTATTCGGGAGGTTGAGGCAGGAGAATTGTGTGAACTCAGGAGGTGGAGATTGCAGTAAGCCAAGATCGCACCACTGCGCTCTATCTAGCCTGGGCAACAAAGCAAGACAACAAAGCTAGTCTCAATCAATCAATCAAACAATCAATCAATAAAACCTTTTTGAAAATATTGTAAAAAAACAAAATTCACATAGCAGTACAATTTTCCCCCTCACCATCCTCACCCTTATTCCTGGTCTTCTATTCAGCGGTAACCATTGCTGTTACATTTTTAAAAAATCAAATGTATGTGAAATCTTAATTTCTTTCTCTTTCCAGTTTTACTTCATGTTCCATCTACCTCTTTCTCTTCCTCACCCTCCTTCTCCTCCTGATACTGCTGTCTGCCTCTCTCCAAGTTACTCTTGTTAATTATCTAAGAAGTAGCCTTTCTTATTATTCTGGGAAAAAAAACAAAGGTATTTTGTTATGTAATCTCACACAGACACGCAATACAGAAAATCATATTTAGGGTGCCTTAAATAATTATTTTATAAAACTGGGACCATGTTTTGTACCTTTTTTGCTTCTTTATTTGCTCACCCAGCCATACCCCAGGAAAATATCTCCAAGCCATCTGTTAGACCTATAGTTCCTTATTTTAGATGGATGCATATTATTCTGTTCAGTGAATGTATTATTTAGAAAGTTATCTACCAAAAAACCACATTTTTCTCTATCTTTGGTCATTAAAATAACTCTACAATAAACGTCATTGCCCATGTGTCCTTAGGTACTGTTAGTTTCCTTTCCCTGGGAAAGATTCCCAGTAGTAACAGTGCTAGATTGACAATATATATAGTTTGTAAGCGACTATTGCCGTATTTCTCACCAGAAAGCCTATAACACTTTAAATATCCACCAGTAATCTGTGAGTAACTGTCTTCCTTCATCTACTTTAGCAATAAAATTCATTTATCCTTTTGTTTCTGATCTGGTGAAAGTGGGGAGCTTTATCATCATTAATATATCCTTCTTTCAGAAGGAGATGTTGAACTAAAAATATTTATCTTTCTATATTTGATAACTTGATCATATTTCCTTATATCTATTGATCATTTGAATGTGCTATTCTCTGAACTGCCTATGTGATTTATTTTCCTATTGAGCTATTTGTAGTATTTTTTCAAAATTGTTAGAAGTTTTTTCTATTTAATAGATACCAAATATTTTTTCTAGAATTATAAATGTATGTCTTCTAATTTTATTAATCTAGAAAAGAAATTTAAATGAATCTGCACATTACAGCATATAAAAAATAAAAGTATTATGTTTGGATTAAATACTCTACTATAAATAAACTTTAAACCAGGCAATTTAAGGGGCCAGATACAATTCTGAACTGAAGAAGACCTTAGAAACTAAGACTGAAAACTCAAAATCCATGAAAGAAAATATATACTAGATACACTGCTGTACATTAAGTTTTTTAAAAGCCATTTTATATAAAATATACCATAAATCAAATTAATACACTATTTTCTTGTGATAAATGGTAGCTTATTTTCTGATATAGAAATCGAAGGTTTGGGAACATGACCTCGGATTGCATCTTAGAGATTTTACATATGAAATAAAAAATTTCTTCCCTTGGGCTGGGTGTGGTGGCTCACACCTGTAATCCCAGCACTTTGGGAGGCCAAGGTGGGCGGATCACGAGGTCAGGAGATCGAGACCAGCCTGGCCAACATGGTGAAACCCTGTCTCTACTAAAAATACAAAAAATCAGCCAGGCATGGTGGCACACACCTGTAGTCCCAGCTACTTGGAAGGCTGAAGCAGAATTGCTTGAACCAGGGAGGCAGAGGTTGAGGTGAGCTGAGATCGTGCCATTGCACTCCAGCTTGGGCGACAGAGCGAGACTCTGTCTCAAAAAAAAAAAAAAAAATTATTCCCTTGGCATGTGCAGCAGCTGTGATTTAAAAAAATAATAATAATAAAAATAAAGAATTCTTTCCTGATAGAAGTAATTAATTGGCTTTAAAGAACTCATGAAATAGTTTACAGAAGAAAACTAACTCCAATTCAATAGCACAAAATTCCAGTTTTCTTTGATAAAGTATTTTAGTCCCCATTGTCATTCCTTTTGCATTAGAAAGTTGAGGATTCAGTCCCTAGAGAAAGGATTTTGCTTAGCAAATCAGTTTTAAAATAGGAACATCACTTCATAGAGATCTCCTCCCTCTCTCTTCCCACTGGGTATGCTATTAACTACTATAAACTGGGGGGGAAGAGTTTTGCAATTCAGTGATTGAGATTTCTGCTGGAGACCAAAACAAACACTAAAATCAATAGAGAAAATTCTTTTATCCATTTTGCAAAACTGACTCAACAGAGTCTCCCAAAATAGCAGTTGACACTCTAAATTCCAGGTGATGTGATGCTGCACACCACATTCCGGTTGTCTGCAATATTTCATCCTTATTCTCTAGTTAACTCTGAGTAGAGACTTCGTGACTTGCTGCATATTGAGTGGAATTAAAATAAGTCAAAAAACTTCATGAAATCAATTATACAACTAAGTGTATGAAGACGTTGTATCTGTGCACTTTAAATTAGTCCTATTTGAACTCAAGGCTTCTTAGACAAAAAAAAAAAAATTGATCTACCTCTAATGCTTAAAATGGAGGTAAGTAGAATACATTTCTAAAAATTATGAAATAAAATTACATTAAAATTTGAGTGTTCTAAGTAAGCACTCATGTTATAGTCTGTAATTCAAATCTCAGCAAAGACCAAATTATCTGCTGGAAAAATCTGACTTAGCTTCATCTTTTATGCGCTTTATTGTTATATATAATGTTATTTTGAGCATATTTGTAATCTCTATGGGAAATAAGAACTTTAGAGAAAGTCAGTCTTTTGTTCTAATCGTCAGTTTGCTGCTTACAAGACCTAGGACTTTGGGAAAGTAATTTCTTTGAGTATATAATTTCAGGTTTCTACCTACAAAATTAACCTTTTATAAACAGGAATTTTTTTATTTTACAAACTTCCTTGTACAATGTATCAGCTGTATGGAAAAAATGGTCCCATGATTCATTCTCATACTCCAGCAAAAAGATGGTATCTGGAAATCTATCTCACAGGGATATAAGAAACTTTGAGAAAACATAGAAGTAAACAGTTTTTATGCTGTGAGGAAAACAGCAACCTTATAATGTTACAGAAAATAAAACTGACGGCCAAAGCTATTAACTAACTCGCCCAATTATACAGTGACTTTGGATGGCAGATTTGGGACTAAAACTCTTGTTGCCTCTCTTGTCTCGATTTTTGTTCCACAGTGCAATTTAAAAAGATGCTTTGAAGACTCTGTTGAACCTCACCTTTTTTAATATTAAAAAATATGTGCACAACGCGCAGGTTTGTTACATATGTATACATGTGCCATGTTGGTGTGGGTGCAGCACACCAACATGGTACATGTATACATATGTAACAAACCTGCACGTTGTGCACATGTACCCTAAAACTTAAAGTATAATAATAATAAAATTAAAAATAACTAAAAAATTTAAAAATATATATATAATCAGAAAACTCAAGAGGAAGATGACAAACATAAGGTCAACCAATACACAGGTAAGAAAGGAGGTAAGGATGTGTATTCATCTAGGTAAGTATTCTAAACTAGGCGTTAAAACATTCTAAAGTGATCACAGATAAAAACTATAAAGATCCCCTCAGCAGCTTTCTAAAATTCTCTTCCATTAACTTCTGTTTTAATCCAATTGCTATGGTCTCTTTCTGATCTGCTAGATATCTCATATAATTCAAATGTTTTGTTTTGCTAGTCAATGGAATGTTCGCTATTCAAAATGAGAATAATTGTATCTGGAGATGCTGGCAATGTGATTTTATTGGAAAGCAGAGAAATCTACCACCTTTAAGACATTAGCCACAATTGCAAGCAATTGGAGCAGGTGTTAACAGGTAAGCACTCAGTAGCCTATTTGATATAATCTTAAAGATGCAGATAAGGACTTCCTAGTTTTGTTTTGTTTTGCTTTTTAGTTGTTAACAAACACTTTAATCCTAAAATTAGGGATATGAATCAGAATTTAAATTACATAAAATGTCTGAAATACAAAAGGATACCACAGCTATTTAAAGATACCCTTTTAAGAGTGGATAAATATTTGAGGTAACTGTGTGTTTAGAAGATGAGAAAGTATGCAAAGATAAGTAAGACAGAATATTAGAATCCAGTGCTCTGAAATCTCCGGCTTCCTCCCCTCACTGCTTTCTGGCTGCATTATTGTTATTCAGCTCCAGGGCTTCCTACTAGAGTGATAAATATTTCCCCCCTCCTTGTGCCCTTACTACAGAATGTGAGGGGATATTACATAACAGGATACACTAATATATTATATTGATGAGAAAGCAGTTTATTTATTTTGTAAGGACTGAATCTCAGAGTGAGGCAGTCAATTAATTTAAAAAGAGTCAACGGATTCTCTCCTTCTTCTATAATCCTCAGTGAGAGGGCTTTTTGGTAAGGCAGTCTTTTAGCTGATTTCTAAGGAGAAAAGTCAGACAGAGGGCCTGGTCTGACTTTATATATATATATAAAATTACTAGTAAGATACAAAATGCTCCTACAATCCATCCTTTAAAAAACTCTTTGTACATTCAGACTGAATTTTAAGGAATTATCAAGAGCTAAAAAAATTACATATCTTATAATATTTTCACCCTCATGGAGATCAAAGTCTTAACTAAAGCAATGTTTGTCTGAAAGTAGAATACAGAGAATAAATTGGTCAGCAGAGTCATTTGAAAAAAATATATTACAAAAGTAATGCCTGCTTATTAAAAATTTGAACAAAAAATAGGTAAATTTATAAGTAAAGTCTGCTTTACTCACCCCCATTTTGATTTCCTAGGAGTAATACTTTCTTCTATATTATTCAAGGTAGCTTTTAGTTTATATATTAGTATATATATTATACTAATATTATATTCTTTTTATAAACTGATGGAATCATGCTATACAAATGTTCAGTAACTTCCTTTTTTCACTTAAAAATACCTTTGAGTATCATTTCTTATCCACATCTATGACTACAAATCTCAAATTTCTTTTCAGGTGAGAGTCAAGGAGACATTTTTTAGGGAACTAGTGGTTCTAAAATAAGTAGAAAAATTAAAATTCACATTGCTAACATTTTGCCGAACATGAATGAAATTGAAAAACAAATATTCTGATATTGATAA
Source organism: Homo sapiens (assembly GCF_000001405.40). Lineage (NCBI taxonomy): Eukaryota > Metazoa > Chordata > Mammalia > Primates > Hominidae > Homo > Homo sapiens. Next base: position 27,914,653 of record NC_000006.12, on the reverse strand, counting down.
AGTAATAAAATAATTAAGTGTCCCATTAAGATTTTGGGGGGGATGAATACATGTTTAGCTGGTAGAGTTGGCATATTAGTCCCTCCAGGAAATTTATGAGACTGAATAGCCTCTACTCAAAGCATCTCAGAGTTCCTGCAGAACTGTTGTACTGTCTCTGACACAGCTGTGCATCCATGTGCCAAGCACTCTGCTAGGCAATTTACACTAAAGATCACATTTATACTCACATCATACGCTTACTATGACCCCCTCTTGTTGGAGTTGATGTTTGCGGGTTAAGAAGGAAATCAGATGTTGAGTTTTAACAGGCATAGTCATTTCCATTAGTAACCCTAGGAAATTTAAAGTTCTAAAAATCATAAGTAATTCCTTTCTGAGCACCTCAGACCTTGGATCACTATAGTTCCTTTCATCCACTCTTCTCCATTTCTAAAGGTGTAAGTCTAGGGTAGGTGTGTGCGTTAATACCTCACATCATTTATACTTCACATCAAGACAACTTAGAAAAACATTACAGTAGTCCTTCCTTATCTGTGGTTTTGCTTTGCACAATTTCAGTTACCCACAGTCAACCATGGTCTGCAAATATTAAAAGGAAAATTACAGAAGTCAACAATTCATAAGTTTTAAATACATGCCATTCTGAATAGCCTGATGAAGTCTTGTGTTGTCCCACCCAGTCATGGGAATCATCCTTCTGTTTAGAGCAGGGGTGTCCAATCTTTTGGCTTCCCTGGGCCACATTGGAAGAAGAAGAATTGTCTTGGGTCTCACATAAAATACAGCAACACTAACAATAGCTGATGAGTTTTTTTTTAATCATCAGTGAATGTCATGATGTTTTAAGAAAGTTTACAAATTTGTGTTAGGCCACGTTCAAAGCCATCCTGGGCTGCGTTCAAAGCCATCCTGGGCTGCATGCAGCCCGTGGGCCTCAGGTTGGACAAGCTTGATTTAAAGCATCCACCTGCCTGTTAGTCACTGAGTAGCCATCTCGGTTATCAGATCGTCAGAACACAGAGGGGTGAGTACACTAGAATAAGGTGTTTTGAAGAGAAAAAAAGAGAGGGACACCACATTCACATAACATGTATTACAATAAATGGGGGTCTGGAGCTGTTATACTTGCTGCATTTTATTAATTATTGTTCTTAATCTCTTACTGTGCCTAATTTATAAATTAAACGTTATAGTTGTGTATGTATTAAAAAACATAGTATATATAGGGTTTGGTACTACCCACAGTTTCAGGTTTCTATCCACTGGTGGTCTTGGAATGTATCCCCCATGGATAAAGGGGGAACCACTGTATCATCTTCATTTTACAAATGAGAATTGTGGAGATCAAAGGGTTAGAAGCATTCCAATATAATGAATGTAACTAATTAGAGAGGGTAGGGATATGAGACCAGCCTGTCACCTTCAAATATCATATTACTAAGGAATCTATACAAATTCTATGAGCTTCTAGAACGAAAAGGATATGTCTCCTTAAATTGTGTCTGATAACTTACTAGATACTGTCTACATGGCTTTTTTGAGGGAAGGGGAATAATGGGAGGTGGCTTTAACTAATGTTAACTGATTTCTACAATCAGGGAATCTCGCTGGCCTTGAAGAGAAATTAGAATGAATTCAAATGACAGGAAACTGTATCTACATCTACCTCACAGTAGATATCTAGGTAGGAAGAATGAGAAAAATACATTTACAAACAGTAAAATATCAAAGGATACATTATGTGAATTTGGAAACTGAAAATATGGCTTAAGATTTTTGAAATTAGGCTGGGCACAGTGGCTCACGCCTGTAATCCCAGCACTTTGGGAGGCTGAGGTGGGCAGATCACCTGAGGTTGGGGTTTGAGACCAACCTGACCAACGTGGAGAAACCCCATCGCTACTAAAAATACAAAATTAGTCGGGGTGGTGGCACATGCCTGTGATCCCACCTACTGGGGAGGCTGAGGCAGGAGAATTGCTTGAACCTGGGAGGCGGAGGTTGCGGTGAGCCGAGATGGCGCCATTGCACTCCAGCCTGGGCAAAAGAGTGAAACTCTGCCTCAAAAAAAAAAAAAAAAAAAAAAAAAAAGATTCTTGAAATTCGATTCAATTTGCTAATATGCTGTTACAGATATATAAACACTTTTTAAATACTTGGATGGATAAATATTTATATTTTTATCAATACTTTTTTCACATTATTAATTGGATCAGTCTGTAATTTTATGTAAATTGATAGCAAAATGATTATAGCTGACAAAATCAGGAAGTGTGTTGTTAACTTCCTGACTTCTTATATTTCAGAGAACGAAGAGTTGAACCATTTAACATGAATTGGGTAAATAAGAGTGTCCCACAGGAGTTCATTCTGTTAGTTTTCTCAGATCAACCATGGCTAGAGATTCCACCCTTTGTGATGTTTCTGTTTTCCTATATCTTGACAATCTTTGGCAATCTGACAATAATTCTTGTGTCACATGTGGATTTCAAACTCCACACCCCTATGTACTTTTTTCTTAGCAATCTCTCACTCCTGGACCTTTGCTATACCACAAGTACAGTTCCACAAATGCTGGTAAACATATGCAACACCAGGAAAGTAATCAGTTATGGTGGCTGTGTGGCCCAGCTTTTCATTTTCCTGGCCTTGGGTTCCACAGAATGTCTTCTCCTGGCCGTCATGTGCTTTGATAGGTTTGTAGCTATTTGTCGGCCTCTCCATTACTCAATTATCATGCACCAGAGGCTCTGCTTCCAGTTGGCAGCTGCATCCTGGATTAGTGGCTTTAGCAATTCAGTATTACAGTCCACCTGGACACTTAAGATGCCACTGTGTGGTCACAAAGAAGTGGATCACTTCTTCTGTGAAGTCCCTGCTCTGCTCAAGTTGTCCTGTGTTGACACAACAGCAAATGAGGCTGAACTATTCTTCATCAGTGTGCTATTCCTTCTAATACCCGTGACACTCATCCTTATATCGTATGCTTTTATTGTCCAAGCAGTGTTGAGAATCCAGTCTGCTGAAGGTCAACGAAAGGCATTTGGGACATGTGGCTCCCATCTAATTGTGGTGTCACTTTTTTATGGTACAGCTATCTCCATGTACCTGCAACCACCTTCACCCAGCTCCAAAGACCGGGGAAAGATGGTTTCTCTCTTCTGTGGAATCATTGCACCCATGCTGAATCCCCTTATATATACACTTAGGAACAAAGAGGTAAAGGAAGCCTTTAAAAGGTTGGTTGCAAAGAGTCTTCTTAATCAAGAAATAAGAAATATGCAAATGATAAGCTTTGCTAAAGACACAGTGCTTACTTACCTTACTAACTTCTCCGCAAGTTGTCCTATTTTTGTCATTACTATAGAAAACTATTGTAATCTCCCTCAAAGAAAATTTCCTTGACAAAAAGCTATATTTGTTTCTGTTGCCTAAACATTTTCATTGAACAAGCCCCCAGAATTGGCCTTCCAATGCACCAAAAACTGTAATCACAACATTTTCAAGGGTTGTCACACTTTACATCAATGTTTGTACAATTCAGTGTAAACTAGACCTTTCTGATCCAGAAATCATCTCTTCAGTAATACACACACGCACACACACATACATACATACACACACACACATAGAAACAAAGATGTAAAGGGAGCTTTTGAGAGGTTGCTTGCAAGGGTGTTAATAAAAAAAAAAGGAATTCTCAAATTATAGGCCTTTTAAAGACTTCAATTTTACATAGCTTATAATTTAATTCTCTCCAAATTGCTTTATTATTACTATTCTTAGAAAAACTATTATAGTGATCTTCAAATAAAATGTCGACAGAGAACTATATCTGTTTTCTACTGCCTAAATATATTCATTGCACAAGTCTTAAGAACTGATCTTTTATGAACTCTCAAAATAGCATAGCCTTGAAATCTTTAAGGTCTCAAACATCTTAGCACTAGTCTGTATACATCGGGAAGAGACTTAGACTTCTCTGAAACCAGAATAAAAGCCAGAAACAAAACATTTTGATACATATACACATGTCCTCATCCTTACACACACACACACACACACACACACACACACAAACTCCATGGCACAAATTATTTTTCAGACAATTGTAGATCTAACAGAAGTATCCAAAACCTTGTCTTAATTTTCTCTATAAGTTTAACAGCCCTAGCTTAAATTTTAACACTATTCGCACATCAACACAATACTAAAATCCACAACAATTCTGCACTCCCCAGTTTTACTTAGATCTTCTGTTGTTTCTGTACTTCCCACTTCTAAGTTGAAGTGTCCTATTCCATCTATCAAATAAAGTTGTAGCTACATTTTAGACTGAAATCGAATGCCTGCTTTTGACCTTTTAAAATGATTCCTCTACTGTATATATTATCTCTCTCCTTTTAACCTCGAAAGCACTTATAGGGGCCGGGCGCGGTGGCTTATGCCTGTAATCCTAGCACTTTGGGAGGCCGAGGCAGGCGGATTGCCTGAGGTTAGGAGTTCAAGACCAGCCTGGGCAACAATGGTGAAACCCTGTCTCTACTAAAATACAAAAATTAGCCAGGCATGACCGCGTGCGCCTGTAGTCCCAGCTACTTGGGAGGCTGAGGCAGGAGAATCGCTTGAACCCAGGAGGCGGAGGTTGCGGTGAGCTGAGGTCACGCCATTGCACTCCAGCCTGGGCAACAGAGCGAGACTCCATCTCAAAAAAAAAAAAAAAGAAAGCACTTACAGGTTAAGTCATTAAAAAAGCACATTATATAATGATGTCCACAGCTTGTTTAATGCACATTTCTTGTACAAAAAGAAATGCTTATTAATTTCATGTTAGTTCCCTTGAGGTAGCATAGATCATAATTTCAACTTCTTCCATATGGCCTTCAGAGCCCATAAAAGTGCTAAAGAAAATAAACACTATAAGTTTGTTATTTCGTTGACTTTGTGAGTTACGCTATAATTATATTAACTGCTTCTTCATTATTATTCTTTTTCCAATTTTTTCCTTTATCAAATATGTCATAAAAGTATAAAATGCAATAACTAAGAAATACAATTAGAATGTTTTACTTGAAAACCTTACAGTAACAACATAAATTTCAGCATAATTCTAACCCAACATGGTGGATCTTAAAACTTTAACTTGCATCAGAATCATCTGTAGAGCTTTTAAAATTCAGATTGGTGGGGGTCACCTACCCCCAGACCTTCCAATGTAGTAAGTCTGGGGTGGGGCCTGATAATTTGCATTTCTACAAATTTCCAGGTAACACTTATGTTGCCTGTCAGGAGACCACACTTTAGGAACAGCTGTGCTAACAGTTAAAATAAATAAAGTTATGTTGCTTGTTGAGTTTCTATCCTTTATTTTTAGAAATGAGTTATAACTTAAAGGAAAAATAGGAGCAAAACACTAATAGAGTATATTGAAATATGAGGGGACATTCCTTAATAAAAATGCATTCATATCTTAAAGTCCAACTAAATGATATACCAGATTTCCAGAGACAAATTTTGATGTCAGCTCAAAGGCAATGTCAGGGTCCTTTAAAGAATTATGAGAAAATAGTAGAGAAACCAGAGTGATGGAGATTGAAGTATTTTACATTTTTTAAAATGAGCCATCAATTGATCTAATAAATTGCATATTGGTAAGTTCTAAAGCCATATGACAAAATTTTATGTATATTTTGCCATCAGTTACTTGTGACTATATACATATATATTCTGGCTTCATTTAGAACGACAATTACTAAACTATTTTATAGAGGTATGTATAATAATTTTTTTTTTTTTTTTAGATGGAGTCTCACTCTGTCACCCAGGCTGGAGTATGGTGGCGCGATTTTAGTTCACTGCAACCTTCGCCTCCTGGGTTCAAGCAATTCTCCTGCCTCAGCCTATGGAAAGTAGCTGGGATTACAGGCAAGTACCACCAAGCCTGGCTAATTTTTGTGTTTTTGGTAGAGACAGGGTTTCATCATGTTGGCCAGGCTCGTCTTGAACTCCTGACCTCAGGGGTTCCACCTGCCTTGGCCTCCCAAAGTGCTGGGATTACAGGCGTGAGCCACTGCACCCAGCCTACAATTCTTGATTTCTGTTTTCTTTTTTTTAAATCCAATTTTTATTTTAGATTCGGGGGTACATTTGCAGGTTTGTTACCTGGGTATATTTTGTGATAGTGAGGTTTTGGGTATGATTGATCTTGTCACCCAGGTACTCAGCACAGTACCAACAGTTAGATTTTCAACTCTTGTCCCCCACCCTGCCTACCCACTCTAGTAGTCCCTAGTGTCTACTGTTGCCATCTTTATGTCCATGAGTACCCAATGGTTAGCTCCCACTTATAAGTGAGAACATATGGTATTTGGTTTTCTATTCCTGTGTTAATTAACTTAGGTTAATGGCCTGTAGCTGCATGTTGCTGCAAATGACATGATTTTTTCTTTATGACTCATAGTATTCTGTGGTATATATGTATACCACGTATATCTTTATCTAATTCACTGTTGGTGGGCACCTAGGTTCATTCCATGTCTCTGCTACTGTGAATAGTGCTGTGATAAACACATGAGTTCATGTGCTTTTTTGGTAGGATTTGTTTTCCTTTGGATATATACCCAGTAATGGAATTGCTGAGTGGAACAGTTTTAAGTTGTTTGAGAAATCCCCAAACTGCTTTCCACAATGGCTGAACTAATTTACTTTCCCACCAACAGTGTATAAGTATTCGCTTTTCTCCACAGCCTTGCCAGCATCTGTTGTTTCTTGACTTTTTAATAATAGCCATTCCAACTGGTGTGAGATAATATCTCACTGTGGTTTTGATTTGCATTTCTCTGGTGATTAGTGATGATTAACATTTTTTCATATGTTTGTTGGCTGCTTGTATGTCTTCTTTCAAGAGGTGTCTGTTCATTTCTTTTGCCCATTTTTAATGGGTGTTATTTGCTTTTTGCTTGTTCAATTGTTTAAGTTCCTTAGAGATTCTGGACATTATGCCTTTGTTGGATGCATAGTTTGCAAATATTTTCTCCAATCCTGTAGGTTGTCTGTTTACTCTGTTGGCAGTTTCTTTTGCTATGCAGAAGCTCTTTAGTTTAATTAGGTCCCAGTTGTCAATTTTTGTATTTGTTGCAATTGCTTTTGAGGACTTAGTCATAAATTATTTCCCAAGGCCCATGTTCAGAATGGTGTTTCCCAGGTTTTCTCTTCTTCGATTCTTGTAGTTTGAGGTCCTACATTTAAAACTTGCATCCATCTTTAGTTAATCTTTGTGGTGACACATAAGGGTCCAGTTTCATCAGTTTCATTCTTCTGTATATGGCTAGCCAGCTATTCCAGCATGACTTATTAAATAGGAAGTCCTTTCTCCATTGCTTATTTTTGTCAATGATCAGATGGCTATATGTTTGTGACTTTATTTCTGAGTTCTCTATTCTGTTCCATTGGTCTATGTGTCTCTTTTTGTACCAGTACCACGTTGTTTTGGTTACTGTAGCCTTATAGGATAGTTTGAAGTCGGGTAATGTGATGACTCTAACTTTGTTCTTTTTTCTTAGGATTGCTTTGGGCAGTGGGGCGTTTTTTTGGTTCCATATGCATTTTAGAATAGTTTTTCTACTTCTGTGAAAAATGATGTTCGTAGTTTGGTAGGAATAGCACTGAATCTGTAGATTGCTTTGTGTGATATGACCGTTTTAACAACATTGACTCTTCCAATCCATGAGCATGGAATGTTTTTCCATTTGTTTGTGTCATCTATTATTTCTTCAGCAGTGTTTTGTAGTTCTTCTAATAGAGAATTTTTTTTTTTTTTTGCACAGAGTCTCGCTCTGTCGTCCAGGCTGGGGTGCAGTGGTGCGATCCCGGCTCACTGACTGCACCCGGCTCACTGCAAGCTCCGCCTCCTGGGTTCACGTCATTCTCCTGCCTCAGCCTCCAGAGTAACTGGGACTACAGGCGCCTGCCATCACGCCCGGCTAATTTTTTTGTATTTTTAGTGGAGGCAGGGTTTCACCGTGTTAGCCAGGATGATCTCAATCTCAATCTCCTAACCTCGTGATCCGCCCACCTCGGCCTCCCAAAGTGCTGGGATTACAGGCGTGAGCCACTGCGACCGGCCTAATAGAGGTCTTTCACCTCCTTCATTAGATGTCTTCCTGGGTAATTTTGTGTGTGTGTAGCTATTGTACATGGGATTGCCTTCTTGATTTGGCTTCAGATTGAACATTATTTCTGTATAGAAATGCTACTAATTTTTGCATGTAAATGGATCCTGAAACTTTACTGAAGTAGTTTATCAGTTCCAGGAGACTTTGGGCAAAGTCTTCAGGGTTTCTAGGGATAGAATTACATCCTCAGTGAACAGAGATAGTTGCACTTCTTTTTCTATTTGGATGTGTTTTACTTCTTTCTCTCGCCTGATTGCTCTGGCTAGGACTTCCATAAATCTTGATTTCCGAATAGAATTTGCAAACAATTCTTATTCTACTTCCGTACAATATGGAGCAATAATGACCAAAATGTGAAAGCAGTTCCATTTGTCCCTATCTTTTTGTAAAACCTCACTCAGAAGGTGATTAATAAAACACTATCACCATGAAAATATTATTATTATAAGACTTAAATGTTTTATCCTACTAGAATATGCACTTATAAATAACTTGCATGAATTTAAAGAGAACAGACTTCATAAGTTAAAAATGACACTAAACTTTGGGAAAGTAATAATTCCAAAGAAGTCAGAAATAAAATTAAAAACTAAAAGCAATAAATAAAAGGATGAAATTTCACGTAAATCAAGACAAACACATTTACTTCAATTATATACTACATAATAGTATTAATAGAAATATGATTGGCAGTGAATCCCATACCAGCTAAGACATATGGATAATAAAACATGTAGATTATTGGCTTTAGTTTGAGGATTTATATTTTAAGAGATACATTATAAAACTAAAATGCCTACACAAAATAATGACTAGAGAATTGAAAAATCAGAACATCATGCCTCTTGAAGAATTATTGAAGGCATTGATTTTTTCAATGCTGGGTAGAAAATGCTTTGTCAAATCATGAAGCAGTAGCTTTCTTCAGCTATTTAAAGGGAAATCATGTGCATAGCTTAGTTTGTTTCATAAAGGTTATAAATTCTACTAATGCATAAAAATTAAAAAGTAGATCTGAGCATGATATAAGGACACACACACACACAAATAGATGTTATACCATGATGAAATAGCTGACCATTTCTGGCAATGAGGGAAAATAGAATTCTATATAAAATAGAGATTGAATTAAACAATCTACCTAATGTCTTTCCTTTTTAAATTCTGTTTTAGGAATTTCCTTTTGTGAAATAACATTTGTGATAACAATTTCTGTTAATGACCAAAGAAACAAAAGCAGCAGAGAAAATGATAGATATAACTAAACCTTTGGAATAATGTCATGTAAAAGAAATTGAGTTGATTCCAAGGAAAGAACTGGATGGAAGCTATTCTGATTTAGCATACAGAAGTCAACGCTAGAAAACATGAAATGGCTTGAATGGGTAAATATCTGTGGAGATGATTTTCAAATATGAGAAGCAGCCCAAGGGAAGTTGGACTGCGTGACTTATAAGATCCCTTTCAAGATCCCTTTCCATCCAAAAAGTGTATGGCTCTGTCAACTACAATATAGGAGAAATTTGGTTAGATTTTAAAAAAACTTCCTGAAGATAAAAAATGGGGTATAATGGAATATTTAAATAAAGGATACAATGAAGTAATCAACTGTATCAGTTTCCTAGGGCTTTCATAACCAATTGCCATGTGCTTGACGGCTTAAAACAATAGAAAGTTATTATCTCACAGTTCTGGAAGCCAGAAGTCTGAAATCAAGGTACTAGCAAGGCCATGTTCTCTCTGGAGGGTGGTGGGTGGGTGGGCAGACGAGGTGTGGTGGTGGTGATGAACTTGTTTCTGCTTTTTTTGGTTTCTAGTGACTATGGGCATGCCCTGCTCGTCCCTGTCTTGTGGCCACATCACTCTCAGCTCTGGCTTCATTTTCATCTCTTTCTTTTCTGTGTGAGCCTCAGTCAAATCCCTCTTTACCTGTCTCTTACAGGGATTCATGATGGCATTTAGAATTCACTCAGATAATCTAGAATAAATCCCTCCTCCCAAGATTCTTAATCACATCTTTCTCCATATAAGGTAACATTTGCAGATTCCAGTGATTATCACGTAGACATATCTTTTGGGAAGGGCCATCATTCATGGTACTGCATCATCTGTATCACTTAGGGCTATATAGTCCATCATCTTCCAAAGAAAAGAGCATAAAATTTACTTTTGAAGGATCAGATTTTTTAAATTTTAGATTCTTAAGGAAATTAGCAGGAATCCAACTTTATTCCTACTTGTAGTATAATTACTATCTATCATGAGAATTTGTAAACTGTATACATTTTCCTGTTTAAAACAACAAACACATAGATTATATCATTTTTCAGTACATACACTGAGTTGACCACAGGGCAAAAATTGGTGAAAAAATAAAATCTTTTTTGCAGATATAAGAGATCGATATAGTTTTTTAAAAGGTGCATAAGTATTAGCACCATATGGATAGTGGAATTATTAGGAAGATAATACCGTCTGTCTCTCTGTGTATAATTTAAATATAGACACAAAATACACTGTCATATTTATCGTATTTTACTTTTCTAAATTATTTACATTGAGTAACAATCATATTCCCATAAATATGTCACAGGTTTTTTCTTTAAACATCATTTCCAGTACCAAAATGTGTCCCACATTATGCTCCAACAAAAAGACACGGATCATCAGACTGATAAAAAAGCAAGGCCCACTATATGCTGTCTATAAGAAAGGTGCTTTAAATATAAGGACATTCGCCGGGCATGGTGGCTCACGCCTGTAATCCCAGCACTTTGGGAGGCTGAGGTGGGTGGATCACTTGAGGTCTGGAGTTTGAGACCAGCCTGGCCAACATGGGGAAACTCCGTCTCTACTAAAAATATGAAAATTAGCAGGACACGGTAGCAGCACACCTGTAATCCCAGCTACTTGGAAGGCTGAGGCACTAGAATCGCTTGAACCCGGGAGGCGGAGGTTGCAGTGAGCCATGAAACGTGCTACTGCACTCCAGCCTGGGTGACAGAGGGAGACTCTGTTTCAAAAAATATATAAAATAAAATAAAATAAAATACATATGTGTGTGTGTATGTGTATATAAATGTATATATAATGACACACATAAGTAAATAGTAAAAGGTTGGAAAAGGTAGCCACAATAATATTAATCAAAAGAATTGGCTATATTATTATATATAGTCAGAGCAGGCGCCCGCGACCCGCGGGGCGGAGGTGCTGGCCCAGCCAGAGCAGTCCAACCTCGCCGCAGAGACCGTGCGGGAGCCGGGCCGCCCACACGTGGGCCAGCCTCCAGTGTTGCAGGAGACGCTTTGAAGTTACAGTGAAAGGGATTTTTTTCTTCCTGAAAAGAAGGGAAGAAGGCTCTATTAAGAGGCTCTATTCAATAAGAACGGAAAGCCACCTAAATATCTTTTTGAAAACACAGCCTATGGTATTAGTTGGATTCCTGAAAGACGACAAAGCCTTCCTAGAGACGACAAGGCTTCTTTTGTACGCGAGGCATTGGTGGTTCAGTGGTAGAATTCTCGCCTGCCACGCGGGAGGCCCGGGTTCGATTCCCGGCCAATGCAACGATGACGTTTTATTCTTGAAAACTACGTATTCTATTTCAGAAGGTGGATATTTTCCCTATGCCTTTTTTGCCTTACCCTTACATTTTGACTACATGATAAAGCAGGCAGGCCAGCGACATGCTGTTTTCTTACAGAAACATCGAGGGTTTTTTTTGCTTTCATAATGTTTGATACCAATACACGCTGAACTCATCCTCATGTTTGCAGCATAAATAGAACTAGTGGCCCTTGGTGGGGTGTGGAAATCAGATTTGTTTAACCATACCAAAAAACCAGAATCCCCACCAAGTTTTGAGGAAAACATCATAAAGAATTCACTGCAAATATCACTACCGTATAGAGCAGAGTGGCGCAGCGGAAGCGTGCTGGGCCCATAACCCAGAGGTCGATGGATCGAAACCATCCTCTGCTATTTTTTTTTTTTTCTTTTTCTAAAAAGATACTTACGACTTACTCTCACCAACCTTCCTTCCCTTGCCAGCTCACTCAAAGGAAAAGTGACAGCAAATGGAAGTATTCACATGCCTTTGAGGAGAAAATCAGGAAGCAGCTTTCAGTTAAGAAATTAGAGGTACCCCATCTTAAAGAGCAGGAATTGATACTAAGTCCATGAGCTGAAATATCTCCACCTCAGCATACTACCAGTTTGTAAACTATAATTTAGTTTAGAGTTCCAAGTTTACAGGTAGCTAATTTTTAGAGATTCAGTTAAAGAGAACTGGAAGTATTTATTTTATTTTTATTATTTTATATTATATTATATTTTATATTTTATTTGAGACGGGGCCTCACTCTGTCACTCAGGCTGGAGTGCAAGTGGTGCGATCATAGCTCACTGCAACTTCGAACTTGTGGGCTTAAGCAGCCTTCTGAGTAGCTGGAGCTACCGGTGCTCCCCACCTAGCCCAGCTGAATTTTTTTCTTTTTTTTTTTTTTGGAGAGATGTGGGGTGGGAGGAAGGTGTCTCACTTTTTTTGCCCAGTCTGGTCTCAAACTCCTGCGCTCAGATGATTATCCTGCCCTGGCCTCCCAAAGTATTGGGATTATAGGCGTGAACCCTCTCGCCAGACCGTGAAGTTATTTTGAATAACAACTCTTCCAAAAAATGTCTTGCTCCTAGTCTGTTTTCTTCCTTAGCACTTATTACTATGCAGCATATTGTGTCTTTATTGATTTAGTATTTTCTCTCTCATGGGAAGTAAATTTACAAGGACAGATTTTTGTGTTTTGGCATTGTGGTTGCCATCATACCTAGAACAAGTCCTGGCACATCTTAGATACTGGTGAGTTGGTAAATATTAGTTAATAGCCACAATTTCCAATTCACCAAACCGAAACATCAGTATTCCTCATTACTCACGATCTTATTTCACCTTTTAAAAAAGTATAGAACAGTTCAAAAGTGACCACATGGATTTGATCTATTATTTAACATCATGACATGTAAACTACAAGTCTCTTTTATATTTAGAGAAAAGAGGAAAACACTCATGAAATTTAAGTATTCTTCAACTCCATCCCCAGACCTGTTATCGACTTTCTCAGGTCAAGTCTATTATGACTTTGATGTTCATCTGTCCCATTTCATTTTCACTCTTGCTTATATATAGGCCCATGGCAATACAATTTTTTTTCTGAGACGGTCTTGCTCTGTCGCCCAGGCTGGAGTGCCATGGCACCATCTCAGCTCACTGCAACCTCCACTTCCTGGGTTCAAGCAATTCTCCTGCCTCAGCCTCCTAAGTAGATGGGATTACAGGTGAGCACCACCACTCCCAGCTAATTTTTTTTATTCTTAGTAAGGACGGGGTTTCACCATGTTGGCCAGGGTGGTCTCAAACTCCAACACTGTTCTCAATAAGAAACTTTCTAATCACACAGATAATCAGAGGCACATGTGATTTATCTAAAAGAAAAAAAAAAAGCCAAGAAAAATGGAACTCTACTTTCTATTTTCTCCTGGATCCTATTTAAGAAATGAATTTTCAGTTTGTTCTTGGATATTGTGACTGCAGACAGAGCCTCCTTGCAAAGTAGTGAATTCAATTTACCTCCTAATCTTGTACAAGGCTGCCATTCTTCTTTCTGTATATAGTTTCCTATTAGCAAGCACGAAACTGAAAAGAGAGCAGCTATATAGAGATAGTCATTTTGTAAAGACAGACACTTTGGGGCCTGAGAGCACACTGTCACTGTATTGTGAAAGTTGTCAGAATCAAAATGTAATCACTAATGTTAAGAAAACTCTGACAAATAGATCCCAGGAAGGCCATGAGGAGTGGGTTTTTATATTTGTATGTCTGATCATAAAAACTATCACAAAACATTGTAAAAACCTCAACCTTGTATAAAGGCCCTTGCAAATTTACACAAAAATATTTTTATAAGGACATCCATCCAGTAACTGTCTGTCTAACCTTGAACTGGTGTTACCTTTGTTATTGATCTTGTCGATGAAAAGAGTCAAACCCTGTAAAATATTTGAAGAGATTTATTCTGAGCCAAATATGACCATGACCTGTGACACACCCCTCAGGAGGTCCTAAGAACACGTGCCCAAGGTGGTCGGGGCGCAGCTTGGTTTTATACATTTTAGGGAGGCAGGAGACATCAATCAAATACATTTAAGAAATACATTGGTTTGGTCCAGAAAGGCAGGACGCCGAGGCGGGGCAGGAGTATTGGGTGGGGGGTCAGGGTGGGGTGCTTCCACGCTACAGGTGAATTTAAACGTTTTCTGGTTGACAATTGGTTGAATTTGTCTAAAGACCTGGGATTGATAGAAAGGGAGTGTTCAGGTTAAGAACCTGAGACCAAGTTCTTTTGAAGTCTTAACAGTGGCTGCCCTTAGAGACAATAGATGATAACAAATGTTTCCTACTCAGATCTTAGTTAATCTCTTTAGGATTGGGAGGGTCTGGAAGAAAAAGATCTAGCTATGTTAATAGAGATTCTTTACAGACACAAATTTTCCCACACACAAAAAAACAATTTTGCAGGGCCATTTCAAAATATGGCAAAGAAACATGTTTTTTGGTGTAAAATATTTTGATTTTCTTCCTTGTCTCATAATGTTTTATGCCAGAGTCAGGTTGGAAAGTAAGTCATGATATATAGGGTTAAATAAAACCCATCTGATGAGAATTTATGATTTGTAGGGTATGACTCCCCAGACCCCTTAGATGGGAATTTGGGCAAGATAAAAATCAGAGTTTAGTCCTCAATCTTTATAGTCAAGGATAATTCTTTCTAAACAATTATGTAAATAATTGATTTTTTAACCTTGTCTTTTTTACCTTCTTATATACTCAACTTGTTTACTCTGGCATGCATATTCCCATTACAATGCTCTATTCCCCCAAAATATATTTTCTTTTAGAGAGCCTCCCTCTGTTATTTACGTTGGCAGTGTAGAACTACTTTTTCCATGATTGAAACAAATCTTATCATATGTCACATTTGTTAGTGATAGCTTCATGTGATCCATATGGATGAGATCTATTTTCAGAAGCCAACTATTTCTTCTGGAAGAGACTTTGGAAATCACTTTTAGTTGAGGAAAAAGAGACCAGGAAGAACAGACAATCCAGTAAATTACATAAAATGAGGTGATGGCAGCCAGGGTGAGTAGTGGATAGAACTTAAACTTTCTAATTCCTCAAATTATTAATCCTCAGTTGCCCATTTTATTCTTTTGGATGCCAACTAAAGAGATTTTCAAACCTCAGAATTTCTTAGACACACCTGGAGACTCCTTGTGTGGGAGACTATTTCTCTGGCCAAGAACTGGTCAGGTTTGGAGGAAAAGGGTACTGAGACTAGCTTTCCTCTCTCCCCACCTCCTTTCCACATTCATCACCGGAATCATTCAGCATTTTATCAACTCTTTATAACTTAAATTCTTTCTCTATTTAAATACAGGAGTAAGGAGAAAGGGGAGTTGGAGCGACCTAGGAAGGGTACTATAATGAAAACAGGAATGGACTTTCAGAATAGATAGTGGCCTATCTGGAGGAGGAGCCAATTTCTAGTCTTTTCTCAGTTCCAATTCTGTTGCTGTTAAACTTCCCAAGATAGATAAAAATTCCTAGGAAGAATTTTCATGATTAATTGACTTCTTTCTCCTGGAGAATCTGCATTTAGTCAAATAAAGGAGATTGAGAAAAAGCCCCTCTCTGTGCATTTGCTATTTCCCAAATAACTTTAGTGGGAAGTAATCAGCATAACAATGCGGCATACTTTGGGATGATATTTCCTGGACTCCTTCAGTATACATTATAGAGGCAAGAGGCCAGGCACGGTGGCTCACACATGAAAATCCCAGCTTTCAGAGGCCAAGGTGGGTGGATCACTTGAGTCCAGGAGTTCCAGACCAGCCTGGCCAACATGGTGAAACCCCTTCTATGAAAAGCACAAAAATTATCTGGGCATGGTGGTGCATACCTGTGGTCCCAGCTACTTGGGAGGCTGAGACATGAGGCTTAAGCTTGGGAGGTGGAGATTGCAGTGAGCCGGGATCATGCCACTGCATTCCAGCCTCAGCAACAGAGTGAAGGCAAAAAAAGGAAAAGAAAGAAAAACTCCTTGAATTACATTACACAGTAAAGGAAAGCTTCCCCTTCACCCTCTGAAGGTTTGCTGAAAATCACTGACTAAAGGCAGATGAATAGAAGAAAAAAAAATTATTTGATCACAGTTGTACGTGACATGGGAGCCCTTCAAAATGAAGGCCTAAAGATACAGGGGAAATTGTCCATTGTTTTTAAGGTTCTATAAAGTATGGACAGCCTTGTAGAAATGAATGGACATGAAGGGTAGGATCTAATGATAGTAAACAGAGTAGGGAAACCCAGCAAGGCCTGTCTGTCCAGATTCTTCTTGGCCTCTCTGAGCAGCATTCCTTCCTTCTGGGTATGGGGCAGGTCCCTCTCTGGAATAGGGGTCTTATGACCTACAGTCAAACAAGGTAGGGCAGATAATTTCTGACCATAAATGGCCAGTTTTCATACAAAAAGCCTTGGGGAATAGGGTGGGTGAGGGGAGCTAGAGTAATATTTGTAGGTTTTACGGCTGGCTTTGGGGAAAAAGGATTCTGGTTTTTATGACCTGCCTTGGGGAAGAGAGATTCTAGTTTCTGTGGCTAACCTTGAGGGAGAATGATAGATCAGAGACGGAAGGGCAGGAGGTCAGGGAAAAGCTTCTGCTTCTGAGGCTGCTGCTGAGGCCTTCATTTTGGGTTATAGTTTCTGAGCCCCAACAATATATCAAAACATCACACTCTGTCAAAAATGTATACAATTATGATTTGTCAATTAAGAATAATATTAATAATAAAAAATAGTGTTACAGCTCTTTTAGAATTTGTCTAGCAGGCCTTCTGGTTTTTGCTGGGAAGTCCCCACCCCCACAAAGAATAACATTAATAAAAAAGTAAGAAAATGTAACATAAATAGAAAAGAACTGGCTTATTTACCCAGGTAACTACTCAATCCACAATGAACAACTCCAAATACCTTTCACCACTTTTACCTCATAGCTGTGAGAACTGAATTTTTTGTTTTTTCTTTTAGTTCACTGTATCTGTTTACTTAACTAGCAGAAAATAACTCTTCAATGCCTGATGTATGTGAGGCCTGATGCTTTATCCAGAGGGGCCAAGTGAGGAATGAATTATTTTCAGCTGAGAATTTAGAAAGTTGGGAAGGCCGGGGCATTTGATCTGGGCCCTGATGGCAGAAAGAGCAGCTTGGTGAAAAGCTTGTCATGGATACAGGAGTCTTTGTTAATGTCCAGAGATCTCAACTTCAAGGATGAAGGGCTTCATGAGATCTCTACTTTAGAGGTGAAGGACTTGATGAAGTCAACAGACATTTTTTTTTAATAGTCTGTACCATGATATATATATTTTATTAGCTCTCAGTATTGAAAATTTATAATATTTCACATTAAGCTGCATATACTCTTGAAAAATTGGAAGTCACACTGTCCTTGTGCTTGCATTGCTAGAAGGGAGAAATCAGTGAAATCAAATTGCACAGGTTTTGTCTTCAGTTCTCAAGTTACCACTGGTCCTGTTAGTTTCCATATTAGTTGGCATTTATCAATATGCTTGTGCTATGGTTGTTCTTACAGCAGAATTAAGAAAACAGTGAAATATATCTTGGTCAAGTATCTCTATCAAAACTGGAAAAATGAAATATGCCAGAAGTCTGGGTGTTTCAAGAAAAATAGCAAATAGCACCTCTCTTTATAGAGATAAGGCGTGCTTTTTAATATCCAGCTGTTTTTGCTCTAATGTGCTGGGCCTTTGTTAGCAACTGACTTTTAACTTCTGGTTTAAGGAATATCATAACTGTCACCTTATCTGCAAATTAAGCTAAATGTAGATATTTTATAAAGGAGAACTTGGAATAGAAAGTCGGGATGAAAGCATGGAAAATGGTCTTAAGTGCTGTTATGGACTTCATTGTGTTCCCCCAAAACAGACCAGGTGCAGTGGCTCGCGCCTGTAATCCCAGAACTTTGGGAGTCCAAGACCAGCCTGGACAACATGGTGAAACCCTGTCTGTACTAAAAACACAAAAATTAGCTGGGCGCTGTGGCAGGTGCCTGTCTGTAGTTCAGCTACTCAGGAGGTTGAGGAAGAAGAATCACTTGAACCCAGGAGGTGGAAGTTGCAGTGAGCCGAGATTGCGCCACTGCACTCCAGCCTGGGCGACAGAGTGAGACTCTGTCTCAAAAAACAAAACAAAAGAAAACAACTTCATGTCGAAGTCCCAGCCCTCAGTGTGGTTGGTATTTGAAGACAGGGCCTTTAAACAGATAATTAAGGTTAAATTGAGTTGTAAGTGTGGGGACTTAATCTAATAGAACTAGAAAGCACGATCGTATTATTATTTATTTTAGGGTATAAAGCATTTTGGCTTTTTTTATTTGTTTATTTCTTTTGGACAGCTCTGACCAGATCACAAAGCTCAACAGGACTTTCTCCTTTACCCACTCCTCGCTCTTCCTATTAACTCCCCCGCCCCCCTCCCGCTCCCTTTTAACCTCCGCACTAACAACTCTTGAAGAAACTTGAATCCTGCAATTAAAAGGAGTGAAAAATGGAAACCCTGCCCTAGCCCACTGACTCAGTAGAAAGTTAAGAAGAAAGCATTTTAACTGGGGCTGGAAAACACAACGCCTTGAACTTGTGCTTTTGCTTTTTTGCCACAAGATGGCAGGAGAAGGCCACACGTACTCTCTCACCCACTCGGAGGATAATCACCCCTCAGATGTTCTCTCAAGGACGCGGGATGGGCAGGGAGAAACGAATCTCGAAAAAGAGAGCGAAGAGGAATGAAAGGAGGGGGCAAATGTGATGCCAAGTTAAAGAACATGATGAAATCAGGGGACTGCTCTCCAAGTAACTTAGCTTGTCGATAAGCTCTGTCGCCAAGCCCGAGGCACCAAACTTTAATGACAAGGTACGGGGACTGGGGAAGAGAACATTTTAGGGAAGTGAACGGCAAATCCTACAATGTATTTTGAACGACCCACTAACCAATTGGCATAATTCGGGGCTGTTTGTCACCTGTGACAGAGACGAGACTATTCGTCCGAGATAGCCTTCCACCCATAGCTGCAAAGGAAGTGACGTCAGGAAAATAAAGGAAAAGTTAAGGGGTGATTTTAAAGCCTGGAGTGGAATTGTGGAGGGGCTTGCTATTTTGCTGCTAAAGATTTACAATAGAAGTAATTTATTGAAGAGGGGATAACGCAGTGGCAGAGGATGCAATGCTATGAGAATTCAGGCACTGTTGAGAAGAGGGGATCATGCCTTGAAAAGTCTCCACTCCCTTGTACTCGCACGCTCTTGGTTTACCTCCTATTTCTGTGATCTCTTCTGGGGTCCGCTTCTCTTTAAACGCGGGGTTCTCCAACTTCTATCTCAGGATTCCTAATCATGGACTTTAAAATCCCAGCCTGAACGCTGCCCCCGCCCCAGCTAATCCTGGCACACCTCCCTCCCCAAGGCCAACTGATTAACATTGCAAAAAAGCGGCTTTCCCAAGTTGCCAGGTTCTTTGTTCAACATTTTATCCTAAAGGAGCTTCCTTAGCCTTTAATGTTTCCCGTCCCGCTTTGACACCAATAATTTCAACCCACCCTAACATATCTGCAGCGATGCCAGACGAGATGCCTATTCTCTAAAGTGTATGGAAAATGGACACCGGTAAGTCAATGTCACCCAGGATCCGTACAACTGCAGTAAGAGGGACGGTTAATTCACAGCTTCCAGCTCTTGGCGCCAGAGTCCGATGCACTCCTGCAGATAACGGTCATTTCCATTCCGGGAGAACCTCTTCGAAAAACAACCCGGATGAGACTATCTGGCAAATTGCAGCCCTTGGCGGGCTTTTCAAATAGAGCGTTGACCAATCAAAGAAGGGGGACGTTACAGGCACTGAAAGAATAACCCGGCCGCGCGCGATGGCTCACGCCTGATATCCCAACATTTTGGGAGGCCGAGATGGGTGGATCACGAAGTCAGGAGTTCGAGACTAGCCTGGTCAAGACGGTAAAACTCCGTCTCTACTAAAAATGCAATAATTAGTCGGGCACGGTGGCGGGCGCCTGTAATCCCAGCTACTTAGGAGGCCGAAGCAGAATTGGTTGAACCCGGGAGACGGAGCTTACAGTGAGCCGAGATCGCGGCACTGCACTCTATCCTGGGCGACAGAGCCAAGACTCCATTTAAAAAAAAAAAAAAAAAACAACACAAAAGGAAAGAGTAACCGAAAACCGAAAGCAAACTTGTAATTATAGCTTAAAGCACAACTGCAAGCCTTTTTCCCCAAGGGTATCTAAGAACCCAAGCTAAATTTGTCTGATGGAGCGTCTATACTCACACGCAAAAAGCCTAGGGAGCTTAGCTTACCTTTTCCCGCCGTCTTCCCTCCTAATGGAGGCCGGCCGGAGTCCACCCAAAAGACTACAAGCAAAATGCACAGGCTCTTTCTCTGGAAGCGTGAGTGGCTCTGAAAAGAGCCTTTGGATTGCTGGCAGCTGCGAGAGCTCACTTGGAGCTGGTGTACTTGGTGACGGCCTTTGTGCCCTCGGACACGGCGTGCTTGGCCAGCTCCCCGGGCAGCAGCAGGCGCACGGCCGTCTGGATCTCCCTGGAGGTGATGGTCGAGCGCTTGTTGTAATGCGCCAGGCGGGAAGCCTCGCCAGCGATGCGCTCAAAGATGTCATTGACGAAGGAGTTCATGATGCCCATGGCCTTCGATGAGATGCCGGTGTCGGGGTGGACTTGCTTCAGCACCTTGTACACGTAGATAGAGTAACTCTCTTTGCGGCTGCGCTTGCGCTTCTTGCCGTCCTTTTTCTGGGCCTTGGTTACGGCTTTCTTGGAGCCCTTTTTGGGGGCAGGAGCAGATTTAGCCGGGTCGGGCATGGCGGAGGAGAGTGAAAGAGCACTCAAATAACAAGAATGAGGACAAGCTGGGTTATGCCCTATTTATTTACAAGTCTATATGCAGATGAGATTGAGAAATTCTTCTGTCTGATTGGAAGTTACTCAGATGACGTTAATATCAATATAGTCCAATCAAAACACGTATATTCAGAAAGCTCATTTGCATTAAGAGGAAGCTGCAAGCTTAGCCAATGGCCCAGCTTCTTTTTCGCGCCCAGCAGCTGCTATAAAATGCGCGTCCCTGTAGGTTCCTTTCACTCACTTTCTGACTTAGGCCACAGGTCGTTTTACCATGTCTGGACGTGGCAAGCAGGGCGGCAAGGCTCGCGCCAAGGCCAAAACCCGCTCCTCTAGAGCTGGGCTCCAATTTCCTGTAGGACGAGTGCACCGCCTGCTCCGCAAGGGCAACTACGCTGAGCGGGTCGGGGCCGGCGCGCCGGTTTACCTGGCGGCGGTGCTGGAGTACCTAACTGCCGAGATCCTGGAGCTGGCGGGCAACGCAGCCCGCGACAACAAAAAGACCCGCATCATCCCGCGCCACTTGCAGCTGGCCATCCGCAACGACGAGGAGCTCAACAAGCTGCTTGGTAAAGTTACCATCGCTCAGGGCGGTGTTCTGCCTAACATCCAGGCCGTACTGCTCCCCAAGAAGACTGAGAGCCACCACAAAGCTAAGGGCAAGTAAGGGCTGAACTTTAAAAATGTAAACTTACAAGACAAAAGGCTCTTTTCAGAGCCACCCACCATTTCTACGGAAGAACTGAGCACTCTGTTCTCCAAACCTATCAGAAATTTGTGGCCGAGTTCAAGCACTGAGGCCATTACTTTCCTATTGGGTAAAATAAAAGTATTGAATCAGGCCTAGTAAATACTATCCAACTGCTACCTTATAACATGAAGGAACCTCCTTAATTGTCCCCTCCCCACAAACTGTCCTGGGTCTTTAAAAAACTTGGGGCCGGGCGCGGTGGTTTATGCGTCCTTAGCATTTTGGGAAACTGAGGCAGGTGGGTGGGGAGGGGAGAAATCTCTAGGGACCTGGAGTTCGAGACCACCCTGATAACGAGACCCCTGCCTCTTAAAAAAAAAATGACTGGGCGCGGTGGCTCACGCCTGTAATCCCAGCACTTTGGGAGGCCGAGGAGGGTGTATCACAAGGTCAAGAGATCGAGACCACCCAGGCAAACATGGTGAAACCCTGTCCCTACTAAAAACACAAAAATTAGCCGGGCGTGGTGGCGAGCGCTACTAAGGAGACAGGCAGGAGAATCGCTTGAACCCAGGAGGCAGAGGTTGCAGTGAGCCGAGATCACGCCACTGCACTCCAGCCTGGGCGACAGAGCGAGACTCCATCTAAAAAAAAGAAAGAAAAAAAATACCAGGCGCGAGGCCCTCGCCTGTATTTGGCGGACTGACAGCAGAAGGAACACTTGAGTCCCAGGAATTTGAGATTTCAGTGAGCCATGACCTCGCCACTGCACTCCAGCCTGGGTGACAAAGCGAGACCCCGTCTCAAAAAAAGAAAAACAAAACCCAAACAAAAGTATTTCTGGTGATCATTTGCTCCTGTGAATATAATAAATGTTAAACTAACCTTTTTGTTGTCTTTATGGGTCTTTATCAATACCAGAACCTGGTAGTTCTTTGATCAACTAAAATCTCCATCCTAATAAAATGCTGTTGTCAGAACTACCCAGATTCACTGGCAAAAATCTAATCACTGACCCAAACCTGTAATTCCGCGCATGCTAATGAAATTAAGCAATAATTTACATAATTAATCCAATCAGCCATTGGATTGCATTAAACTCAGTTAATGAAGAGGTCAGATACCATTTATTGGTATCATTTAGTCAAGCACCTATCAAACTCCTTCCCCACACCACACTGGACAAAACTAAAGTTTTGGTGTTTTAGAGAATGTGCCAGCCTAAGTTTAAATTGTTTTTGTTCTGGGTCTTGGTACAGTCATTAAAAGATTTAATTAAGCAGTTACAAAACGGAACTACTTTTTGGAAATACTAGCAAATACGTTGTTCTACTGTATGTATTTTTACACGATCCGAAATAGGAAAAATGACCCATTGGAAATGAGTTTAAGACTACGACTGACCTACACAAATTCTAGGTCAGATTATCTTTTCATTGGGGGAATCTTAACATGATTGGTTGAAAACAATAAATAAAAGTGGCGCGGAGGACGAGCGCAGTGGCTCACGCCTGTAATCTAAGCACTTTGGAAGTCCGAGGCAGGCGGATAACTTGAGATCAGGAGTTTGAGACCAGCCTGGCCAACATGGTGAAACCCCTTCTCTGCTAAAAAAAAATTAGCCGGGCGTCGTGGCAAGTGCCTGTAGTCCCAGCTACTCCGGAGGCTGAGGCAGAATCGCTTGAACCCGGGAGGCGGAGGTTGCAGTGAGCTGAGATCGCGCCACCACACTCCAGCCTAGGCGACAGAATTAGAAGCCGTCAGGTAAAAAAAAAAAAAAAAAAAAAAAAGTGGCAGGAACCAAATGAAGATAGTATTAACAACCAACCAGGTTTTTCCTACAACAGTTCTGACCAATCAGGATCAGATCATCGTTATAAATTCTGGTAGAAGCCACTGCTCATTCAGCTGCTTGCTTTCAGAGCATAGCTTTCTCAACTATGGCCCGGACGAAGCAGACAGCTCGCAAGTCTACCGGCGGCAAGGCACCGCGGAAGCAGCTGGCCACCAAGGCAGCGCGCAAAAGCGCTCCAGCGACTGGCGGTGTGAAGAAGCCCCACCGCTACAGGCCAGGCACCGTGGCCTTGCGTGAGATCCGCCGTTATCAGAAGTCGACTGAGCTGCTCATCCGCAAACTGCCATTTCAGCGCCTGGTGCGAGAAATCGCGCAGGATTTCAAAACCGACCTTCGTTTCCAGAGCTCGGCGGTGATGGCGCTGCAAGAGGCGTGCGAGGCCTATCTGGTGGGTCTCTTTGAAGACACCAACCTCTGTGCTATTCACGCCAAGCGTGTCACTATTATGCCTAAGGACATCCAGCTTGCGCGTCGTATCCGTGGCGAGCGAGCATAATCCCCTGCTCTATCTTGGGTTTCTTAATTGCTTCCAAGCTTCCAAAGGCTCTTTTCAGAGCCACTTACATTCTCACTGAGGATAGCTGTCACACCATTGGTCGACTGTCTTAAATCAACTTTAAAGCAGGGATAAACTGGCGGAAAGTCGTCAAGGGTTGTTCATTCTGATTCCTTGCAGTGTCCTTTGTCTTCTAAGACGGTCCTTTTCACTTGTCCTCTGTGACCCATCTCACAAGGGTCTCACTTTCTCCGAGGAAAGTCAGCAAATCTATATCCAAGGTCAATCCGCTTCAAGGGGAAAGCCAAAGTCCTTCCTGCACATGCTGTCCTTTGGGGATAGCATCTCCAGAACCCCATAACTAACAATTAGATTACAGGTTAAATGAGATGCCATTTTTAACTGAAACGGGCACTGCCCTTGGGTCCCCTGGAAGCTTGCTGAAAATCACGGACATGAGGCCGGTTGATTTAGCACATAGACACGGGAGACTTCAAAATGAGGACCCACCCACCAATGAGATACAGAAGTTTATATATCACCTTGAGATTATAGAAAGAGTGCAAGCTTGGAACCTGGGAAAACAGATTATAGGAGGGAGAAAGGAAGAGACTTGGCTAGCAAGGGGGGCGGGTCTTGTTATGTAGATGAAAACACATAGCTAGTAGTCCTCAGAAAAAATAGATGGTAAATGTCTCTTGTCAGGGTGGGCGTGGTGGCTCATGCCCTCCACTTTGGGAGGCAGTGGAAGGAGGATTCCCTGAGCCCAGGAGTTTGAGATCAGCCTGGGTAACAGCAAAATCCTGTCTCTACGAAAAACAAATAAAAAGAAAGGTGGGTGTTGCAGCGCACAACTGTAGTTCTAGCTGCTCAGAAGGCTGAGGCAGGAAGATTGCCTGAGCCCACGAGTTCAAGGATGCAGTGAACTATGATTGCACAATTGCACTCCAGCCTGGGTGACAGAGCAAGACAGTCTCTTAAAAAATAAAAATAAAAAAGGATCAGACTCTCAGTTAATCTCTCCTAGATCCAGGAAAGGACTAGAAAGGGAAAGCCTGGCAACAAATGGAAATTTCCCCCACAAAAGACTGATTTGCAGGGCCTCATCGGTCTCCGGGCCCTGAGGCAGCCATTTCAAAATAGGGCAAAGAAATATCTTTTGGGGTAAAATATTTTTATTTCCTTCACTTTACTTTCCTCAAGAGACTGCTTTAAAGGTTAAATGCAGTAATATATTCTAGGGCCTTGGACAGTGCCCCAGAAAACACATTAGGTACACAAAAAATATTTATTGAACCTGATTTTATCTCTGAATCTTAGTTTGGAGTGGCTCTTGTGGGAGACTAAAATATGCCACCCCGAAGTATACTTTGTCATATTTCAAGATGGCTATTCAGAGAAACTGCAGAAATAGGAATAGCTCTGAAAAGCTCTTTTTTGTAAAAGAATTGTATACCTATCAAGGAAATCTACATTAGTAAACAGTGGATGCAAGTACTGGCTTTCTCTGAGGCTCCCTTTCCTGCCTAAAGAGGAATCTAAGACTGACTCAAAGGAGAGAAAACTACTTTGTCACAGGCTGTCAGCTATTCTGCGATTACCTGAGAGACTTTATCTACATAACAAGAAAACCTTTGCCTTTCCTCCCCTGGTGCCTTTGCCCTTCCTCCTTCACCCTCCTACAACATGTGTCACCACCTCCTCCAAACCCCCAGAAGTCTCAAGACCTTTTTTCTTTCTGTAGTCTCAGAATGGCATAAAAACGTCAATTATTTGGCCCTTCTGAGAGAGAAATAATATAGGGTGGTCACAAGAGAATAGAAGATTCCATGCAGTAGTTTCACATGACTAGCAAAAAGGAAACTGTTGAAATAGCTGCACAAACTAGGAGCCAAAGAGACCCTGAAAACCGAAATGTTTGCCAAGCTGGCTAAGTCCTACTTGACCCAACATGGCACTGGATTTGACCTAGCTTTCACCTGGGACCTTATTATACACTTATTAACATACAAATCAGACATCCACCAACACCATGACAGTTCCGAGAACACCCATATTTCATGGAAAAATGGATGGCACCACAGTTCTGAGAAATTGTCACCCTTTTCCAGAAATCTTCATGGATATTCCACCCCTTGGTTAAGGAAACCCATAAAGTTAGAAGCCCCAATCACTCCTGGGCAAGACTGACTCTCTTGAGTAAGCCTGCACTTCCCTTCCTTGAGCATGTATTTTTCACTTTGCAATAAACCTCTGTACTTTTTCTGACTTGTCCTTGGATTCTTTCTGGCAGCAGTGGCAAAGGCCTGGACACTGGCTGGGATCAACATCCTAATGGCATTTGGGTACCTCCCCTAGCCCACCGGTATCATTTCTTGGAGTACTGTATTTTGTGAGGCTCCTGTGCATATGCAGGTAATAAATTTGTATGCCTTTTTTTTTTTTCCTGTTTATCTTTCTACTGTTGGTTAATTCCAGAGACTCAAATTATTGAAACTTCAGAAATCAAAGCAGAAGTTTAAAATGACCTTCACCCTCAGAAATGGGGAAATACACCTAAATTCTCTGATAAGATTGGATTGAGAAGTCACACTGGTCAAGATTTGGGAAATAATCCAGTTTGATCAGTAACACAGAAACAAATCACTTTAATGATGTCACTTCTGCTAATGGCCAGTCTTTCTTATTTTTTATTTTATATTTATTTATTTTTATGATTTCGGTTAGCTTCTGCTTCATAAAGCAACATTTTCCAATCTTGTGTTCCAAAACAGGAAACATTTCTGTTTAGGAGGCAGAAAAGATGAGAATAAATGCTTAAGAACCACTCCTTCCTCCCCAGAAGTGTTGAAGCCCTGAAAGGGTATAAAACAAGACAGCAAGCAAAGTCACCGAAAATATAAATAAAACTTCTTTTTTTTTTTTTTTTTTTTTGAGACAGAGTCTTGCTCTATCACCCAGGCTGGAGTGCAGTGGCACAATCTCAGCTCATTGCAAGCTACGCCTCCTGGGTTCACGCCATTCTCCTGCCTCAGCCTCCCGAGTTGCAGGCGCCCGCCACCATGCCCGGCTAATTTTTTTGTATTTTTAGTAGAGGCAGGGTTTCACCATGTTAGCCAGGATGGTCTCGATCTCCTGACCTCGTGATCTCCCCGCCTCGGCCTCCCAAAGCGCTGGGATTACAGGCGTGAGCCACTGCGCCCAGCCTATAAATAAAACTTCTGTAGATTTCCACTCAAACGGAATCTGCTACAAAAACTGTTTCCCAAAAATATGGTTCTCAATATGAAAGAGATTCTAGGCCTGACCCGGTGGCTCAGGCAAGTAATCCCAGCACTTTCGGACGCCAAGGTGAGTGGATCACCTGAGGTCAGGAGTTTGAGACCAGCCTAGCCAACAGGACGACAAAACCCTGTCTCTACTAAAAATACAAAAATGAGCCGGATGGGGTGACACACACCTGTAATCCCAGCTACTCAGGAGGCTGAGGCGAGAGAATCGCTTGAACCCACGAGGCAGAGGTTGCAGTGAGCCAAGATTGCACCATTGCACTCCAGCCTGGGCAGAGGTTGCAGTGAGCCAAGATTTTACCACTGCACTCCAGCCTGGGCAACAGAGTGAGACTCCGCTTCAAAAAAAAAAAAAAGATTCTAAAATGTAAAAAACATGTTTTTCTATATATCTGCTGATAATAATAAGGTTTGTTATCTGCACAAGACTAGAAATACTGAATTTTCTCAGACAGAAACTAGTACAAGCTACATTAAAATTTTAATCTACATAAGTAGTGTAGAGAAACAAGAGAAAAACTTCCCCTTTGCCCTCTGAAGTTTCACTGAGAAATCATCTCACAAAGTGAAGATTAATAAGAGAAATGGCAAATGAATTTATGATGTATACATGGGAGAGAATCACTGAGTGATCATCCAATATCCCAGTAAGGCCCAAATACTTATATAGCCTTATTTCAGAAGGGAGAGGAAAGATGGGAAATATAGGTAATTTTGTTTACGGGCAATAAATAATTAGTAGGGAGAATAAATGGCTCGGAGAACAGAGATTAATTGTAAATAATTCTCTTGGGAAATTGACCTAATCGCCCCCCAAAGGCCACATTTAATATCACCACATTGGAGACTAGGCTTCAACACTGAATTTTGTGAGGACACAAACTTTCAGTTTATAGCACTGGGTATAACTTAGTGTTGGATGGGAGATGGAGAAACACTCTCATGTGGTGGTTTACTGATGGTGGCTTTGCAAAAGACATTTTGGAGAACCATTCCTTCTGTGCCCAGGCCTATGCTCCAAGAAAACTCTCCTATAGACCCATATGAGGACATATCAAGAATATTCATCAAAGTGATATTTGTAATAACATGAAAGTAGAGGTAATTTAAGTGAATGAATAAGTAAAATATAGTGGATGAATACTAACAAATGCTCTCTTTTCTGAGGTCAAGATATAAGCAAACGTCAAAAACAAGAGCTGAACTCAAGACCCCATCAACCTTACTGTTGCCACTCAATTCATACTGTAAAAGAAAAGGGCTGGGCGCGGTGGCTCACGCTTGTGAGCCCAGCACTTCGGGAGGCAGAGGCAGGCAGATCACGAGGTCAAGAGATGGAGGCCACCCTGGCCAACATGGTGAAACCCCGTCTCTACTAAAAATACAAAAAATTAGCTGCGCATGGTGGCGCGCGCCTGTATACTCGGGCTGAGGCAGGAGAATCGCTTGAACCAGAGGGGTGGAGGTTGCAGTGAGTCGAGACTGTGCCATTGCACTCTAGCCTAGTGACAGTGAGACTCCATCTCAAAAATAAAAAATAAATAAATAAAATTTGAGGGACTTCTAAATTTATTATGCCAAAGGGGAACTTAAGCCCTGAAGACTGATTCATGTAGCATATTTTCAATTCTGCTTCTCAGATTATAGTTTAACTCTTTTCCTCATTGTTCTTGTTCTGTAAATGTCTAGCAGAGATCAGACGTCCCCACTTCCAATCACTGATCTTAGTTGTGCATTATCTGCCTCCTTCACTGTCCTTTACCTAACTCAGACCAGATGATGCTCAAGACCTAATGACAGTTACATCTTCTTGAGGCTCAGAAACTAATAACCAAAAATATTGTGGGTTGACATGCTGAACTGAAGAAGCTTCAAGTTCTCTCTGACCATGCCTTCCAAAATCTCTAAATCCTCTATCTCAAAGCACTGGATGAAGTTGTTCTCTGAAGTTCTTTTATCTGCCTAATGTCCCAGCCCACCAACGAGAACAATTGTTTTTTATTCTCTTCCCTGTAATCTCATTACCTATTATAGAAAAAAAATATCAAGAATGTAACCATTGACCGGGCGCGGTGGCTTACGCCTGTAATCCCAGCACTTTGGGAGGCCGAGGTGGGCGGATCACCTGAGGTCGGGAGTTCAAGACAAGCCTGACCAACATGGAGAAACCCCGTCCCTACTAAAAATACAAAAAATTAGCTGGGCGTGGTGGCGCATGCCTGTAATCTCAGCTACTCATGAGGCTGAGGAAGGAAAATCGCTTGAACCCGGGAGGCAGAGGTTGTGGTGAGCCGAGATTGCGCCATTGCACTCCAGCCTGGGTGACAAGAGTGAAACTCCGACTCAAAAAAAAAAAAAAAAAAAAAAGTAACCATACCTGAACAGACCCTTTCACAAGATAATGTTGTCTCCCAGGAGCATTCAAATTCCAAAGAGAACTATTTACAAGTTAATCTCTTTTCCCCAGTCCACTCATTCTACCTAGTAATCATTTATTGCTCCTCAACAGAATCCCTCTTCTCACAACCCGCCGGTAACTTGTTTAGCTATGACCCAAGCCCTCATTCTTTCTGTAACCTTTTTCTAGCTTAAGAATGTTTGTGGCTGGGCGCGGTGGCTCACGCCTGTAATCCCAGCACTTTGGGAGGCCGAGGCGGGTGGATCACGAGGTCAGGAGATCGAGACCATCCTGGCTAATACGGTGAAACCTCGTCTCTACTAAAAATACAAAAAATTAGCCTGGCGTGGTGGCAGGCGCCTATAGTCCCAGCTACTCGGGAGGCTGAGGCAGGAGAATGGCGTCAACCCGGGAGGTGGAGTTTGCAGTGAGCCGAGATCGCGCCACTGCACTCCAGCCTGGGTGACAGAGCGAGACTGTGTCTCAAAAAAAAAAAAAAAAAAAAAAAAAAAGAATGTTTGTAGGCTGGGTGCGGTGGCTCACGCCTGTAATCCCAGCACTTTGGGAGACCGAGGCGGGTGGATCACGAGGTCAGGAGATCGAGACCATCCTGGTTAACACGGTGAAACCCTGTCTCTACTAAAAATTACAAAAAATTAGCTGGGCGTGGTGGCGGGTGCCTGTAGTCCCAGCTATTCCGGAGGCTGAGGCAGGAGAATGGCGTGAACCTGGGAGGTGGAGCTTGCAGTGAGCCAAGATCGCGCCACTGCACTCCAGCCTGGGCAACAAAGCGAGACTCCATCTAAAAAAAAAAAAACAAGAAGAATGTTTGTAAACCTTTGTACACTGTTGGGAAGTGGGTAAATACTCTGTAGTTGTTTCCCATGTGCATGTTAACACATTTGTAAGGCTTTTCTCTTATAAATCTGCCTTTTGTGGTAAAACGTTGTAAATGACTACAGGACACCAGGGAAGACCCCTTATCTCTTCACTATTGATTCTTATTATAGATGAACTTCCCTGTTTTCTCTCTTACACAAAGACTTCGTCACTATCATATTGTATAAGATGGAATTTTAAATATACTCTTTTAAATGTGAAAGAAAATAAAAACAAGCTGTAACTAATCAAATTGTACCTCGTAAGCCACCTTTGTACAGAAACTTAAAATTCTATTAAATGTCTTTGTTTTCTATCTATATAAGCAAGATCTTTAGTTTTATCTTTGGAGCTCTGATTGATTCCATTGATCCTGGAGTCTGTTTTCCAAATGGCTATTTCCAGCTTTCCTTTGAATAAACTTAAAAAAAAAATTCTTCTTAATAGAGACAGGGGTCTTGCTATGTTGCCCAGGCTGGTAGGCTGGTCTGAACTCCTGGGCTCAAGCGATCCTCCTGTTAAAGAAAGGCTTCCCAATACAGACCCCAAGAGAGGGTTCTTGGATCTCTTGCAAGAAAAAATTCAGGACAAGTCCACAGTGCAAAGTGAAAGCAAGTTTATTAAGAAAGTAAAGGAATAAAAGAATGGCTACTCCATAGAGCAGCCCTGAGGGCTGCTGCTTGCCCATTTTTATGGTTATTTCTTGATGATATGCTAAACAAGAGGTGGATTATTCATGCCTCCCCTCTTTAGACCATATAGGGTAACTTTCTGACGTTACCATGGCATTTGTAAATTGTCATGACCCTAGTGGGAGTGCAGCAGTGAGGACGACCAGAGGTCACTCTCATCACCATTTTGGTTTTGGCTGGCTCCTTTACTGCAATCTGCTTTATTAGCAAGGTCTTTATGGCCTGTATTTTGTGCTGACTTCCTATCTCATGCTGTGACTTAAAATGCTTTAACCGTCTAGGAATGCAGCCCAGGAGGTTTCAGCCTTATTTTACCAGCTCCTATTTAAGATGGTGTTGTTCTGGTTCACACGCCTCTGACATTCCCGCCTTTGCCTTCCAATGTGATGGGATTACAGGTGTGAGCCACCACGCCCAGCCAAATAAATTCTTTACAACTAAATTCTGACCCTTTCAATGATAGGTTGAAAGACTTTCAGGAGAAACTAAGAGGTTTCCTGATAAAGAGTTTTGCAAGTCAGTTTTAAAACCATAAGCACTCGGCCAGACGCGGTGGCTCGCGCCTGTAATTCTAGCACTTTGGGTGGGTTGACTGAGCTCAGGAGTTCGAGACCAGCCTGGGCAAAACGGTGAAACCCCGTCTCTACTAAAAATACAAAAAATTAGCAGAGTGTGGCGGCCTGCGACTGTAGTCCCAGCTACTCGGGAGGCTGAGGCAGAATTGCTTGAACCTGGGAGGCGGAGGTTGCAGTGAGCAGACATCGCGCCACTGCACTCTAGCCTGCGTAACAGAGCGAGACTCCGTCTCCAAAAAACCAAAGCCATAAGCACTCAAAGAATATGGAACATATGGCATAGTAAACGTCAGGCAAGAGGGCGGAGGGCGGTCTCGGTGGCTCACGCCTGAGATCCCCGCACGTTGGGAGGCTGAGGCAGGTGGATCACCTGAGGTCGGGAGTAGGAGTCCAGCCTGACCAACACGGAGAAACCACGTCTCTACTGAAAATACAAAATTAGCCAGGCACGGTGGCGCATACCTGTAATCCCAGCTACTCCGGAGGCTGAAGCAGGAGAATCCCTTGAGATCCACCATTGCACTGGAGCCTAGGCAACAAGAGCAAAATCTGTCTCAAATAATAATAATAATAATAATAATAATAATAATAATAATAATAATAAAAGGGCACGGTAAGACAAAGAGAAATCAAGAAGGGCAGTGGATTCGGTATCTTCAAAGTTCTTTAATTGGTCTTTTTGTTTTGCTTTTTTAGAGACAGGGTCTCACTCTGTCATCCACGCTGAAGTGCAGTGGTGCCATTGTAGCTCACTGACACGTCGAAGTCCTGGGCTCAAGTAATACTACCCCCTCAGCCTCTGGAGTTGCTGGGACTATAAGCCAAATCACCGTACCTGGCATCTTAATTGGTCTTAATACCACGTGGGGGTATTATAAGCTTAAAGATGCAGGCAGGGCGCTTTGGCTCATGCTTGTAAACCCAGCACTTTGGGAGGACGAGGTGGGCTGATCACTTGAGGTCAGGAGCTGGAGGCCAGCTTGGCCAACGTGGTGAAACCCCGTCTCTACCAAAAAATAAAAAAATTAGCCGAGCATGGTGGTGCGCGTCCCAGCTACTTGGGAGGCTGAGGCAGGAGAATCGCTTGAACCCAGGAGGCGGATGTTGCAGTGAGCCGTAGACCACACCACTGCCCTCCAGCCTGGGCAACAGTGAGACCCTGTTTCAAAAAACAAAACAAAAACAAAACAAAAAACAAAAAAAAACACTTAAAGATGCTTTGAGGATGAGAGCAGAGATGGTGATTTCTCTGAGGCAGGGCCAAGGAAGAAGGAAAACTTCATGTTTCCATGTCTCATGTTTAAGTTTCTGACCTGGCAAAGGCCAATGAAGTAGAATGCAAGATTTCAGAGAATAAATTAATGGAGAGGAAAAGACTGAATAGCAAATGGTGTTTTGTTTTGTTTGAGACAGCGTCTTACTGTGTTTTATATATATATATATATGTGTGTGTGTGTGTGTCTTTGTGTGTGTGGTGTGTTTATGTGTGTGTATGGGGGACAGAAGAAGTGAGAACTAGAAGTACTAATAAACAATTTGTGGATGAAGACCAAAGAGGGGGAAAAAGCCATGTAAAACACAACCTATCAATCAACCAATTCTAAAGCCTTAAGAAAAACAAACAAAACTGGGTGTCAATGAGATAAATAGGTGGCATATCAGATGGAAATTTTTAACTATATTAAAAAGGATTGAGGCCAACACTGCAACCACCTTTGCAAAATTATGACAGTGAAAGAGATCTATCTTAATCAACTCCATCTTGCTTCTAACCTCATGGCTGTCCTTGTTCATTCCTGGGCATAGGCTGAACTAACTTTGGGAGAAACATAGTTTATAGTAAGCCCAGCACTTTGGGAGGCCTAGGCAGGTGGATCACGAGGTCAGGAGTTCAAGACCAGCCTGGCCAAGATGGTGAAATCCCGTCTTTGGTAAAACTACAAAAATTAGCCAGATGCGGTGGCAGGCGCCTGTAATCCCAGCTACTCGGGAGGCTGAGGCAGGAGAATCACATGAACCTGGGCGGCAGAGTTTGCAGAGAGCCGAGATCGCGCCACTCCACTCCAGCCTGGGTGACAGAGTGAGACTCCGTCTCAAAAAACAAAAAACCAAAGACCATAACAGCCCTTTCCCAGAGAAGACCTCCTTCTTGCTTGGGGACTAGACACAAACATGAGCCACAAGATTAGAAATTATGGTTTAGGAGACACGCAGCTGGAGGCTACAATATTCAGACCCTCCCTAAACTGCTTTTAAGATCAGCACTTGAGATGTTTTGCAGACCCTGCACTTGATGAATCAGCTGGCACCACCCAGATCGATAAAGTGGTTCATCTGATCTTGCAGTCCCCACCTAGGAACCGACTCAGTGCCAGAAGACAGCTTCGACTCCCTATGCTTTCATCCCTGACCAGTCAGGACTCCTGGCTCACTGGCTTCTCCCCATCCACCAAGTTACCCTTAAAAATTGTACTTCTGTTCCAAAGGCTGGGAAGAACTAAGCTGCCCCAGCTCCTCCCATTTCTTGGGCAGGGCTCTTTCCTGTTGTGTGTTCCTCCAGGGCCTGTCCTGTACCGAGCTCTGTCTGTTCCAGCCTTCATCCTTCCTGGCTGTTGCTTTTCCTCTTAAGGGCCTTAGAACTCTTGCTCTTCCTGGGCTGTGGGGGAATGAGTGTTCTTGCCATTTGCCAGCCTAATGCGCATGGTTTCTGCCCCTGATAACAGGAGTGAGTGAGCCCCTCAGACCTGCACTCTGGGTGTCTCCTGCTTTCAAAGGTTCTTAATAGTGAATGCTTTAAAATTAAAGTCACCACAAAATGGAAGTTTTCCCAGGGTGGAAAACAAGAGGAAGTGCTGCTGTAATTGGGAGCACAAGGGGCCTCCCAAAAAGGAGCCCCACCTCAGCATCACTGCCTTATTTGTGGCCTCCGTGGGGTGAGTGGGGTTCTCTCCTCCCTCCCTCCCTCCTCCTGGGGTGGGAGGGCGCTCCTATTCCCATCTTTGTGTTCCCTGGAGGCAGGTATCACAAAACATTTGTGAATTGCTTTAGGTGCAGGGACACCACCCACTCAGGACTTTTCCCCATCATCCCTTCCATTGCCACACCCTAGATCCAGCCTCAGGAACTAATAAGTTTTGAGAAAAGCAGGCGGTAGAGCAGCAGCTTGGTGCTCTCAGCGGTGGCTGGCTGGCATTTTTCTCTAGCATTGTGGTGCCACCTTCCCTCCTTGTCCCAAGGTTATAAGGCCTTGTCTTTCTCTTTGGAATCATAAAGTGGAACAGAGTCCCCAGAACTCGTGTGGCCATTTCCGCCAGCATCACTCCCCGGTGCCTGTGGGGTCCCGGTGTACCTAATGGGAGAACGATCCCATGTGCTAGCCAGAAATATACCGTCTCTTGAAGGAAAGCAGGAGCTCAGACTTTTAGAGCCAGCTGTGGCTTCGGACCCAAGGCCTGACCTAGGCTGCTATCCTAATATTGCAGAAGGGGCCTCTCTTCCAAGCCCCACCCTAAGGGTTAGCCCTTGGCCAAATCTTTTGCCATCTGGTCCCAGCTAGGCTTTTCTGACTAAATAAGCAATAACAGGGTCTAAGCTGACTGAGTTGCAAGGACCCTTTCCACCCTCCCTTGGATCTCCATGTTTTTCCAGATGGAGGAAGAGCATGTGCCACCCCCTGTCCTAACAGGCTTGTCCAAGTGCTTGGTGTGGGACCCAAGACCAAAGCCCAGGATGGCTTGGTGGGAGTGTCCCTGCTGCATCTGCATGAAGCCCCTGCTTTCTAGGCCTCACTCCCATCAGAACCCTGCCTGCCCACCTGCAACTCCCCCACAGCAATGCCATTCCCACTTGCCCCAGAGAAGCTACTCAGCCAAACCTAGCCAGGGTCTGTTCATGTAGACCAGAGCCAGCCTAGTCATTATTTGCTGTCGGGTTTCCAGTTTCACTGTGTGTTAGGGCGAGGGATGATTGTAAAATTTGCTCCTCAAAGGAATCAGGCCAGACTCAATTTTGGAGGGCAAGACAGGGAGGAGGCCGCTTCATCCCAGACTCTCTTCTAGGGCTTCCCACCATCAGCCCCTCCCACTTGAGACTGGTCTTCAGGAGGCAATAGGCCACCATGCCTGGTCAGCATCAATTCAAGCCATGCCAGGAATCTGCCTACCTGCCAGGTTCAGTTCCTTTAAGGTGCCTCTTAAGGGACACACTGTGTCTCTCTGATTGGGCTTCTAAATCAAAAGCCTGATGTTCGTGTCCCTCTCATAGGGGGAGCTTTGGATACAGGACCAGTTTGGAAAAGGGTCAGGTAAGGGTTTCCACTCTGCACATTGTAGAGGGGACGCTCGGTAGCCCATGGGTCCCTTACTAAAGAGGTTGAGTGAATTTGCCTTCAGTTAACCTGGGACCTTCTGTTTAGCTTCCTTCTGCTTCCCAAAGATTTTAAGCATTTTGTAAATGTATAAACTCACCTCTGGCAACAGTGGCCCAGATGCTGCTTTGTGCTATGTAAAGGCAGTCTTTCCCTGGGAAATGGATGCTATTCTATTCTGCTGCCCCTACCTGTTCCTGAGGCTTCATTTAGAAAGAAAATACCCTCAGAAGGCTGTCTGGCACCCAGTGTCCTAGCCAGGCCAAATATATGAGAAAGGTAAGTCCATTTTCCCCTTCAGGTCCTCAGTGGATGACTTAACCACTGCTGTCCCTTGGTCCCTTTTTCCTAAACAGGGGTTTAGTTCTGTCTTTTTATCCTTTTTTCTAAATGCTGGTAAATATCTACATTCAGCCAGGAAGAGGAGGCCAGAGGTCGGGCCAGCTGCCCCATTCTTTTAACGTTGTAGGGCCTGCCCCTGGAGTGGACCTTCCTCTTTGGGCCTCGTCAGCTTTTTTGCTTATCATATTCCATTTTGTGCCACTTTCCCCCTTCAAGATGCCATTTGGAGGGTAGGGGATCTGCTTTCCACTGTGAGTGGGCTATGAGATTCTGACTACCTTGCTTACAGATTCATGGTTTGATAAATTTGTTGCATTCAAAAACTTGTAATGCAGGACGCCATTAAGTGTCTGTTTAAATTTTTGGATTATTTATATTACTTACAATTAATTAATAAAAGTGGGTTTAAAAAACCTAAAAAAAAAAAATTGTACTCCCCGGGCAACCCCCTCGGATCCCCTTCCATGCTGTGGAAGCTTTGTCCTTTCGCTCTTCACAATAAACCTTGCTACCGCTAAAAAACAAAACTGTACTCCCCGAATGCCTGGCTCTGCGTGAGTTACTCTTTCTCTATTCCAATTCCCCTGTCTTGATAAATCGGCTCTGTCTAGGCAGGGGCAAACTTGGCGGTTAAAATACTCTAAAGTAAGGACATTAAGAAACTGTCAGAGACAACTGCAGATCAGCAAGCATCCCTCAGAACATCGAAAAGATAAGCACACTTCATTCATTCATTTGCTTAAGCATAGAAAGAATTATATGGAAATGAAAACATTGGCAACATTTCTCTTGGAAAAGTAAAAGTTTTTTTTTTTTTTAATTTTGAGACGGAGTCTCGCTCTGTCGGCCAGGCTGGAGTGCACTGGCGCGATCTCGGCTCACTGCAACCTCCGCCTCCAGGGTTCAAGCGATTCTCCTGCCTCAGCCACCAGAATAGATGGGACTACAGGTGCGTGCCACCATGCCCGGCTAATTTTTTTGTATTTTTAGTAGAGACAGGGTTTCACTCTGTTAGCCAGGATGGTATCAATCTCCTGACCTGGTGATCTGCCTGCCTCAGCCTCCCAAAGTGCTGGGATTACAGGCGTGAGCCACCGCACCTGGCCAGGAAAAGTAAATCTTTTAAATCTCTTTTTAAAATATCTTTTTAATTTCTATTATTTATTTCTTTTGTTTTCTTTTTTCCTAGTCAATCTTGAAGCATGGTAGAAGTACAACTTTTTTTTTTTTTTTTTTTTTTTTTTTTTTTTTTTTTTTTTTTTTAGACAGCTTCTTGCTCTGTCACTCAGGCTGGAGTGCAATGGTGCAATATTGGCTCACTGTAACCTCTGCATCCTGGGTTCAACTGATTCTTGTGCCTCAACCTCGCGAGTAACTGAGGTTACAAGCACAGGCCACCATGCCCAGTTAATTTTTTGTGTTTTAGTAGAGACGAGGTTTCATCATGTTGGGCAGGCTAGTCTCACTCTCCTGGCCTCAAGAGATCCACCTGCCTAGGGCAGTACCACTCTTTTTTAACGTGACGAGAATACACAATTTATCCCGATTAAACAACAAGGATATACTGAGCAACTGTCATTTCAATTAACATTATCATGTGAGGAAAACAAAAAGGAGTCATTTAAAAAGTACTTAATTTAAATGAAACAAACTTTCTTTCTTTTTTTTTTTTTTTTTTTTTTTGAGACGGAGTCTCGCTCTGTCGCCCAGGCTGGAGTGCAGTGGCGGGATCTCGGCTCACTGCAAGCTCCGCCTCCCGGGTTCACGCCATTCTCCTGCCTCAGCCTCCCAAGTAGCTGGGACTACAGGCACCCGCCACTACGCCCGGCTAATTTTTTTGTATTTTTAGTAGAGACGGGGTTTCACCGTTTTAGCTGGGATGGTCTCGATCTCCTGACCTCGTGATCCGCCCGCCTCGGCCTCCCAAAGTGCTGGGATTACAGGCGTGAGCCACCGCGCCCGGCCACAAACTTTCTTTTTAAATTAAAAAATCTATTTGTTTGCATGCTGGTAGGAGAAGAGAACTAACAAAGTATCTGATTTAACGATTTAACATAGAAAATTTAGTAGGGACCGGATGTGGTGGCTCACACCTGTAATCCCAGCACGTCGGAAGGCCGAGGTAGGTGGATTGCTTGAGCCCAGGGGTTTGAGACCAGCCTGGACAACATGGTGGAACCCCATCTCTACAAGAAGTACAAAAATTAGCCGGGAATGGGTGGTGGCTCACACCTGTAGTCCCAGGATCTGGGGAGGCTGAGGTGGGAAGATCGCACTCCAGCCTTGGTGACAGACCAAGAGCCTGCCTCAAAAAAAAAAAAAAAAAAAAAAAAAAAAAATTTACACCTCTGAAAAACACAGATGTCAATGCTGTAGGGTACAGAAGTTGTGAGACCATAAGGGTCACAGCCTGAACTAATAACAAAAAAGAGGTTAATCGCCGGGCGCGATGGCTCACGCTTGTAATCCCACCACTTTGGGTGGCCGAGGCGGGTGGATCACCAGGTCAGGAGATAGGGACCATCCAGGCTAACACGCTGAAACCCCGTCTCTACTACAA
This sequence comes from Homo sapiens, assembly GCF_000001405.40. Taxonomy (NCBI): domain Eukaryota; kingdom Metazoa; phylum Chordata; class Mammalia; order Primates; family Hominidae; genus Homo; species Homo sapiens. Next base: position 27,875,279 of record NC_000006.12, on the reverse strand, counting down.
ATACAAAAAATAAGGCCGGGAGCAGTGGCTCGCGCCTGTAATCCCAGCACTTTGGGAGGCCGAAGTGGGCGGATCACGTGAGGTCAGGAGTTCGAGACCAGCCTGGCCAAAACGGCAAAACCCCGTCTCTACTAAAAATACAAAAATTAGCCGAGCGTAGTGGCGGGTGCCTTTAATCCCAGCTACTTAGGAGGCTAAGGCTGAAGAATCGCTTGAATCCGGGAGGCGGAGAATCGCTTGAACCCGTGAGGGGGAGATTGCAGTGAGCAGAGAACTCACCATTGCACTCCAGCCTGGGGTGACAAGACCAAAACTCTGTCAAAAAAAAAAAAAAAAAAAAAAAAAAAAGGAAAAAGAGGCCAGCCTAGCTCAGTGAGAAACTGATTAACTATTACAACATGAGTATGTAATGTTTTGCACATACAGTAATCATAGAGTAGTTCATAATGTACTTGCAGAGACTGATTTTTAGAATAAAATTAGATATTTGCTAAAGAGGTAAATAATCATACACATTTGAAATATAAAAGGTAAACATTACTGAGAAACGAAATCTGATAGCTGGAAGGCAGGGCAAGGCAGAGCCAGCCTAGGTCAGGAAGGTCACACAACATTTATTTGAAACTTTTTTTTGAGACGGACTCTTACTTTGTTGCCCAGGCTGGAGTGCATGGAGTGCAGGGGCTCGATCTTGGCTCACTGCAACCTCCGCCTTCTGCGTTCAAGCGATTTTCTTGCCTCAACCTCCTGAGTAGCTGGGATTATGGGCGCCCTCCACCACGCCAGGCCAATTTTCTTTATTTTTAGTAGAGAAGGGGTTTCGCCATCTTAGCCAGGCTGGTCTCGAACTCCTGACCTTGTGATCCACATGCATCGGCCTCCCTTCTGGCTGGGATTACAGGCGTGAGCCACCGCGTCCGGCCATTTGAAACTCTTTTTCTTGGAATAAAGTCATCCTCGGTCTTTTCCTCCTGCACTTTATTTGTAAATGTAAAAGACAGGGTTTCTGGGCACAGCTGATTTCCTAGTTCAACAGAAAAGAGGAACATGAGGGAGCTCAAGCGGCACCTTCACAATTCTAAGGAAATACAGGGTAAAAGCCACCTTTCTTTCTCAAACAGCTTCCTGAAGTGTTTCTAGGTGGAATGAGGAAAAAAAAATAGAAAGTTCTTGCCCCAAAAATGTGGTTGGCGAGGGAGAGAAAGGAACAGAAAGGACAGCTACAGAAAGAGTAAAATATAAGGAAAAGAATAGAGAACCAAATTTGAGAAAGGTGAGGAATCCCACCTTGGAGCTATCATCAGGCGTCGTCTTTTGCAGTCAGCCACTCCATAGGCTGATCACTTCGAGTTTGTACGGAAGCAGTTTCTACACGCTATTTCACAAATGCCCGAAACGACTGTGATTACCCCTCTAGAGATGGCGCCATTTGATTCCAGCAGCCACAAAGCACTAGAACAATCGATGCTAAGAGGTGACAGGAAAAACAGGCTGCAAAGACCCAGACAATGGAATGCAGCGGTGGTCAGCCTAAAACACTGTAGAAGGGCAAGATGAGCTGAGTAATTTTTAACTGGGCATCATTTTTAGAAACTGGAGTTTAAGTACCCCCTTTTCCATTTTTTCCTGAAGTCGTGGGCAGGGCGCAAGGTCTGTGAATCGGCCGACCGGATGCAGCTGGTGTGGAGAGTTCCCAATCAGGTCCGATTTATTACTATATAAAGTACTGCTGCGAGGCTTGCCGTGTTGCATTTTGTTTAGTACAAGACATGTCTGGGCGCGGCAAAGGCGGGAAGGGTCTGGGCAAAGGAGGCGCTAAGCGCCACCGCAAAGTTCTGCGCGACAACATTCAGGGCATCACCAAGCCCGCCATCCGACGCCTGGCACGGCGTGGAGGCGTTAAGCGCATCTCAGGCCTTATATACGAGGAGACACGCGGAGTTCTTAAAGTGTTTTTGGAGAATGTAATCCGCGATGCAGTTACCTACACGGAGCACGCCAAACGCAAGACAGTCACAGCCATGGACGTGGTTTACGCGCTCAAGCGCCAGGGCCGCACCCTGTATGGCTTTGGCGGCTGAGTGTTTTACTTACTTACACGGTTCCTCAAAGGCCCTTCTCAGGGCCACCCATGAAGTCTGTGAAAGAGCTGTAGACTAAAGATAGTTAATTTCTTAAGAACACTTAAACGTATGGCAGTTTTGGCAAATTAGCGATTCCACATAAGCAGTCGCTGAAGTTTGAGGTTCGGTGCCCCTTTCAGCATTACTTAGTGGTTAAAAGTGCCGGCTTCTCTGATACACGGCCAAATCTATAACGCCTCTCTGGTTTTTGCAAAAGTCATAATGAAACAGCCGGTCTCATTTATCTTGTATCGATTACTTTACCGCTACCAATGCGAGGGCTGTGTAACTATGACACTGTGGTCCGCAACGCCCAAAATGTTTTAATATCGCCCTTTACAGAAAAAGTCGGCCAACTTCTAAAACATTAAGTACGTTTAAATTTGAGAAATACTGGCATACCACAACGCTCGAATTTCATATCCCCTTCAATGCCTCCATTTACAAATTTACTCTAGTTTCACTTTTCCTTTACGTTCTTTAACTTTTTGTCAAATCAGTAATGACACCTCGTAATTAAAATAGTGCAAGGCAAGTTTAGATTTATCAAGCTTATATTTAAACAGGATTTTGATGCATGAAAAATCCTAGACTTTTGGGGGATTTTTTTTTGTTTCCGTTTTTGTTTTTCTTTAGCTAGCAAAACCATTTTACGTTTCTTGACCCAAAACAGAGGCGGAATGTCTCCCTTTCACTAGCAGATTAAACTGGGAGCCAATTCCGTGTGTGAGACGTGGCATGGCACAGTCTACTGTCCAATCAGAACGCGAGGGCAGCTATAAATACCGGGATGATCAGTTTTTTTCTCTCATTTGTGTTGAGTAGGTACGTCTACTTAGCCATGGCACGAACAAAGCAAACAGCTCGCAAGTCCACCGGCGGCAAAGCGCCGCGCAAGCAGCTGGCCACCAAGGCGGCTCGCAAGAGCGCTCCGGCCACCGGTGGCGTCAAGAAGCCCCACCGCTACCGCCCCGGCACCGTGGCCCTGCGCGAGATCCGCCGCTACCAGAAGTCGACCGAGCTGCTAATCCGGAAGCTACCTTTTCAGCGCTTGGTACGGGAGATCGCACAGGACTTTAAGACCGATCTGCGCTTCCAGAGCTCGGCGGTGATGGCGCTGCAGGAGGCTTGCGAGGCCTACCTGGTGGGGCTATTTGAGGATACCAACCTGTGCGCCATTCACGCCAAACGCGTCACTATTATGCCTAAAGACATCCAGCTTGCGCGCCGCATCCGAGGGGAGAGGGCATAAATATTCCTATCAGCCCAAGAAGTCTGTCCAACCCCAAAAGGCTCTTTTCAGAGCCCCTCAATTGTCACCAAAAGGAAGCTGTAGCTTTTGAGACGTGTCTTAGCTCCATGTTAAATACAAGCTGTGGACAAAACGTGGTAGTGGCCCAACACACTATAATGCAGGAGTCAGGTCACAGGCTGTTGGTATGCTAAATCAATTTCACATACAGAACCTGTTCCTACTGATAAGGATTATCACTCAAAAAAGACATGTCATGGGGTCAATTTTACAGATGAAGTTTAGTTTTGAAAAGTATTCCTGTTTTTATCCTTGAGGAATGTGTCTCCTGCGTATCTACCTGCCCCTACTGAAGGGAACAAGTAGCACAATGAGTGTCCACAGGCTCTGGTGAGGCCGAGGCAGGCGGATCACAAGGTCAGGAGATCAAGACCATCCTGGCTAACACGGTGAAACCCCCCTGTCCACTAAAAAAAAGACTGCCGGCCGTGGTGGCACGCGCCTGTAGTCCCAGCTACTCGGGAGGCTGAGGCAGGAGGATCGCTTGAACCTGGCAGGCAGAGGTTGCAGTGAGCCGAGATCGCGCCACTGCCCTCCAGCCTGGGCTACAGAGCGAGACTCCGCCTCAAAAATACAAAAAACAACAGGCTCTAAAAACTACACACATGAGAGTGGAACAATAGACAATAAGGACTCAGAAGGGAGGAAAGAATGAATGATAAGTTACTTAATTGGTACAATGTAAGCTATTTAGCTCTTGTATAGCCCATGTAACTTGACCACCTTGGAGCATATGCACATAACAAAGTTGCCATCGTACCCCATGCAAGTAACAGTTTTGACAAAAAGCTCGACACTTTTGTTCTGTTTCAATGTAATGTTTAGCAAGCCATGTGTTAGGTAGTGGGCCTCTGAGGAGGGATACTTTAACCTACTGCATGCTGTCATCTATGAAATGAACTTCTAGCTCTAAGTGGACCTTAAAAAATATTTTCCTGTCATTTCACCATATGCTTGTCATAGACTGTGGAGTTGGATTTTCATGAGATTTTTTCTTTCTTTTTTTTTTTCAGAGAGAATCAGTCTGGGTATTAAACTTCAAGTGGTATTTTAAAGCTCTTCCTGGTTTCTAACCAAACTTTTCCATTATTTCCAGCTGTTTTAGAGTTTCCTCATGTGCTCTACATATGTGACTATCATGACCTCATTTTGCTCTTAAACTTTTTGAAGCACACATCTTGACCTAGGAGATATCTGGCAGAGATGTGAAGGCAATTTTTCTCCCTAGTGCTCTCAGCCAGCTCAGCCTCATATCTGTGCCTTCCTTTCTCATATTGGATTCACTCTTGCAAAGAGGCATGTATCCCAGCAACTGGTGCAGCGGTGTCCGATCTTTTGTCTTCCCTGGGCCACGTTGGAAGAAGAATTGTCTTGGGCCACACCTAAAATACAGGATCACTAAAGATAGCTGACGAAAGAAAACAAAGGAAGGAAGGAAGGAAGGGAGGAAGGAAGGAAAAAGGAAGGGCGCAGTGGCTCACATCTGTAATCCCAGCACTTTGCATTTTGGGAGGCCGATGCGGGCGAATCACGAGGTCAGGAGTTCCAGACCAGCCTGGCCAACATGGTGAAGCCACGTCTCTACTAAAAATACAAAAAATTAGCTGGGCATAGTGGCAGGCGCCTGTAGTCCCAGCTCCTTGGGAGGCTGAGGTTGCAGTGAGCCGAGATCACGCTACTGCACTCCAGTCCTGGTGACAGAGTGAGACTCTGTCTCAAAAAAAAAAAAAAAAAAAAAAAAGGAAGGAAGGGAAAGAAAGAAAAGTCTGTGCATAATTTTTGTGATATCCACCATCACAGATGAACAAAAAAGTCCTCACATTCAAAGGGTTGGATACAGGTATAAAGTTTTTGGAAACTTAAGATTTGATTCAGAAAAACAAACAACAAAAAAACACTTTTGATCCATGGGGCCAGAAGCCTCTTCCCACAATTAACTTAGAGCTCTTTTAGTGGCTGTTTGCTAGGTGTAGGAACAACTTGACACTGCCTCTTCCAAGCTTTGAAGATAGTTCTCTTCTCACCTCTTCAAGGATTTTCCCTCCATAATAGAGCTGAGGCCATGTTTCTAGGTTTAAAATTTAGAGCTGCCACTTCATAGCTGTATAACCTTTGACAAGTTATTAATTCTCTATCTGGGCCTCATCTTGTATAGCTGTAAATGTAGCAAATTAATAGAAACCTGTAGAACATATTTAAGATTACTTCCTGTCAGGTAGTAAATGCTGAATGAGTGTCAGCTCTTATTGTTATACCCTGGCTCCATTACACATGGAGTTTTGGGGTTTTTTTCTCCTGGACCTTCTAAGTTTTGTGTTTGGAACAGTGGAAAGTGCTTGGTTAGATCATTTGCTCATGAAGATCTCCTTTTCTTTAGTTCTCAATTTGCATTGTTCGGTAAGAGGCCTATACAATATCTGTGTCTCTGTGGAGAAATTTATAACACAGCAAAAGGGCTAGGTAATAAATAGCTTAGGGTTTAAAGGCCATATATAGTCTCTGTCACACACTCTTTAGTTTTTAGTTAGTTTGCTTTTTCGAGACAGGATCTTGCTCCATTGCCCTGGCTGGAGTGCAGTGCTGCTATCATTGCTCACTGCAGCCTTGACACCCTGAATTCAAGTGATCCTCCCACCTCAGCCTCCCGAGTAGCTGAGACTACAGGCATGTGCCACCACATCCAGCAAAATGTTTTGTATTTTTATTAAAGATGGGGTTTTACCAAGTTGCCCAAGCTGGTCTCCAACTCCTGAGCTCAAGCAACCCACCTATCCCAGTGTCCCCAAGTGCTGAGATTACAGACATGAACCACCGTGCCCAGCCTTTGTTTTTGTTTTTTTTTTTTTTAACAATACTTTTAAAACATAAAGACACTTCTTAGCTTGAGGGCCATACAGAAAAAAGCCATTGTCCAGATTTGGCCATAGTCTGCCAACTTCTCCAGGAGTTCTTAGAAGATGAAGTGCATTGGCTACTTTAAATTTTCTTGCACAGCATTTCAAGAATGAGAAATAAGTGACTGTTGATTTCATTAGGAATCCAAATCATCATTTGATCATTTTTATCATCCAGGCATCCTGTCCAATCCCCTCCACCTCCCATAAATTGTAAACTTCATTTATTTCAACCTCAGTGTATTTGCCTATGTTTTCCTGAGTTCCTCTGAACCTCTATAATGTGAAGTCGCTCAATATCCAATCCAACCTTTTCACAGTCAATAGCCAGATATTCTTCTAAAATATTAGCGCTAAAACACACAAAAATACCCATATTGATGTATCCTGGCTGCTCATAGAAGAGAGTATTCCTGATGGTGCAGCTTGTTAAATGTGGGTGGAGATTCAGGGGGAGCAGTGAGAACATTTCGAAAACCTGACAGTGTCCTGGGCCACCTAAACAGTTTGTGCATTTGAGGATCACTGGGAGCTCTTGAATAATTTTCCACAAGTTTGAGTTTTCTCTAAACTGAATTATCTATATTATTTTTCTTCCCCTTTTTTAATGGATTTGCCCAGGAACTAAAAAGAGAAAACACTCTAATTAGAAAACATAACACATTTAAGTTTGAATGTGAATCTGAGTAGTTAGATCCTTAAGTCAAAGCGATTTGTATTACTGGTGCTGCAATGCAGAAGAAGTCACTCTGACTGTGGAACTCTTCCAAGCTGCAAAATCCCATTCTGTAAAGACATTAGCACATGGAAACTCCTAGGACACAGAACCAGTTTGTAAAGTCAAGTCTATGTGGTTAAGTTGGGGCTGTAGGCAACCAGCTGTCCTGTGCCTGTGTTACTTGCTACAGTTAGAAACAAACTTCATGCCCAAACCAAGGAACCCAGTGTCTTTTCTCTTGCAAAAATCAAAGCATGAACTCATGGGCAAATTTTTAAAAATAACTTTCACTGGATACTTAGTAGAAATTTATCGCGACACGCTACTAACTAACATGATGCCCTCAGCCCAATGGATTCTTATGAAAAGCTGAAGGGATTTTTTAAAATATCTTTCATCAATTGCACAAGATTCTTGAAAACACAAACAAGTATGTGAACCTGGAGGCTGTTTTCCTCCTTTGGAGCTTCAAAGTGCCAAATTCTGTACCATTGTTTTAAGCATTTAATCAAATTTTGAGGACTAACAAACACAATTTGGGAGTCCAACCGCGAGCGGCGGCGGCCAGAGGGCGGTGGATTGGACGCTCCACCAATCACAGGGCAGCGCCGGCTTATATAAGCCCGGGGCCCGAGCATAGCAGCAACGCAAAACCTGCTCTTTAGATTTCGAGCTTATTCTCTTCTAGCAGTTTCTTGCCACCATGTCGGAAACCGCTCCTGCCGAGACAGCCACCCCAGCGCCGGTGGAGAAATCCCCGGCTAAGAAGAAGGCAACTAAGAAGGCTGCCGGCGCCGGCGCTGCTAAGCGCAAAGCGACGGGGCCCCCAGTCTCAGAGCTGATCACCAAGGCTGTGGCTGCTTCTAAGGAGCGCAATGGCCTTTCTTTGGCAGCCCTTAAGAAGGCCTTAGCGGCCGGTGGCTACGACGTGGAGAAGAATAACAGCCGCATTAAGCTGGGCCTCAAGAGCTTGGTGAGCAAGGGCACCCTGGTGCAGACCAAGGGCACTGGTGCTTCTGGCTCCTTTAAACTCAACAAGAAGGCGGCCTCCGGGGAAGCCAAGCCCAAAGCCAAGAAGGCAGGCGCCGCTAAAGCTAAGAAGCCCGCGGGGGCCACGCCTAAGAAGGCCAAGAAGGCTGCAGGGGCGAAAAAGGCAGTGAAGAAGACTCCGAAGAAGGCGAAGAAGCCCGCGGCGGCTGGCGTCAAAAAGGTGGCGAAGAGCCCTAAGAAGGCCAAGGCCGCTGCCAAACCGAAAAAGGCAACCAAGAGTCCTGCCAAGCCCAAGGCAGTTAAGCCGAAGGCGGCAAAGCCCAAAGCCGCTAAGCCCAAAGCAGCAAAACCTAAAGCTGCAAAGGCCAAGAAGGCGGCTGCCAAAAAGAAGTAGGAAGCTGGCGTGTGAAAACCGCAACAAAGCCCCAAAGGCTCTTTTCAGAGCCACCCAGAGACCTCTAAAAAATGGCTGTGCACAACATGTTAGATCAGGCAGCAAGATTCCTTGCATTCGAAAAATCTCGGGCAGTTCTCCCTCAACCCTAATCGAGTAACGCAAGGCAAGCAAGAGTCCAGGGTGTTGGTTGGACTCCCCACGTAGTTTACCCATGCAGTCTGTTATTAGAGTATGAATTCCAGCCGTTGGTTTTTGTTAAGTTGGTGTCAAGCTTTTTGTCAGACGCCTAGCTACAAAGAAGCTTCTTATATTTTAAAAAGCCCGCTCTATAATCTGATTGGCCAGTTTTTGTTCCATCATCTGTATGTGGTTTTTCCGCGTTTAAGCCATTTAGGCACCAGCTACTTCGGCGTCACTAATGTGTTCGGCATTAATATAATATGCTATCAACGCACAAGACAATATAGTAGCAAGTTTCAAGATGGGGTCTCTATTACATGCCAATTTGATATGACCGTGTCATTCTGTACTGGATTATTTTTTTTTCCTCAAGTCAGGTTCTCGCTGTCACCCAGGCTGGCGTGCAGTGGCGTGGTCTCGGCTCACTACAGCCTCAGCCTCCCCGGCTCAAGGGATCGTCCCACTTCAGCCTCTGTGAAGTGCTAGGACTAAAGGCGTGCACCACCCCGGTCGGCTAATTTTTGTATCCGCTATGATGCCCAGGCAGATCTCGAATTCATGAGCTCCAGCGATCTTCCCGCCTCAGCTTCCAAAAGTGCTGGGATTACAGGCGTGAGCCACTGAGCCTGGCTCTGGATTTTTTTTTATTGGTTCTAGTTCATATAACACGAGATGAATAAACACAGCGAACATTCTTGTAAGCCCTACATTAAATAACTAGTTCACATTCTGACTTAAACATGTCACCTGAATCCTGTAAGGTTTTTCCTAAAAGTCATTCCTAAGCTCTAGATGAAAAATGCTTTATCTTTTCATAACAAACGTTCCAAATGTTTAACCAGTGGCCCAGCTCTCCCGCAGAAATAGTAGGTGGCTCTGAAAAGAGCCGTTGTATTGGAAAGTGATTCTATGGAGACATTATTTGCCTTTGGCCTTGTGGTGACTCTCGGTCTTCTTGGGCAGTAGCACAGCCTGGATGTTGGGCAGGACACCACCCTGAGCGATGGTTACTTTGCCCAGCAGCTTGTTGAGCTCCTCGTCGTTGCGGATGGCCAGCTGCAAGTGGCGCGGGATAATGCGGGTCTTCTTGTTGTCGCGGGCGGCGTTGCCCGCCAGCTCCAGGATCTCGGCAGTCAGGTACTCCAGCACCGCCGCCAGGTACACCGGCGCGCCGGCCCCGACCCGCTCAGCATAGTTGCCCTTGCGGAGCAGTCGGTGCACTCGGCCCACGGGGAACTGGAGACCGGCACGAGAAGAGCGGGTCTTGGCTTTGGCGCGAGCTTTGCCTCCCTGCTTGCCGCGTCCCGACATGACGAAGAAACGATAAATGGAGGAACTGAGAACAGCCGAGAGAAGTTCACCAGAGCTCCACTACTTATAGTCAATACTGGGCGCGAAAATAAAGCTGTGCCATTGGCTCAAATTACAGTTTTATTTCAACCAATGGAATCGCTGTTATGAAACATGCTTCTTTGGATTGGACAAACGTGTATATGACGTCATCTAGAATCGCCACCAGTCCTACACACTATTTTATTAATCACCTCATTTGCATAAGAATTCGTGAACAGGACGTTACAACACACAGCTTTTTCTTCTTCTTCTTTTTTTGTTTTTTTAAGACAGGGTCTCCCTCTCGCCCGGGCTGGAGTGCGGTGGTACGATCTCCGGTCGCTGCAACGTCCGCTCCTGGGTTCAAGTGATTCTCCTGCCTCGGCCTCCTGAGTAGCTGAGATTACAAGCGTCAGCCACCATAGCCCGGCTAATTTTTGTATTTTTTAGTAGAGACAGGGTTTCACCATATTGGTCATCCTGGTCTCAAACCCCTGAGCTCAGGTGAGCCACCTGCCTCAACCTCCCAAAATGCTGGGATTAAAGGCGTGAGCCACAGCGCCCGGCGACTTTTTTTTTTTTTTTTTTTTTTTTTTTCCCTTGAGACAGGGTCTGGCTTTGCCGCCCAGGTTGGAGAGCAGTGGCGCGATCGTGGCTCACCGCAACCTCCGCCTTCCTGGCCGAAGCGATCCTCCTCCCTGAGCCTCCCCAGTAGCTGGGGTTACAGGAGTGCATCACGCGCCCAGCTAATTTTTTACATTTGTTTGAAGAGTCATGGTTTCGCCATGTTGTTCAGGCTGCTCTCGAACTCCTGACCTCAAGTGATCCGCCCGCCTCCGCCTCCCAAAGTACTGGAATTACAGGCGTGCGCCGCCGCGCCCGGCCGCTTTTTCCTATTCCTTGTACCCTTTCTGCAGTTAAACTACAACACGCCTGACCCCACCAAGTCGGCCACAGCCCCGAAAAAGGGTTCCAAGAAGACTATTACTAAGGCAAGAAGCGAAAGCGCAGCCGCAAGGAGAGCTGCTCCGTGTACTTGTACAAGGTGCTGAAGCAGGTCCACCAACACCGGCATCTCGTCCAAAGCAATGGGGATCTTGAACACCTTCGTTATGCCATCTTCGAGCGTATTGCGGGCGAGGCTTCCCGCCTGGCGCGTTACAACAAGCGTTCGACCATCACCTCCAGGGAGATCCAGACGGCTGTTCGCCTGTCACGCATGCTGTGTCCGAGAGCACCAAAGCCGTAACCAAGCACACCAGCTCCAAGTGAGCTCCTTGCTGGTTCGTCCACTTGGAACCCCACTAGGTTCTTCCTGACTCACACTCCACTAGGTTCTTCCTGACCCACACCCTAAGGACTCTTTTCAGAGATATTCACACTTCCTAAATAGAACTGACGCTCGTTTATCCCTAGTTTTGAAATGTTCAGTTAGCTTTAACCTAAAGCCTTTCATAAATGCTTCTTAATTTATGCAAAAGATACATTGTGGCCTTATGATATTTCCAATATTATCTGCTACTAAGTATTTTATGTTACAAACGTCAAATACACAAAACGGGAGTTTTATTGTGCGAATTTCACTTATCCAGGCTCAATTTCAACACCGAGAATCCCCTGTTGAGTTATTGTCTAGAAAACCAAGTATTTAAAGTAAAAGTCCTATCAACCTCTACTGAAATATCACTGGACGTTTTGCAGGTTACACCACAATTTTCAGGCCACCTGGTAGGATACTCAGTGACTACCATGTAATCCAGGTGGCATTCTCTTTCAATTTTTCTTTTATAACATGAAAGCAGGGAATGTGCTTTCTTGCCTAATTTGCACAAAATGACCTAAAGGTGTTGAGATTAAAATGGAGAAAGAGGAAGGAAAGAAATTAGAACCAATTTATATTACCTCTTCCCACCAGTTAGAAATGAGGTTTGGATCCTTCCTTGCTAATCCAGATGCCATGCTGGCAGATGGAATTTTTCTACTAATTACTTTTTTCTACATTTGTCCTAAGTAGACCAAAGTACTCCACGCTTCTCCCCACTTTCACACCTGTCCTATGAAGTTCCTCTAATTTAAGATGTAAATTGATTATGCTTCATGTTTTCCTCACCTTTAATGTCTCATCATTATAAGGAATGGCATTTGTTTACCATAATTTTAATATGATCAAATTTTTTCTTGGTTAAGAGTTTAGAATGTAGGTCAGTTTCTTTTCTGAGTCAGCTCCACATTTCATCTCACTCTATATTCTCCTTACTGTTTTTTTCTGTAATAAGGGGGAAATTCTAAACAAAAAGGCAATCTTTTTGAAATGTGAAAGTGGGAGAGTCATGAGAAGGCCTTTTCTCCAAGAGAGAAGTGCAGTCTCCCAGTTTTTAGGCTGGGAAAGCCATTTTGCCTTTTCCAGGAATCAGTGTGGAAATACAAGTCCCAATTGTTCTACAGACTGTCAGATACCAGGATCATGAAACCTAACACCTTTGTTGTTTTTCTAGGTATTAGTCAATCTTTTCTCATCAAAAAGCTGGAGGCCTTAGAAGGGCCTATGTGAATGAAAAGCACAAAATCTAGGCTGAATTTATGAGCTCAGAGAGCCAAGGACAGTTAAGGCGCCAAGGACAGTTAAGCAGCCAAGTCTGCAGACAAAGCTAGTGACTGTCTTCTCTCCAACTTCCAAAATGTTGCTAGAAACATTTACAGAAGTCTATTGCTAGGCCAACGCTGTGGCTCATGCCTGTAATCCCAGCCTGTTGGGAAGCCAAGGTGGGCAGATCACTTAAGGTCAGGAGTTCAAGACCAGCCTGGCCAACATGGTGAAACCTCGTCTCTACTAAAAATACAAAAACATTAGCCAGGCCTGGTGGGCATGCGCCTGTAATCCCAGCAACTCGGGAGGCTGAGGCACGATAATCACTTGAACCTGGGAGGTGGAGGTTGCAGTCGGCCAAGATGACACCACTCTACTCCAGCCTGGGCAACAGAACAAGACTCCAACTAAAAAAAAAAAAAAAAAAAAAAAAGAGAAAGAAGAAGTCTATTGCTTTACTAGATCCACCCACATTATTCAATCTGAAATTAGTACTGTTACTGATACAGTCAAGGAATGAAATAATATTAGGCTCACAAAGTACAATTATTATTCCCTGAAATGTTTCTTATAGCTGTCCTCCATTTCTGTAGTCACTGTTGGTTCACCATTCAAATTCTGTCCACACTTTGAGGCCAATCCCAAGTCTTACTTCCCCTGAAACCTTTTTTATGTCTTAAAATTTGCATTGTTTTTCTGTCTTGAAGCTTCTCTAGAGTTCCTTCCTGTTTGAACCATTCCCACACATATACACCCTGCCTATGAGCAAGCAGAGACCTTCTTGTCTTTCCTGTATCTTTATAATTTCAGTTCCTTTAGAACCAATAATCTCAGAAATACAATTTGTTTCTACATAGTCTTCTATTTGTCTTTAATATTTTTGTTTTGTAATCCATTTTTTTCTTTTTTTTAATTTTTGGTAATCTATTTTTAACCCACATTACCTGTCTTCTCTTTTATGGTTGGCCTATGGGACTTACACTGGTACTCAGTGTTGAAATTAGGAGACCAACTCCTAAAACAAATGACCACTTCAGGAGGTCAAGATTTTGGTTTCTTTGACACCCAGCTTCTATATTTGTAAGTTGGAGATAACAGCAATTCATAGTCATGTGACCATTGTAAGGATCAGTGAGAATACTTTGTGAATTATGATTATACACATATTTCATATATATTAAAGAGGAATCTTATATATTTATTCAGCATTTGAAAGGCTTAGGGCACCCTCGCCTATCTATCAAACTGAATCACAAAGCTCCGCCCATGCAGTGCTGCTTTCCAGTTCTTTTTTTACTTTCAGTAGATACTTTTTGAGCACATGCTGTGTGCCAGAAACTCTTCTAGACCAGAAATATTATAGTGAACTAAACAGACAAAAAGTTATGCACTCACAGTTTATTTTCTAATAAGGGAACAAAAAATATATATCTTTTATGATGTAAGATAATATTAAATGTTGGGGAGGAAAATAAAGCAGAAAAGAAAGATAGGCTTTGTATTTCTTATTTTAAATAACATAATTACAGAATGTTCATCAAGAAGGTGAAATTTTTAAAAAGATGAGGAGATGAGGGAGTGGGCCTTTGGGGATTGTAGGCAGAATAAAAAATGAATAAGTAAAGAGGCCCTGAGGTGTTTGTGGGAAGGAGAGATACTTGGTATTAGTCAAGGAACAGCAAAGTGGTCAATGTGGCTGGAACAGAGGGAACAAGGAGAAAAGTCGCTGGAAGTGGAGTAACAGAAATGGGGAAGCAGCTTCAAGAATGTGTAGGAACTTATATGACACTATAGTATCTTTGGATAGTATTGTCCTATATTTCAAATTTTTAATAGCTGTAGAAAGCTGTGGGTTTTGTGTGACCAGCTGTACTCATCTTAACCCCCTGATCCTGGACTTTAAAGGGACAACATGCAAGGCACTCCACATGTGTCATTACTTCTTTGTTCAACTTCTCAGAAAGGACATAAGGAAGGAAAACCTCCCAGGGTGAGTCAGGGTATGAAGAATCCCAAATAAGTGCCAGACCCTTCCCTAAAGATATGGGAACTCAAAGTCTTTCACTCTCAGCAGTTGCCTTTTTTTCCCCCAGAATAGTACTCTTTCCCCACAGCTTCCTGAACTAAACAAATGCTGGTGGGAGAATCACGAATTTTGAATGTGTGTCCAGTTTGGGAGCATCAGAAACACCACAAACATGGGCCTGTGACAAATAAGACTGTTTCAAACATTTAAAGCCATGCCCACCATGTGATACATGTCCCTACTTCTGAATTTCAGTGTTCTGCAACTTCTTATTTCTACCTGTCTCAGAGCAAGACAGCGAAATCTCTCATATTTCCTTGTGTAGTACATTATCCACATAATTAGGTAATAATCAAATGGCCCTTTCAATTATACATCAGTTTTTTTTTGTTTGTTTTTTTGTTGTTGTTTGTTTGTTTGAGATGGAGTTTAGCTCTTGTTGCCGAGGCTGAAGTGCAATGGCGCAATCTCGGCTCATTGCAACCTCTGCCTCCCGGGTTCAAGCGATTCTCCTGCCTCAGCCTCCAAAGTAGCTGGGATTATAGGCAAGCGCCACCACGCCTAGCTAATTTCGTATTTTTAATCGAAACAGGGCTTCTCCATGTTGGTCAGGCTGGTCTTGAGAACTTCCGACCTCAGCTGGTCCACCTGCCTCGACCTCCCAAAGTGCTGGTATTACAGGCGTGAGCCACCGCACCTGGCCGCATCTGGTATATTTGAAACTCCCCGGGTGATATTATGCCTGTAAGGGCTGAGAGACACATTTTTCAGTGTGTACTGTGGAAACAGCCTAAAAGATGGCATCTGATATTTGCATCTTTGGGTAGCCCTTTCCACATTGCACCAGGGTTGGTCAACAGAATATGGCAGAAGTGATGGTATGTCACTTCCAATATTAGATAAAAGATTTCCATCTTGATCATTGCCCATCTCTCTTGGATCACTCACTCTAGAGGAAGGAAGCCAGCCCTTATTAAGAGTAGCCCTCTAGAGATGTGTGGGAAGAAAATGAATCCTCTAGCCAACAGTGACATAAGGGAACCTCTTCTTGCAACTTGGAAGCTACAGTCCCAGTCAAGCTTTTAGGTAATCACAGTCGTTGACTGAAACCTCATGAGAGACAGACAGTGAGTAAAAACCATCTAGCTAAGCTGCTCCCAGATTCCTGACCCTCAGATAGCTCTGAGAGGTAATAACTCTTGAACAAAGGTAATAACTCTTGAATAAAGGTTGAACCTTGTCATAGCTCTTCCAAAAAATTTCCCCAAATTATAGCATTCCAGAATATTTACCCTTTCTGAATTCGTATAGCAGTTACAGTTAATATTACAGCATAATTTATATTTCATATAACATAAATAGACTTATAATTTATAAAGATAATGTAAAATACTGTAGTCTTTAGCGTCATGGGGAATTGGTTCCTCTAGCATGCCAAAAGCCCTGGATGTTCAAATCCCTTGTATAAAATGGTGTAGTATTTGCATATAACCTACATATATCTTCCCTATATTTTAAATCATCTCTAGATTACGTATAATACTTAAAACATGCAAATAATATATAAATAGTTGTTATATTGTGGTTTTTTCATATCACTTTTTTATTGTTGTTATTTTTGATGTTTTCCCCTAAATATTTGGATCCTTGGTTGGTTGAAACCATGGAAGCAGAATGCACATATACAGAAGGCTGGATGTATAACCATAGTATCTTTTGCCATTTCCGGTTTTATGACATTGGTTATATTATTTTATGTAGTATTGTTCAAACTTCAGTTACGTGAGTAGCACTTTAAAATTTTTTTTCTTTTTCCTGTATTTGGATACAAGCTACACTATGTAGAAAATGAAATCAATTTATTTTAAAAGCTTTACATCACTATTCTAGTGGAAAATTTCTACTTCTGATAATAAAGAGAAGGTAACTATAAAACAGCATAAAATAAAACAATAATATTCAATTATAGTTATATGCTCTTTGCTATCTACTACTTGGAGCCTAAAAACTGCTCTTTGTTATAAAATTGAAAAATAAAAAAGAGAGAGAGGAAAGATTAACAAGTGTTAGAGAGGCCTTAAACATCGACTAGCACCAAATTGACACTTTTCCAGTCAGTTAATCAGAAAGATTTAAAGAGAATAGAAAAGAGAATGATATTCTTATTCTCTGTTCCAACATTTAAAAAAGCAAAGTTCATAAACTACTTATAAACATTTTCCACAACTCTAGTGGTACTTGATACAGATCTGAGAAAACACTGGTTTCACTAATGTATTATTTATTTGAGCCACTATTGTATGCCCAACTCAGGAAATATAAAAATATATGACCTGGAGAAGCTTACATTGTGGTGGAACATTTACAAAATTATACTTACTTTTATTTCTCAAGCTTATTTTGTTGAAAGGAAAAGTAAATTGTAATGACTGTTTCACAGTAACTTTCATATATACACCTCATCCAGGTTCCAAGAACATGCTTGGAAGCAGGGACATCATCTCATAAAGTCCTTGTAAGAAAAGTGGGATTTTATTATTATCTCCATTTTGCAGACAATCAAGAGAATTACACACTCATTGAGGTATTTAAGTTACCAGGCTAGCAAATATGGAGTAGGATATCAATCTCCAAGGGGCTCCCAGGGCTATGCTCCTTCCCTCTGTTTAGGCAGCTTGGTAGGTTCTTCACTAATGTGGAATATCAGAACAACCTGCTTCAGTGCGACATCCACTTTTTCTATTTTCAATATTTTGTTATTCACATATTTATCTTGCTTATTTCCCTGTACATCTGAAAATTCTTGATTTAGTTTGCTCTAATACTCTGTTAGGGACTCCTGAATGTCAGAATTTACATTATGGCTCTGCATTTAATGATCTGCCCACAAGGATTAAACCATATGATACTTAAATCTTGCTTTTGCCATATTGGGGAAAAAATAACATTAGTCATCAGCTGCCATTTACTGAGTGTGTACTATCTTCTAGATATTATGCATTACTTAATTTATTTTTCCAGGCCTGGGAGGTAAGTGCTAGTGGTATCTATGATCTACAGATAAGGAGACAAAGGATTGGACCTGTAGCATTATATTGTATTAATGTATTGACTGCTGTATTAGTTTGCTAGGACTGCCATAACAAGGTACCACAGAGTGGGTGGCTTAAACAACAGAAATTAATTTTTTCACAGTTCTGGAGGCTGGAAGTCTGAGATCAAGGTGTTGGTTTCTTTGTTTTTTGAGACATAGCAGTGTTGGTTTCTTCTTCTTCTTCTCCTTCTCCTTCCTTCTTCTCCTCTTCTTCTCCTCCTTTTCCTACTCCTCCTCCTTTCTTCTCTCTCTCCTTAGCTTGTAGATGGCATCTTCTCCCTGTGTCTCCAGGTCATATTTCCTCTGTGCATGTCTGTGTTCAAATTTCCTCTTCTTATTTTGTAGTTTTTAAATTTTTTTTAAGAGACGGAGTCTTGAACTCCTGGTCTCAAGCTATCCTCCCACCTCACCATTCCAGAGTATTGGGATTACAGGCCTGACTCACCATGCCTGGCCCCAAATTTCCTCTTCTTAAAAGGAAACCAGGGCCGGGCGCGGTGGCTCACGCCTGTAATCCCAGCACTTTGGGAGGCCGAGGCGGGTGGATCATGAGGTCAGGAGATCGAGACCATCCTGGCTAACAAGGTGAAACCCCGTCTCTACTAAAAATACAAAAAATTAGCCGGGCACGGTGGCGGCCGCCTGTAGTCCCAGCTACTCGGGAGGCTGAGGCAGGAGAATGGCGTGAACCCGCGAAGCGGAGCTTGCAGTGAGCCGAGATTGCGCCACTGCAGTCCGCAGTCCGGCCTGGGCGACAGAGCGAGACTCCGTCTCAAAAAAAAAAAAAAAAAAAAAAAGGAAACCAGTCATACTGGATTAGGGCCTACTCTAATTACCTCGTTTTCATTTAATTGCCTCTTTAAAGACTCTATCAACACGCGGTGGCTCACGCCTGTAATCCCAACACTTTGGGAGGCCGAGGCGGGTGGATCACGAAGTCGGGAGATTGAGACCATCCTGGCTAACACGACGAAACCCCGTCTCTACTAAAAATACAAAAAATTAGCCGGGCATGGTGGCGGGCGCCTGTAGTCCCAGCTACTTGGGAGGCTGAGGCAGGAGAATGGCGTGAACCCAGGAGGTGGAGCTTGCAGTGAGCCGAGATTGCGCCACTGCACTCCAGCCTGGGCGACAAAGTAAGACTCCGTCTCAAAAAAAAAAAAAAAAAAAAAAAAAGACTCTATCAACAATTACGGCTACATTCTGAGGTACTGGGGATTAGGAGTTCATTTATTGGGGATGGGGAGGCACACAATTTAGCCCTTAATAACTGCCTTCCTACATGGACAACAGTCCACAAGAGTCAGAGATGGGTGACTCCCTTCTTTGGGCTAGGCCTAAGTTTGGTTATTTGATAATAAGCAATAAGGCAGACAAAAACAAAACAAAACAAAAACTAAGAATGAGGATATGTTAATGTTTAAACTGCTACATTTTTAAAAAATTTATTGCAAATAATTAAACATTTATGTCTTTTCCACAATGAGATTTTTCAGCTCTTTACTTGGGCAGATCTAACCTGCCCACCCTCCAGGAGGGTGAGCAAAGGGGTTCTTTCTACTGGGGCTACTACTTTAGACAGAGAGTGCTCATAATTCCCTATCTAAAGTTACTTCATGTTACTTCATCACTGCTTTCAAGACAGCAATAATGGTCAGCTGCAAGTTGGCAGACATTTTAGACAAATGACATAGAGGGCGTCTGCAGGCATTATGTGACCTATAAGTTGCAATTTTTCAATAGTCTCTTTTGAAAAAGTTTCATACAGATTTTAATGTGTCTTAATTTCAGTACAATACTCAATAGGCAGACTGCTATACATGCTTGTTTCCCACAGGAAAGGCAAAAGTTATTGTGTGATGATGATATGGTGAAATTGCTTGATCCTCCCTCACAAAGAGAATTTGTCCAGTGTTCTCTAAGAACAGATTTTTATTTGCCTTTTATCCTAAAATTTGGAAACAAAAGGGAGAAAAACATTTTTTTAGGTCTAGAATGACATCTTATTTGCACTATTAAAACAAAACAAATACAAATGGCTAATTCTCATTTGTTTGTAAGTATTTTATTTGATGGTACAAAAGATCATGGAATCTATCCTTTCTACAGTGAAGGCCACCCACCACCACAAGATTCATAGACTGACTCTGTCACTGATTCTCTAGGTGATATACTGAAAATGCTCCCTTTCTCTGTCCATCAATTTTTTCACCCATAAAATAGGCATAGGATGATAGCAGCCTCAAAAGGTTAGTGCAGGCCATCACCTTCATACATAAAATGGACTGAGATTCCCAGTTTGAGGAGTTGAACTTTTTTCTCACAGTGAATGGTATATATTTTTCAATATTTCTTAATTCCATCAATTATTATTATTATTATTATTATTTTTGAGACAGAGTCTCATTCTGCCACCCAGGCTGGAGTGCAATGGCACGATCTCGGCTCATTGCAACCTCCACCCCCTGGTTCAAGCGATTCTCCTGCCTCAGCCTCCCGAATAGCTGGGATTACAGGCGCCCGCCACCATGCCCGGCTAATTTTTGTATTTTTAGTAGAGACAGGGTTTTGCCATGTTGGCCAGTCTAGTCTCCAACTCCTGACCTCAGGTGATCCGCCTGCCTTGGCTTCCCAAAGTGCTGGGATTACAGGCATGAGCTACCACGCCTGGCCAATTCCATCAAATTACAACAGAAAAATCAAAGTCATGCCTTGTGCCTTGTAGAAGTCTGTGCTCCATGGGTGTGACCACTGCCAAAGTACAACACCAGGACAGAAAGAAGCAACAATTGCATTAAAAGACATGAAGGTAGCTGAAAGGGAGAAGCATCCCTTAGAAAGGCAGGATGGTCTTCAGGGATTGGATCCAGCAAAAATAGATTGCAGAATTACCCGAGGACAGAAGTGGTGAAGCCATTTCATTGCAGATGTCACTTAGTTCTCTGATGGCTTGAGAAGGATCATCTTAATGTGAAAAGTGGTGGCTATAGATAGTTCTGAAAAACAAGGCAGAAGTGAAAGTTCTTTCTGAAGTGAAAGATGTGATTGAACAGATGAGAGGTTTGATTAAAATGTCCCAGATGGTAAAGTGAATATATTTTGATGGTTCAATATTAAGCTCTTTGGTGACAAAAATATAGTCAAGATGAATTGCCTAGCCTTCAAGAGATTTGATTCAAATATGACATGTAGTTTCTAAGGTACCTACTATTTCTTTTACCACTAGCCTAGCCTTCAAGAGATTTGATTCCAATATGACATGCACTTTTTAAGGTACTTGCTATTTCTTCTACCAATAAGGTAGTGCAATTAATGTCTGTATTTTTATTTTAGACTTCACAGACACTTGAACTATAAAAGTCATTGATTTAAATTTTGAAACATGATTTCTTGATCCAACAATACATTGTTTAATCTTTTCCTCTAGTTCTATGGCTAAGTATTTATTTATATTTAATTTAGCAACTCACTTCTTTGGTGGTGATACACAACTGAACCAACATGGCAACTAATTTCCTAACTTAAACATCGTTAGTGAGAATTTGAATTATTTATATGGGAAACCCATCCCTGGACCAGAGAGTATGACGGCACTGATCTATATCATTTTATACAACTGCATTTTGAAGATTTTAAGAATTGGAAGCCCTATGATAATTTAGTTATTGATATTTTTAAAACATGTTAACAAATACTATACCATTGATTCTATTTTTAGTAATTATTTTCAGTAATGGTAGACCAGACATCTTAGATCAACCCTCATGCTAACTAGAAAACAATCTGATTGGAACTGTAGGGGAGGGAAGACTCCCTCTGCCCTCTGAGGGTTTGATAATTAAGTGTATGAAATAAATTGACAGCAGGCAGATTAATAAGAGAAAGATATAAAAATTTATTTTGTGGCCGGGCGTGGTGGCTCACGCCTGTAATCCCAGCACTTTGGGAGGCCAAGGCGGGCGGATCACGAGGTCAGGAGATCGAGACCATCCTAGCTAACACAGTGAAACCCCATCGGTACTGAAAACACAAAAAAATTAGCCGGGCATGGTGGCGGGCGCCTGTAGTCCCAGCTACTCAGGAGGCTGGGGCAGGAGAATGGCCTAAACCCCGGAGGCGGAGCTTGCAGTGAGCCGAGATCGCGCCACTGCACTCCAGCCTGGGAGACGCGGCAAGACTCCGTCTCGAAAAAAAAAAATTTTATTTTGTGCATGGAGGTATCACATGAAAAATAAGTGAATGCCCCCCAAGCCCAGTGAGATCTAGAAGCTTATATACTGTCTTCATAGGGAAGACAGGAAGGGGGATGTAGGCAATGTAGGGGAGAGGAAATTATTTTTGGGAAAGATGAATGGGCCCTCCAAAGAACAGGTGACTGTCTGTGACAAAGTTTATCTTGCATAGTATCAACTTCCAGTCTCCTCTCCTGTGATACGAGTTAATCTTCCCTAGAATACATATATATATGCTTATAATAAACAACAGAAGGATATATCATAACATTTAAAATTATTACTCTAAGGTAAGAGAGGCTATTAGGATGAAGGAGAAAGATTTCTTTGGATATAATTTGATTTGACCTTGGGACTATGTAAAAATATTTTATGTAACGGTAGAAACAAATATTAAAAAGTCCAATCCCTAGACATCAACAGCAAAATGAAGTTAATATTCCCTAAGAATACATACATATATGCTTATAATAAACAACAGAAGGATATATCATAACCTTTAAAATTATTACTCTAAGGCAAGAGAGGCTATTAGCATGAAGGAGAAAGATTTCTTTGGATATAATTTGATTTGACCTTGGGACTATGTAAAAATATTTTATGTAATGATAGAACCAAACATTAAAAAGTCCAATCCTAGACATCAACAGCAAAACAAAGTAAATGGATCTGTATATCTAGATCATAACATAAGTGTGCAGGAAGGGATACTCCAAATACTTTGAAAAATAGTCATTTGAACACAAATGAACATTACTAGTGTGGTATATACCCTAAGGCAGCAGTTCTTGAACCTTCTGGTCTCATGACCCACTTACACTCTTAAAAAGTAATGAAGTGATGCAGATGATAATTTGAGGATGCCTTGGGAATTAGAGTTCGGATGCCAGCAATGACAGTCATTAAAATAAAATATGTTCTCCTTAAATAATATTTCAGTGAACAAAACACCAAGGAGTTTTCCAGGGAGCTCTCTTTTGAACCTTGATCTATAGCATATTAGGTGGTGGAGCTTTGCAATCCAAAGAATTTGTGTTTCTGTAGGTTATAACTATTGACATTTACCGTATTATATAGTAAAACAAAAAAATTTGGTTAATTCATTTAAAAATAACAGTAATAAACCCATTTTATGTTAGCATACATATTTTATGAAAAATAGCTATTTTTTAAAATAAAAAGAGTGACACTGTTTTACAATTTTGCAAATCTCTCTAATGCCTTGTTTAATAAAAGAAAGCTGAATTCTTCTTTCTGCATTCAATCTCTTGCAATATAAATGTCATCTGAAAATAATAATGAAAAAGAAAAATTAGTGTCAGAATTAGTATGAAATAATATTAGCCCACAGACCCACTACAAGGGCCTCAGGGGTCCCCAGACCACATTTTGAAATTAACTGCAATTGTTGCCATTATAGAAATCACTGTCCTTAGGACAAAAAAAAAAGCAAACATTTTTTGAAAATTATTTTCTTAGTAACAATATTGTTGGTGACACTGGTGGGGATGGCTATGGCAGAAGCTGATGCAGATGATAATTTGAGAATGCCTTGGGAATTAGAGTTTGGATTCCCAGCAATGACAGCCACTAAGATGAAATAAGCTCTCCTAACATAACATTTCAGTGAACAAAGCACCAAGGAGTTTTCCAGGGAGCTCTCTTTTGAACCTTGTTCTACAGCTTGGTGGGAGGTGGAGTTTTCCCCAAGGTAAATACAATAGAACCTTACAAATGGAAGGATGGGACCCTCCTGGAGAGCATGATGCTCATCTCAGAGATGTAGGGCACAATGACCTAGGAGAAGACAAATCCTAGAACACAGTGTAAGCTTCTTATTCAGCTCATCATACTGTTTGTTCCAATTGATTATCATCATGGATTGCTGGCATTTTACATGCTGAATCTATTCCAATTGACAACTGTAAGTGTTCTGTTTAACTAAAATTCTCAAGTTAGCCATACTAATTATTAGTGGGGATTCTTTCAGGCTTTCTTGCCTCTCTCCTGCCCTAACTTACTTTTTATTGCTTCTCCAGACATCTGAGATTATCCTCACCTTCCGTCAGCATGATGTCCTACACTCATTAGGATTTCCTATTCCCCAAAACTTGTAATTGGATCCTCTTCAAGAACGTTGGGTTCTTGACTAGAAACTAAAAATATCTACACTACGGTTTACGTTACATTGTTTTCTGTGTGCACTGATGCACCTGGTTGACTTATGGGACTTTTAGATGATATTTAGTGACAGATTTAAAACACTGACTTTTTTTCTTTTATTTCCTCCTCTCTCACATATCAAAGAACACTGTTTTTAGAGGATGAGTGCATGTTACTCCTTTCACTGAATGTCCTTTATCCTTCCTAAAAAGTTTTCCTTTTTAAATCTAACTCACTTTTCTTCACGATCAAAAAGCTTCATTCTTCTCTGTCATAAAAACAATTCCCTTACCAAGGTTAATTTACTATATTGTGGGTTAATTTAAATAACGTGTTTAAAGAACAATATTATTTAAAATTTTAGAACGCACACAATGGACTTTTATCCACGTATTATTAAAGTCACAGTAGTGACTTTAACATTCTACATTGAGCTTTTAGGACAACTAATATACTCCACAGCTAATAAATGCATGTAGTTACCGTGGGTTTTTTTTGTACTTTATAATTCTAAATGATGCCTCCCAGTTTTTATTATGTGTATAGCAGTTGTTTGAAAAGAAAATGAAATGGAATTTTAATTTTCTAACACTCTTACTCCAAGAGAACAACAAAATTACAAAGGTATCATTGATGTTCAGTTTATTATTATTCCATTAACTCCGTTAAATATAATATGAATAATAAATTGAGTGTATGTATGTGTAAAGTGTGTCATTTGGCTCACAGAATATGTAGCTAAACCATCAAAAGATTGGACCTATCTGTATTCTCCACCTTGCTGCTGAGATGAGCTTCATGAGCATACAATAATGTGGCCACATATAAATACCTTAATATACACAGAATTTGTTGATAATCTACAGTTTATTTTCAAGATGTCGATTTAAAATGCTGGAAAAAGTAATTAAATTATGATCAAGCTACAAAGCATTAAAATTAATATCTAGAATTATTTTTTAAAGTCCAGTGTAATATTTACAATGCTATCTCCAAAATTTTAGTGCAATTATTTATATAGTTCAATATTCTTGAAACACCATTTCACAAGAACCAACTAGTAAACGATACTAGTATACTTGGGCTATAATGTATTTTAGGTGCAACTCCACATATATATTCACTTCACATGCACAAACTTCTAATATTAATTAAGGTAATTGAGATGTAAATTTACAGGTTTTTTTTCTTTGAAAAGTGCAGAGACTTTAGAAGTTATAATTACCGGACATCCTAGTCCTATGTAAAACTTGAATTTCTGCATGAATAGGCCATGTCTATACTCTCAGTTTTATATTCTGTATTAATTCTACTATTAAAGCAAACATGATATAAAACATAGCCTTAAGAAATTAAAACACACACAAAAAAATCCCTTAATATATTAATGGATACTTTTCTTCATTCTAAGCATCTGAAGAAATCCTCTGGGAAATAGTTTGTATCTATGTTTTAGTATAACATATTAAACTAAAATTATTATTTGTAAAGTAGTGTCTAATATAATATGGCTTCCAGAAAGATATAGTCCATACCTATTTAGCTTTGAATGCGAGGCTTTAAGCAAAAATTCAAAGTGCCTCTCCTTTCCATATCTCAAGACCACAGCCTGAAAGACTTTTAATGGGCAACCACTAGTTTTTATCTTGGGAATATTGCAAATTAAACAAATTAGGTCACCAATATGTACCTTCATATGCAATTTGAACAAAAGGGAAATACCGCAGTAAGTGGTTAATTGGTCAAATAGTGTATTTTTTTGTTCTTGAGTAACAAGATGTTTTTCAGAAGTTTAGTAGCTAAATAGATAAGAAATACATAAACAACTATATATTGCCCCCCCCCTTTTTTTTTTTTTAAGACAGAATTTTGCTCTTGTGGCCCAGGCTGGAGTGCAATGGCACGATCTCAGCTCACTGCAACCTCTGCCTCCCGGGTTCAAGTGATTCTCCTGCCCAGCCTCCCGAGTAGCTGGGGTTACAGGTATGCGCCACCACACCTGGCAAATTTTGTATTTTTAGTAGAGATGGGGTTTCTCCATGTTGGTCAAGCTGGTCTCGAACTCCCGATCTCAGGTGATCCGCCCGCCTT
Source organism: Homo sapiens (assembly GCF_000001405.40). Taxonomy (NCBI): domain Eukaryota; kingdom Metazoa; phylum Chordata; class Mammalia; order Primates; family Hominidae; genus Homo; species Homo sapiens. The sequence continues at coordinate 27,849,140 of NC_000006.12, read as the reverse complement.
GGCCTCCCAAAGTGCTGCGATTACAGGTGTGAGCCACTGTGTCTAGCCTATATTGCCTTTTAATTCTTGTTTTTTACAATGATGGCAATCCATAATGTTATTCAATTGTTGTTTAATCCTTTCATAAGAATGTTATTCTAGTTTTTCTGGTAATTAAAAAGACAGCTCTGGAAACTTCCGTAGACTTACCTATAAATCTGTTATTGTTTTGATTTCATATCACTTTTAAAGATTGTGTACATTTTGTTTTGTTTTTTTAAGTAATGTGGTCCAGCTAGTCACCCAGGCTGAAATGCAGTGGGGCCATCCTAGCTTACTGCAGCCTTGAACTTCTGGGCTCAAGCTATCTTCCTACTCCAGCCTCCCAAGTAGCTGGGACTATAGACATGAGGCACCTCTCCTAGCTTCACTTTTAAAGGTTTTAAAATCTAATCTTTCTCTGGTTTTAGCTTGCTTAATACAAAATTCAATTATGTTCTATAGGAAAAATTTCCTCTACTTTGGGATCTTGGCAGTGATCCTCCTAGAAATGGTGATGGGCAAAACAAAAGGCTTTTGATTTTGTTGAAATGTGTTTGATAGGCTACATTAAAGCCACAGCACAAAGAAACCTTGTAGAGCAAAGGAATAAAGAAATTATTGATGAAACTCTGAATCCTGGAAGGAAACTCAAAGATCATCTTACTAAACCCTACCTTTATTTACATTTGAAGGAATGGAAACCAAGAAGTATTTGTGAAAAACATGCTGTCACGCCAGAACCCAGATCTCTGGGATTCCTGTCCAATGTGTGTGTGTGTGTGTGTGTGTGTGTGTGTGTGTGTGTGTTTGAGAGAGAGAGACAGTGTGAGAGTAGGAGAAAAAGCAGGAGGAGGGGAAGGCGAAAAGGGAGAGAGAAAGCACAATTCTCTCATTCCATATATGTATTGAGTGCCTACTATATGTCAGGGATACACCAATAAATGATATGGATTGTAACACATATTTACTTTTGTAAATGAGCAATTCTATTATAAAAGATAAATATGCTTTTAGTTAGTAAAATGTAGGCAAAAATGCTTAAGATGTTTTAAGTAGACATAAGTAGTTAGTAAAAAGAGCATATGTTGTTAAATATAGATATAAGGGATGGAAGGGTCAAAAGATACCTAATGTTCCTGATGCACAAAATATACAAAAGGAGCCACACATTCAGAATTCACAGATATATGAGACATCGAAGCACTGACTCATTATTCATGAGGCCTTGAGTCAGCCACAAATTGGAGACACCATAAGTTCTCTACTTTAGGAACAAAAATAAAATCCATGGCTATTCAACCAACTAATTGGTTGGGTCCAGGCATATATATCTCTGTGTCTATCCTACAGGCTGATTGAGCGATGTAAAAGAGATCAGATATACGGAAACTGCTCACACTTGAGTCAGATAGTGTGGTTCTTCCAATTCACTTACACACTAAACCATTAACTTGCTCTTCTTTTTCCCCTTGCTGCTTGCTATGTTTTTTAATGAAGCTGTGATTTGAGCATTTCACTGCATAGTCTGCAAACCTATTTGTGCTGTGTCCTCTGGGAGAGCTTGCATGGGACTATACTTGGAGCCTACCAGGGCATCAAGGTAATTTCTCACATGGTACCAATAAGGACCCTCTATCATAACAAAAATGTGGAACAGTCACCTTTAGACAGCAACTTGCAGGAAGTGAGGGAAAAATGATGGAGGTGTGTTCCAGTCAGAGGTAAAATAACGTAGAGGGGCTCACAGGGACACAATGCTCAGCAGTTTGAGGAACATCAACGGGGCCAGGGTAGCTAGAGTAGAGGAAACAAGTAAGACAGCCCTAGGAGATGAGGCCAAATACATCACTGGGGCCAGAGTATGCAAAACTTCATAGGGCAAGGTAAGGGCTTTGGAAGTTTCTGAGTCAAGGAGCAGGTGATCTGACCGAAACTTTTAGAAGGCTATCAGGATGCTGAGGGGAGCACAGACTGGAGAGGCACAGAGATAGGAGCAGGTACACCAGGTAGAAGCTATGTAATAACCAGGAGAGAGGAGGTGGGTGCAGAGTAGGTCAGCACTGGCAATGGAAAGTAAAGGGCTCCCAGTATGGATTACTTATCCCTAGATTACTGCCAAAGGAGTCTTCTTTCCTAGTCTTATTACTCTGTTCATTTCTGCCCAATTAAAACCTCCAAATGTCACTTTTTTTCTTGTTAAAAACACTTTTCTTTTCTTTTTTTTTTTCTTTTTTTGAGACGAATCTCGCTCTGTTGCCCAGGCTGGAGTGCAGTGGCACAATCTCGGCTCACTGCAAGTTCCGCCTCCCGGGTTCACGCCATTCTCCTGCCTCAGCCTCCCGAGTAGCTGGGACTACAGGCACCCACCACCATACCTGGCTAATTTTTTGTATTTTTAGTAGAGACAGGGTTTCACTGTGTTAGTCAGGATGGTCTCGATCTCCTGACCTCATGATCCGCCCGCCTCGGCCTCCCAAAGCATTGGGATTACAGGGGTGAGCCACCGCGCCCAGCAAAGACACTTTTCAAAACAATGCTTTCCTTTCCACACACATAAATCTAAACTAATCAGCCTGGGCATTGTGTTTCTTGAGCCCTGGAAGATGGTATCTGTTTTGTTGAAGAATTTGCCCATTCTGTCCCATCTCTCTGACTTAGGACACACCACACTAAATCCTGATATATAAATTGTATATATCATTAAGACTTCTTTAGTTGTCCTTTAGGATGTATGTCCTTTAGGACAGTGACCATGTTCTTTTGTATTGACTGTTTCTCCAAGGACACATTCAATGATAATCAATGTGGAGGACTTCCGAGATAATGACCCTTTGCCATCACAGGCTGTCTACCTCTTCTCAGCATTAAGACCCTCTGCTTATTCACATGCCCACAGCTCTCGAGGGAAGAAAAGAAGTCTAGAAATACCCAACCAGGCGCATGGACAAATTGGCCTACGTAGGCCTTCCTCCATGCCTCCCCTTCCCCCAAACCCACATTTATTTTCATTCCTTTCCTTCTAGTCTGGCACAACATGTCAGTAAAAAGGACACAAGACTAGAAAGCAAATTCTGAGATTTGGAGCATCTGTCTCAGAATAAGCAGTTGCAATATGCCTTATCTTTCCCAGAATATGTTCTTGCTCCACATCTAACAATAAAGTTCCAAGAAGGGGAATTCGTCAACATCTCTCTGACTGATTTAACAAGGTGAAGACATATCTGTTTAAGAGGTATTGCTGGTAGCCAGACGAGAGAAGCTATTGAGACATCTGCAGTGAGGTACCTGTTGCAAAGCCCCACCGAGAAGGTGGCTGCGGGGAACTCATTCCTTCTTTGGGATCAGCATGGTTCTGTATTACATTTTTAGAAGAGCTGAGTTTCCATGTGTTCTTAAGGTCTAGGATGTATACAGGAGCTCCAGTATCACAGTGGACCCCACAGAAGTGGCCAACTACTTACATTTCAATATCCTTCTCTGCTTTTTTGTTTATCAGACCAAAGCTGAATGTGAATCTGATGGCTGCTGCTTTAGTTCAAAGCCAATGGAGTGCTATACCTACAGAAGCAGAACTTTAATAAACTGGCCTGAGCAATAGCAAATGGGGAGGACTTCTGAATTAACGACCCTTTGCCATCACAGGCTGTCCACTTCTTCTCGGTAATAAGACCCTCTGCTTATTCACATGTCCACAGGTAACCTCTAGAGGGAAGAAAAGAAGTTTAGAGATAGCCAACCAGGTGCATGGACAAATTGGCCTACCTAGGGCAGATGCCTCAAGTATTTTTCTTCTGCAACTGATTATCAGCACTGCAGACTATTTCTGAGGACATTCTGGCATTATTAGAAGCCCTCCAGCCACTCTCAGCTTTGACATGTCCTCTATGTAGTTTCTGCAATGAAAGTAATTAATGTCATGGTTCTCGTAGAGCAGTACTGGTTCTTACGGAGCATTCTGGAAATTAAATAAGTTGGGTTTTTATTGTTGTTGTTGCTGGTTTTTTTTTTTTCTTTTTTGCTGTCCTGGTGATTGGGAAAGGGCACACTACTGACATTTAGGGAAGGACCAGGGATGCTAGATATCCTGTGAAGAAGCCTCAACTCATGCATGACTTCCAGGTATCTCAAAATCAATCTGAAGATGAAAAACCTGATTATTTGAGGCTAAAACAGAATTCCTTTTACACATAAGCATGAAATGTCTGTGTGTGTGCATAGTTTAATGTGCACTGAATTTTCCAAGAATGCAATCACTTTACAAATTAAGAGAAGACTGTATTTTATTGTGTTCAAATGTCACTCAGCATTACTGGCCTTTTCAAAAAGAAAAAAATCACATTACTGAGAGTAATGTCCCTTGTGGTATTTGAGTTACCTGAGTCAGTTGGTTTGGTCCTTGTTGCATTCAGGATAGTCCCATACAGAGCTGGAACATCCAACTACTTCATTTTGTTTTCTAGTATAGGGCCCAAGCATTTATAGGTTGAAAGTATCATCTTTATTGTTAAAATACCATCCCTTATTTAGCTTTTAAATCATATTAAGTTGCTTTAGCAATTTTTGAAAAATTAAGTTAAATAGTATTACCTAAGAATTTAATTACAGGCTGTAAAAAGGACCATAAAAATATTAGACATAAAAAGGGAGCCTAGGCCTGACAGGTGTGAGAACCACTGCTTTTTATATATTCTCATTTGTAAGCCCTGTTTAATGAGCTACACAAGCACCAACCTCACAGAGGGTCGATAAATACAGGTCACAACCCTCACTGCTACTCCAAATGGTTGCACCAGGACCTGACTATATGATTTCAAAGCCTGAGTTGCTGCCCTTGTGCCTTGGGATTTTAAGGCTCTTCCCAAATTAATATGCTTAGAATCCCAGTGTTTTCTTACAGCTTTTCTCAATTTCTCCATCAAAAATAATTCCTTTTCTCTAGTATAATTACAGAACTATGGCTGAGGCACTTCTTTTATTTTTCCTTGTATCAGTGGGAATTCTTACTGTCAGGGGATGAGGTTATTTGTTCTCACAGTCTATCCCCATTGTTCTTTCCATTTTCTGACCCTCAATAAAACCTTGCTAAGTTTCATCACTCACATTTACCAACCCCCTAGAGATACTTACGTGCGTGTTCAACTTTGGAAATTGATAGAAATTTTTTTTTCCTTCCTAGATGGAATCTTGCTCTGTCACCCAGGCTGGAGTGCAGTGGCGCAATCTTGGCTCACTGCAACCTCCACCTCCCGGGTTCAAGCAATTCTCCTGCCTCAGCCTCCCGAGTAGCTGGGATTACAGGTGCACACTACCATGCCTGGCTAATTTTTGTATTTTTTGTAGAGATGGGGTTTCACCATGTTGGCCAGGCTGGTGTTGAACTCTTGACCTCAGGTGATCCACCCACCTCAGCCTCCCACAGTGCTGGGATTACAGGCATGAGCCGGCACACCTGGACAGACATTTTTATCATTATTCCAGTATGGAAACATTTTCTCCTGTTTTTTAGTACCACGCATCTGCTTTACCTCATGCAGTCTCCCAACCTTTATGATTTGGTGACAGTATCAGAAAAGGAGAGGCTCTGAAACACAAGTTAAAAGGAATTGGGAAATGAATAAATTGGCCATCTGCAGAAGTAACAGATATTTGAGATGGTTTAGAAATGAATGGATGATTAAATTCACACCATGTTTTCCACATCACGTAATAGGAAATGGACCTCAGATAAGTTGTGATCACATTAATTTAACATGCCCTTTATCAGGCAATGTTTGCTGTAATGAAATAAACAAAAAAAAAATAAAAATAAAAATAAATAAAAAAGGAGCATGTCCAGTACTACGTCATAACTGAAGAATGGTAGACTGCATGAAATCTAGAAATGAGTGAAAAAGAATTAGGCTTTGTCAGTATGTTTCTTGCAATCTCCATGGAAGGGAGTGCTCTGTTTCCAATGAGGAAAATATAAATTTTTCTAGTCTGGCCAAAGACCATTTATTCAGGTAAATAGTTGTTTTTTCAAGACATAGCTGTAAAAAAAAAAAAAAAAAAAAGTCCTTTAGGACCAGATTCTCTCATATAATTCTATGTTCCAATCTGTTCCTTTTTGCCCTACAAATTGTTCTTCAGAAAAAAAAATATATATATATATATAGACATATATATATAGACATATATATAGACATATATATATATACATACACAAAAAGTTATTTGGGGCAAAACATGAATCATGTGCTTTCTTGAAGCTACCATATAAAAGTTCCAGTGTAAAGCACTAACATGACAACCTGGTTTGGATTAGCTCTAATCAATTCCCCAAGGCTCATTAGCAATGTCATAAATTAATCAAGATTGTTTCAGCAACAGAGGGTACCATGCTTGGCTATCAGGTGCAAATAACTTAAAAGATCTATCTTTGAGTCCTTATTTCTCTTTATCTCTCTGTTTTAGAAATTTTAACTTCTTAATAACTGAGAGTAATGGGCCTGATATGTGAACTTTGTAAAGAAGTGTTCAATTTTTTTCTGAATGCTTCTCTCCATTCTCCACACAGATTTTAGCCACCGCACACACAATATTCTTCTAGACATCTTCTTCCCTGCTGACAATTCCAGGTTATTCAAGTAGTCCCTGATGGCCCAAACTTCATATAGACATATAGATGCAGAAATATAGACATCTATCTATATTCTCTGTATGTTTAATAAGGAGTCACTTCACTATTCTTTATTCTGGCCTGGAGAATGTGTTTAGGTATCTTAATCCTTCCAAATCCCCTTCTCACTTTCTCTTCTGGATTTTAACTACAGATTCCTCCATTCCATAAAACAAACCAATATCAGAATTTCCTGCTGATTATCTGTATTAATGGAGAGGCTCAAAGGCACCTGTGCTATGAAAAGTTGTGATGAAAAAACTCAAATGTATGATGAATTTACTGTTCTCAAGTATTTTGGTGTGAAATGGTGGGAGGAGAGGAGATACATAAATGCAAAAAGTATAATCTCTGTTCTAACAGAGAGAGGAGTATACACACATACACATACATAACATATATACAAAATACATATATACATACACACACACAGCCTCCAGAGAGATGTTACAAAGATTTTGTGGGAAGTTAAGTAGAGATTATAAGAGCTAGAGGAGCTAAAGGAAGACAGAGCTCAGCTAGGCTCTAATAGAGAGGGCTTCAGAGAGTGAGACTTGTGTGAACTTTGGAGGATAAGTTAGGATTTAGATAGATGGAGAAGCAGGGAGAAAGAACATTTAATTAAATGGATTTCATGAAGTCTGAATTGTATCAATTCTGTGCCAAATGCAGATTCAATACATCAAATAATGTAAAGAAACCAACTGTAATGAAGCACCATCAAGATCCTCCAAGCACTTCCTGGGAATCAGGATTTTTGGTCTAGGGTCTTTAGTCTACAGATTGAGAAGCAAGGGTACCTGGAGATTGGTTGCTGACTCTTAATTTTAGCCAAATCTTGAGCTTTCTGAATCCATGGGCCTTCTTAATGCTCTCTGTGAATCTTCTTTTTCTCTTCCTTAAGAGAGGAGAAGGAATGAATAATATTTAGAAAATGAATAATATTTACAGGAACACTATTAAGTTTGAGTTTCTCACCTGTAAGTTTTCCTTTATGACAAACTATGTGATGCTTGTAACTTGTTTTTACACAGGGGGTTTTTTCCTATTATATTTTCCAGTATAGTATTTGATACATAAGTTTAATACATGTAACATATATTTAAAGTGTAAATCAGGCTGGGCATGGTGGCTCATGCCTGTAATACTAGCACTTTGGGAGGCCGAGGAGGGTGGATCATGAGGTCAGGAGTTCAAGACCAGCCTGGCCAACATGGTGAAACCCCATCTCTACTAAAGATACAAAAAATTAGCTGGGTGTGGTGGCGGGCTCCTGTAAACCCAGCTACTCGGGAGGCTGAGGCAGGAGAATTGCTTAAACCTGGGAGGCGAGGGTTGTAATGAGCCGAGATCGCGCCATTGCACTCCAGCCTGGGCGAAACGGTGAGACTCTATCTCAAAAAAATAAAAATAAAAATAAAGTTTAAATCAAATTATATCAAAACCCATGATAAAACATCTAACCCAAAACTGGAATATTGACGACAACTTGTATTTACCTCTGTGTTTTTCCCCATCCCATGTCTTGCCTTTATCGCTAAGATAGCCAGTGCCAGGTATTTTAAAAACTCTCTTAAAAGTTTTCATTATCACGCACTTGTGTATACTTATTCTGTATAAGCGCTTCTATATACACTTCAACAATGTATAATTTGGTTTTATTTTCATTTTATTTATTTATTTATTTATTTATTTATTTATTTATTTATTTATTTATTTTAAGAGGTAGGGTCTCACCATACTGCCCAGGCTGGTCTTGAACTCCTGAGCTTAAGCAAACCTCCCATCTCAGCCTCCCAAAGTGCTAGGATTACAGGCATGAGCCACCATGCCCAGCCATGGTTTTACTTCTGAGTTTAAAAAAAATGTTATTATATATGAACCTTCTGAGACTTACATTTCTAAAATTCAACCAGGTACTGTGTGTACCTCAATAAATGCATTATTTTGACCATGAACATGTAGTTGCCTCTAGTATTTTTATCTATTAAAAATGGCATTTTTTCCATTCTCATATGTCTCCTGTTGCATGTGTGCAAAATATTCTTTCATGTAAACAGCTAGGAATCGAATGGTTGGGTCACTGGAGTACACTTACTGGATAAAAAATATTATCAAAAACCTTCAGCAAATACAATTTGATGTGGAAGAGTTCCCACACTGATTCTTGGCAAAGACCAAAATACTTTTAAATATGCCACTCCTAAGTGTTTAAAATGAAGACACTCATTTTGATTTCCTGAGTTGGGGGTGGGGGAAAACAATGGAGAACAGCCCTTCTCCTCCTCTATTTTTTTTTCTTTTAACATTTCTTCCAATTACTAGAGATACAGTAAACGCAAGTGACACAGACAAGAAAACATGGAGCAGACCCTAACAGAAAAAGTAGGGAATAGAAACTATGTTCATAAATAGGAATTCCACACAAGAGAATTATGGGAATGAGTAAGACAGCAAGATTCCTCCAAAAAACCTGCACTGCCAAGAATTTTCCCAACTAGAACACTCACCAGAGAAAACGGTGGCCAAGTTTCAAACTGCCCTCGCAGTGTCGGGATTGGCCATTGACATCAACTCAGCCCGATTGACGTGTACGGTGCTGTAAACTGGGTTCAAACTTTTTTCTACTGCCTTTCTATCTTAATATTTAGCAAATCCAAACTGGGGACAAGGGAGGAGAAACAGCACCACTCTCAAAACAAACAAGTCGATTTGTACGTTTGTGTGTGTGCCAACTGCTTCATTACTAAAGTACACATGAAGTTTAGGGACAGAGCGCCGGAAGCACTGTGGATATTTTACCAGTGACACTTAAGTATTATATTTTCTTTGGGGTCAACAGGAACTGAATTTTCCCTTTACTAGGTTTGTCTGATGATAAACCTCATCCTTCTTCAGATATAAAATTGTCTCAAGCGTTGCTGCAACATGCAGTACACTGCAGTGCTAATTAATTTCTTTTCTTTTTCTTTCTTTTTTGAGACAGAGTTTCGCTCTTACTGCCCAGGCTGGGGTGCAATGGCCCGATCTCGGCTCACTGCAACCTCCATCTGCCGGGTTCAAGCGATTCTCCTGCCTCAGCTTCCCGGGTAGCTGGGATTACAGGCGTCCGCCACCACGCCCAGCTATTTTTTTGTACTTTTAGTAGAGACGGGTTTCACCATGTTGGCTAGGCTCGTCTCGAACTTCTAACCTCAGGTGAGCCACCCGCTTCGGTTTCCCGAACCGGGATTAGAGGCTTGAGCCAAAATTAGTTTCTAACAAGGCTAAAGGAATCTTGGAAATCGTCTTTGTAGCAAGTAAGAAATACCTGCTGTAAGAACAGTGAGTGCCAGTTCTCTTTGGGAAGACTGAGTGGCTCTGAAAAGAGCCTTTGGGGTGTGGGCCGAGACTGACCGAACGTTCCGCGGTGGGCGGGCTCACTTGGAACTGGTGTACTTGGTGACGGCCTTGGTGCCCTCCGACACCGCGTGCTTGGCCAGCTCCCCTGGCAGCAGCAGGCGCACGGCCGTCTGGATCTCCCTGGAGGTGATGGTCGAGCGCTTGTTGTAATGCGCCAGGCGGGAAGCCTCGCCGGCGATGCGCTCGAAGATGTCATTGACGAAGGAGTTCATGATGCCCATGGCCTTGGACGAGATACCGGTGTCGGGGTGGACCTGCTTCAGCACCTTGTACACGTACACGGAGTAGCTCTCCTTGCGGCTGCGCTTGCGCTTCTTGCCGTCCTTCTTCTGGGCCTTTGTCACTGCCTTCTTGGAGCCTTTCTTCGGGGCAGGAGCGGACTTTGAGGGCTCGGGCATGACTGGGAGTAACTGCCGGAAAATTGGAGGAAAAAAACAGGAAGACGGTAGCTCTGTCAACCTACCGCTTATTCACTGCTTCTTAACGCAAGTGGGGTAGAGAATGAAGTTGTGCGTTTAACCAGTGGTGAGTCCTGGAAACGTATATTAACTTTGTCCAATCAAAATAAGTGTTTTTCAAAACCGCAATCCCATTGGTTAAAGCGAAACTGTAATGTTAGCCAATAGCACAGCTTAGTTTTCGTGCCTCTGTTGACTATAAGTAGCGGAGCTTTAGCGTTACGTCAGTCTCAGGAACGTTACTGATTGAATTTTTTACGTCATGTCGGGACGTGGCAAGCAGGGCGGCAAAGCTCGCGCCAAGGCTAAGACCCGTTCTTCAAGGGCGGGTCTTCAGTTCCCAGTGGGCCGAGTGCACCGACTGCTCCGCAAGGGCAACTACGCTGAGCGGGTCGGTGCCGGAGCGCCGGTGTACCTGGCGGCGGTGTTGGAGTACCTAACCGCCGAGATCCTGGAACTGGCTGGCAACGCGGCCCGCGACAACAAGAAGACCCGCATCATCCCGCGCCACTTGCAGCTGGCCATCCGCAACGACGAGGAGCTCAACAAGCTGCTTGGTAAAGTGACCATCGCCCAGGGTGGTGTCCTGCCCAATATCCAGGCCGTGCTGCTGCCTAAGAAAACTGAGAGCCACCACAAGGCCAAGGGCAAGTAGCGGGGCTGGAGCAGTTCATTACTCATACCTCGGTCCAAACCAAAAAGGTTCTTTTCAGAGCCACCTACTTTTTCACCAAGTAGAGCTGTGTTCAGTTTTATCTGATAGTCGAGTCATTTTGCAATGGCACTGGAATGCTGTATGGAGATGAAGCAAAACTAAACGGCTTTTACACCACATTGTTTTGAGATAGAAAGTAGACATTGAAATGTTTACGGTACATCAAGAAATTTAGGCGCGGCAGCTCGCGCCTGCAATACAGCTGAAACAATAAGAAAAGTGAGGCAAGAGAATAACAAAGGGAGCTGAAAGTTAGAGGGCAGAATAAGTAAAAGCAAAGGGCAGAAGTAAGGTAGATGGGCGGGTGAACAAGAAGCGAGATAACAAGCAGTGAACCTTTTGCAGCCGAAACAAAAGAGATAATGTGAGCAAGGACCTCGTGGCCGGCAAGATCTGGAACAAACCAGTTTAAGAGGCAGCTCTTCAGAGATGGGCATGCGTATTAGAGAGGAAAAGTATCCTTAACAAAAGCCCGTATGATAATCAGCTACTTAAGGTTCATGCATATGGGCTACATATCATGCATATATTTAAGATTATAAGATAGAGGCACAAGCCACAGAGGACAAAGTAAGCAACAAACCTATCAATAAAAGGGCAGATGCTGGCTATAGATTAGGCAGCACTGGGAACAGAAAACATACACACACGCACGCACACACATAAAATGACTCAAACTACAGCAAGCTGACGCTGATCTCACCTCGCAGAGGTCAGTCCGCTCTCTCCCACCCCCGAGAGTGTAATACTCTGTTTACTAAACTTTTGCTGCTTTGCTTTGCTATCTGTGTGTGTGTCGTCCAATTTCTACCGGGCACCAAGAGCCTGGAACTGTTTGGCACCATCCGGTAAACAGAACCGCTTTGGGAAGCCGAGGCGGAAGGACCGCTAGAGCCTTGGAGTTCGAAGCCAGCCTGATCTTTACAAAAGTAAAATAACTAACCGTGCCTGGCGTCTCATAGCCTGTAGTCCTAGCTACTCGGGAGGCTGAGACCAGAAGGATCACTTGAGCCCAGGAGTTCGAGGCTGCAATGAGCTATGATTGCACCACTGCAGTCCAGCTTGTGTGACAGAGCAAGAGTGTTTCAAATGAACCTAGTGTCAGATATTTACTTTCTGTATTACAGAGGACTGAAAGCTAGCTAAATAATACTTTTCAGTGTACCTGGGTTCCAGAGATAAAATTGGTAAACTAACCTTTGCTCCTTACTTGGGCTTTTAGTTTATACTTCATAAGACCATGGAAGCAAAATTTAGGTATCTGACCCTTCTGCACAATTTAGGACCCCGTGTGTGTTTGGCCTACCTATTCGAGTTCAATTGAATCTTTCTGAGCATCTATGGTGTGCCAGGCACTCTCCTAAATGGGAATACAATATTAATCCAGATACATAAAGTCTCTATCCAAAAGGAGCTTCAAGTTGGCTTGGGCAAAGAATACATGTCATAATGGACTGTTTATATAAATGATGGGAAAGGGTTGGGGTTAGGGTGTGAGATTACTTTAGAACGTGTTATTTAAAAACAGTATGAATGAAGGACATTGTAAGTCAGGTTTTTTATTATATCATGGTCATATACTCCTGTTCCTGTCAGTTTTTCCTGCTTCCTTTCTTTCACCAAGATCACTCCTTTCCTTCTCAGATCACCAAGTCCTCCTAGCTATAGAGAGGGCCTTCTATTCCTCTCCACCTAAACTTATATAAGCTACTGTTTTCCTCATACAGACATGTTAATGAAAATGAATTTCTACAGGATCTCCAGTCCATTGAAATACATTAATTTTTGAGTCTCTTCACACATTTTTATTTCCTAGATTTAAGTCTTGATTGCAATCACATACAACTAGTATTTCTTGGAATAAAACAGCAATCACAAAAATCATAAATATCACATTGTTTAAAAAAATTTATTATTTGATGTTGAGGACTCCATCCTGATTTCAATGAATTAATTCATTTGTTCCCTTTTAAAATGTCATCTGTGTTATTTATGTGTATAAATTTTCAATAATTGTTTCTCAATATAGAGTAAATGATACAGCTCCATAGAAGGCCTGTAAGATTTTTGAAATTAAAATAAGTTTTTAAATAAAATATGCTGTTATGATCATTGAAGTTGATAATAAAATTATTCCATTGATTCTGTTTCTCCCAAGAACCACCATTTAATCATGAAAGCTAGCTAAGTAATATTTTTCAGAGTTCGTGAGTTCCAGAAGTAAAATTCTTTAAGCTAAACAGCTTGTAAAGTAACTTTTGCTTTATAATTATTATAATTTTGGGTGTTATTTATGCAAACTCAAATCAATGTACTCATAATCAAAACATTGACATGCAAACTTATGTATTAAGCAAAATAAAATATACAAGTGTGATATATCATTGTTTATAATTCCACATACACATGTAAAGGAAAATGGAGGAGCTGTTAAATGAGTAGCTTCACAGTAAGTAAACTAGAGGAGGCAACCTAAAGATCAGAGAGATCCAAGGGGCAAGGAGCAATTAGGAACATTTATAGTGCCTTATCACTTCATGGTATTATATCATCTGTGAAATATTGAATTAAATGAATGTCCTTACTGATTTGATGCCCTCTGAAGGTTTGTTGAAAAATCAGACATGAGGTAGATTAATAGAAAAAAAGGCAGACAAATTTACAATGTGCATGGGGAGAATCAGTGATTGCCCACCCCAGAACGTGGTTCAGAAGTTTATATACCATCCTTGAAAAACAGTTTGAGGGAGGGAGAAGAGGAATTCATTTGAGGGGATTACTAGGAAGAATGAATGGATCAGGGAAAAGAAATTAAACTTGTACCTTATCTTGTGAAATGAGCTGTTCGGGTGTGATTACATTCGTCTTACAGGGACTCATTTTTGGTGAGTCCAGATAACAGGAAGACAAAGGTTGGGGAGTGGGAGAAGGTCAAAGAGACTTTGAGGCTTCTGCAGTTCAGCTTGTCACCATGCCATAGTTTGGGGTATTGGTTTCTGAGCCCCGACATTGACAATATGTACTAAAAATAAATATTTGTTATTTAAATTAACTACTTAATGTGTTATACATAATTAGATAAATTGATGTATTAACATATTTAAAGTATAATATAAACAAAATATTTGTAAATTAGTTGTAAAGAAAAAAATTACGTATATTAAATAGAGGTTGGCTTTCTGCTTAATATTTTACATACATTATCTCCATTGTTTTATTTTTTTAATTTTTTTTATTTTTTAGATGAAGGTCTTGTGATGTTGCCCAGGCTGATCTCTGACTCCTGAGCTTGCACAATCCTCCCACTCCTGAACACATGCAATCCCCCCACCTCAGCCTCCAGAGTAGCTGGGACTACAGGCAGGCTACTGAGACTGGCCTCCATTAATTCTTACAGTACCTCAAAGAGGTAAATACTGTAGGGGCTAAGGGAAGTTTCATAGAAAATCAACTGACAAAAGACAGAATAATGGGAGAAATGGCACAGAAATTTAATAATGTGCACGAGGGAGAATTACAAAGTGATTACCCCAGTCCCTAAAGGAGTACAGAAGCTTATGTAACTTTTTTCATAGGGGAAGGAGGAGATGGGAAAGGTAGACAATTCCTTTGAGGGGCAATAAAGGCTTGTTATGGAAAATAAATGGGCCACAGAAAGAAATTAGCTTGTAAATGATTGTCTTCATAATTTATTTATTTATTTTGAGATGGGGTCTTAATCCGTCTCCCAGGCTGTCACCCAGGCTGGAGTGCAGTGGCACAGTCTCCACTCACTGCAACCTCCACCTCTGGGATTCAAGTGATCCTCCTACCTCAGGCTCCCTAGTAGCTGCGACCACAGGCATGCACCACTACAACTGGCTAATTTTTTTTTTTTTCAGACAGAGTTTCACTCTTGTTGCCCAGGTTGGAGTGCAATGGTGCAATCTCGGCTCACTGCAACCTCCGCCTCCCAGGTTCAAGTGATTCTCCTGCCTCAGCCTCCCAAGTAGCTGGGATTACAGGCATGTGACACCACCTGGCTAATTTTTTGTATATTTTGTAGAGACAGGGATTCGCCATGTTGGCCAGGCTGGTCTCGAACTCCTGAGCTCAAGGGATCCACCTGCCTCGACCTCCCACAGTGCTGGGATTAGTGGGAGGAGCCACAGCACCTAGTATGTCTTGGTAATTTAAATGAGACCGAGAGGCAGACATTATCTTGAAAAATCCATATTCAGTATTCTTTTCTGCAATAATGAAATAACAGGGAGGGGATAGAAGGCAATTGTTACTTCTGGTAAGAAATTTTCTTGGTCCGATTAGGAAATGTCAGAGTCCCTTCGCATGTATGGGAAAGAAGACGAAGTTAGAGGGGCTTTGATTCTGAAGCTTATTTCTGAGGCCTTTCAATGTTCAAAAGCGCTCAGCATGCCCAAGAACCACATTTTGGGGAATCATTCTGCACCCCAACAGTACCGTCACTATCCTATTCTAACTTTGTAGATGAGCAAAGATTTAAAAAGAATAAACAAGTCACCTCGTGTCTGATCGGTAACAAGTCAGCTCGAGTCTGAAAGGTAAACATTTAATCTAAAACCAAAGTTTTCTATTTCCAGAGTTTCAACTCTTAACTACTTTCTAAACAAAGAATTGAATACTAAGAGATTATATTAGAATAGTTATAGGAGTTTTATAATTTTCATTGATGTTAAAATAATTTCAGAGTGGCCGAGCGCAGTGGCTCAAGCCTGTAATCCCAGCACATTGGGAGGCCGAGGCATATGGATCACGAGGTCGGGAGTTGGAGACTAGCCTGGCCAACATGGTGAAACCCCGTCTCTACTAAAGATACAAAAAAATTAGCCGGGCGTGGTGGTGAGTGCCTGTAATCCCAGCTACTCAGGGGAGGCTGAGGTGGGAGAATCGCTTGAACCCGGGAGGTGGAGGTTGCAGTGAGCCAAGATTGGGCCATTGCACTCCAGCCTGAGCGAAAGGGCGAGACTCCGTCTCCACAAAAAAAAAAAAAAAAAAAAAAATTCAGAGTATAACCCTGTATTTATTAATAAGAAAGAAAATCAAATATACGGAATCAAAGTTGCTCCATAATGGTTGATAACAAATCTTTAGTTGGGTCATATAAAAGTGTCTTTTTAAAAACCTACAAGCGTCCAAGCGAAGCGGCTCACGCCTGTAATCCCAGCACTTTGGGAGGCTGAGGCGGGCGGATCACGATGTCAAGAGATCAAGAGCATCCTGTCCAACATGGTGAAACTTGTTCTTTACTAAAAATACAAAAAATTAGCTGGGCGTGGTGGCGCATGCCTGTAGTCCGCGCTAATCCGGAGGTTGAGGCATGAGAATCGCTTGAACCCGGGAGGTGGAGGTTGCAGTGAGCCGAGATTGCACCACTGCCCTCCGGCCTGACGACAGAGCGAGACTCCTTCCAAAAAAAAAAAAAAACCCCACACACAAAACCTACAAACACCAATTTTCTAGTTATAAGAGCTTGTTTTAAGGATTTTAATTCTATTCCAATTAAGTCCTAAAGCTAATGCAATTATCAAAATCTCGAAGAGATTTTATTCAAACTTCACAAAAGGTCTCTAAAGTTGTCCAGAAACCTTGGTGAAACAGATTAGGAAATTTGGAAAGGAAATAATGCGGAGACCCGTAGTACCAAATCATGAGACCTCTAATACAATTTTAAATATTAATGTAATAAAATTTAAATTTTGGTGTAATAAAATCATAAATTTCAATATTGGTCCCAAGTATAGAGAAAAAGTACATTTATGTTGAATGTGGAAAACATTATTTTTAAAATACAGCCGATTAAAAAATTGCTGGGGAACTGATTATAACTATTGATAATTCCTAAGAAACATAGACACCAAAACATCACTTTTATCTCTTTAATAGAAATTGGTTAAATTATAATCAATATAAGGAGGTTACAAAACTCCATATACAACACTGTATACATTTTCTTGGAAAAATATGTGCAACTGCTCTGCAAAATACATGATTAACTAGCCTGTGTGATGGGATAACATTGTAGTTTCTTAATTTCTTGTCCTTTCTTGTATTTCCCACAGTATTGATGTATATCTTCTGCGTTCAAAAGCAATTTTTTAAAGCCTCATAACGTGGTAACAAAATACTATGCACGTTACAAAATTCAGAACACGGAAACAAGAAGCTCGCTTTTTTTTTCCCCCTATTTCGGTTTGGCCCTTTAGATTTCCCCTCCCCCACCGGGGCGGGACTTCCCGCCGACTTCTTTCAGGTTCTCAGTTCGGTCCGCCAACTGTCGTATAAAGGCGCTGCCTCAGGCCAGAGTCCTCACAAAGCGTTGGGTGAGACTCCTCTTGCTCGTCATGTCTGGCCGCGGCAAAGGCGGGAAGGGTCTTGGCAAAGGCGGCGCTAAGCGCCACCGTAAAGTACTGCGCGACAATATCCAGGGCATCACCAAGCCGGCCATCCGGCGCCTTGCTCGCCGCGGCGGCGTGAAGCGCATCTCCGGCCTCATCTACGAGGAGACTCGCGGGGTGCTGAAGGTGTTCCTGGAGAACGTGATCCGGGACGCCGTGACCTATACAGAGCACGCCAAGCGCAAGACGGTCACCGCCATGGATGTGGTCTACGCGCTCAAGCGCCAGGGCCGCACCCTCTACGGTTTCGGTGGTTGAGCGTCCCTTTCTATCAACAAAAGGCCCTTTTTAGGGCCCCCACTTTCTCAGCTGAGGAGCCGTGATGCTTGTTTGCCCAGTTTCTCTTTACCATTTGTTCGCGCCTGCTGAGTTTGTGCTGCTATCGGAGCATGCGTCTCTAGTCGCTGTAAGTAGGCATCAGTCACTAATCGCTCTCCAGTAAATAAAATACCCAACACAACTTGTTTCAGGTGCTCCAGAGCTTACTGACATGGGCCGTCGCGCAGACTGTAGTGCAGTGTCATCATGGCTCACTGTAGCCTCCCGATTAGCCGGAACCTCGCGCCCACCACCACGCAAGGCTAATTATTTTTCCAAAGACCGGGTCTCCGTGTGTTTCCCAGGCTAGTTTCGATATCCTGGCCTCAATCCCCTCGCCTATGCCTAATGTTGGTATTACAGTAGTGAGCCACCACGCCTGGCCACGATACTGTTGAGGTTTTAGGGTTAGTTACATTTAAGGGGCAATTTTCGCAGTGTAGTGGGGAGGAAAGTCAAGCAGTTATAGGTTTCTGGCGCTGTGAATCCAACTGCTGAACATAGCAAGAACTTATTATGCAACAACCTTTAATCAGTGGACCGTAAATAAGTTTAGTTTATCGGTTTTGGCCCAATTCTTGAGAAAGGTGAGAATTTGAATCCTTGAGTAGAAATACGTAGCTTATCAGTACAACAAAGTGATCACAACAAAGACTAACTTATCCTTTGTTACTTAACGTGGGCAGAGCTTTACCGCTGAGAATTCCTCAGCCTTTGAGTGTTCTCTTATTTACAACTGAAGTTGATAAGATGGTATTAAAAGTGAGATTCCTAGTAAGTAAACTTAAAGGCCTGAAGGACCAGTGATTAATGGGAAGTGCTAATAAGTCATATTTGAGGTTATCCAACCCGAGATTCTGATTTAATTGGTTTAAGGATACTATCACCTTGTGGGTTAGATTTGAAAAATAATAATTGCTTTAAGGAAGGAACCTGTTGGTATTTAAACAAAAAACTTTCCTTCCTGATTCTTACATGCCGTCACTTAGACAAATCTCTGGTCTACATGGCTGGATCTCTTTCTGCTAGTTAAATTCTGTGCTACCCTGTGAAAAAGAACTGAGATTAATAAAACGGTAGTGAGAACACAGGGAAAGATAAAAATCATAGCAAGCCCATCCAGTCATGCTGTAGTCATCCTCACAAGGATAGGGAAGGATCTTGTCCTTCATTTATCACCCAAAGTGTGAGTACAAACTTTAAAAACATATGATACTATAGGAATAATGAAGATGTCTCCATTTGCAAAAATTGTGTGAAAAAATGCACTTGACACAGGTATTTCCTATGATTTCATAATAGACAAAGGTTTAATTACACAACTCCTGGCTGAATCTAGAGTACTAAAATGTGGCTGTTAGAAAAGGTTGCTCTCTGGGCCCGATGCAGTAGCTCATGCCTGTAATCCCAGCACTTTGGGAGGCCAAGGCTGGCAGACAGCTTTAGGCCAGGAGTTGGAGACCATTCTGGCCTATGTGTTGAAACCCCGTCTCTACTAGGAATACAAAAAATTAGCCGGGCGTGGTGGCACACACCTGTAATCCCAGTTACTTGAGAGGCTGAGGCTGAGAATCGCTTAAACCTGGGACACAGAGGTTCCAGTAAGCCGAGATCACACCTCTGCCCTCCAGCCTGGGTGACAGAGTGTCGCCAAACAAAACAAAACAAAACAAAAAAAAAGATTGCTCTTACCCAGGGATGATGGTCAGATGCAATTACAGGTTATGAATTTGGCATAAAAGTAATGCTAAGTGTTTCACACTGCACTTACTGTTGTCAGTGTTCTAAGTGTTTTTTATTTACCAATTCATTTACACTTGTTTGTCTTTTTTTTCAGGTCTCCAACTCCTGGGCTCAAGCTGTCCTCCCACTTCTGCCTCCCCAAAAGCTGAGATTACAGGCGTGAGCCACCCGGCCCTACTCATTTAATCCTTACAACAACCCTTAGAGCTGGGAACTATTTTTATCATCATCACATAATTGTTTACAAAAATAAATCGAGGCTTAGAGAGCATATGCACCTCAACCCAAGATCCCACAAGTAGAATATTATTGTTACAGATTTGGTTGCAAATAATCTGCTTCTTATGATTGTGCTTTAAATTTTTCACCGTGTCACATCACTTTGGTGGTGTAAAATTATAAAACAACATTTAAGTCTTAACTTTAAAAATGTGTTTTTGGCCTGGTGCGATGGCTCATGCCCATAATCCTAGCACTTGGGGAGGATGAGGCAGTCAGATTGCTTAAGGCCAGGACTTTGAGACCAGCCTGGACAACATGGTGAGGCAATTTCTCTACTAAAAATACTCAAAAATTAGCTGGGCCTGGTGGCCTGCGTATATAATCTCAGCTACTTGGGAGGCTGAGGCACGAAAACCCAGGAGGCAGAGGTTGCAGTGAGCCGAGATCCTGCCACTGCTCTCCAGCCTGGGTGACAGACTAAGGCTCTGTCTCAAAAAAAAAATATATATATATATATACATATATATATATATTTATATGTATAGACATACATAGTTAAAATATATATATTATTTTTTACATCTTAAAGAGAAACATTATTTATATGCAAAAAATTTTATTTAGGCCCACTTAGCAATTCCAGATCTGACAACTTTTGAGGATTTAAAATTGTTTTTCGCCCTCTCCCTCTCCCTCTCCCCATGGTCTCCCTCTCCCTCTCTTTCCACGGTCTCCCTCTCATGCCGAGCCAAAGCTGGACTATACTGCTGCCATCTCGGCTCACTGCAACCTCCCTGCCTGATTCTCCTGCCTCAGCCTGCGGAGTG
Source organism: Homo sapiens (assembly GCF_000001405.40). Lineage (NCBI taxonomy): Eukaryota > Metazoa > Chordata > Mammalia > Primates > Hominidae > Homo > Homo sapiens. Next base: position 27,828,363 of record NC_000006.12, on the reverse strand, counting down.
CCTGCAATTGCAGGCGCGCGCCGCCACGCCTGACTGGTTTTCGTATTTTTTTGGTGGAGACGGGGTTTCGCTGTGTTGGCCGGGCTGGTCTCCAGCTCCTAACCGCGAGTGATCCGCCAGCCTCGGCCTCCCGAGGTGCCGGGATTGCAGACGGAGTCTGGTTCACTCAGTGCTCAATGGCGCCCAGGCTGGAGTGCAGTGGCGTGATCTCCGCTCGCTACAACCTCCACCTCCCAGCCGCCTGCCTTGGCCTCCCAAAGTGCCGAGATTGCAGCCTCTGCCCGGCCGCCACCCCGTCTGGGAAGTGAGGAGCGTCTCTGCCTGGCCGCCCATCGTCTGGGATGTGAGGAGCCCCTCTGCCTGGCTGCCCAGTCTGGAAAGTGAGGAGCGTCTCTGCCCGGCCGCCATCCCATCTGGGAAGTGAGGAGCGCCTCTTCCCGGCCGCCATCACATCTAGGAAGTGAGGAGCGTCTCTGCCCGGCCGCCCATCGTCTGGGATGTGGGGAGCGCCTCTGCCCCGCCGCCCTGTCTGGGATGTGAGGAGCGCCTCTGCCCGGCCGCCATCCCGTCTGGGAGGTGAGGAGCGTCTCTGCCCGGCCGCCCCGTCTGAGAAGTGAGGAGACCCTCCGCCGGGCAGCCGCCCCGTATGAGAAGTGAGGAGCCTCTCTGCCCGGCAGCCGCCCCGTCTGAGAAGTGAGGAGCCTCTCCACCCGGCAGCCACCCCGTCTGGGAAGTAAGGAGCGTCTCCGCCCGGCAGCCACCCCGTCCTGGAGGGAGGTGGGGGGGTCAGCCCCCCGCCAGGCCAGCCGCCCCGTCCGGGAGGGAGGTGGGGGCGTCAGCCCCCCGCCCGGCCAGCCGTCCCGTCCGGGAGGGAGGTGGGGGGGTCAGCCCCCCGCCCGGCCAGACGCCCCGTCCGGGAGGTGAGGGGCGCCTCTGCCCGGCCGCCCCTACTGGGAAGTGAGGAGCCCCTCTGCCCAGCCAGCCGCCCCGTCCGGGAGGGAGGTGGGGGGATCAGCCCCCCCGCCCGGCCAGCCGCCCAGTCCGGGAGGGAGGTGGGGGGGTCAGCCCCCCGCCCGGCCAGCTGCCCCGTCCGGGAGGTGAGGGTCGCCTCTGCCCGGCCGCCCCTACTGGGAAGTGAGGAGCCCCTCTGCCCAGCCAGCCGCCCCGTCCGGGAGGGAGGTGGGGGGAATCAGCCCCCCGCCCGGCCAGCCGCCCCGTCCGGGAGGGAGGTGGGGGGGTCAGCCCCCCGCCCGGCCAGCCGTCCCGTCCGGGAGGGAGGTGGGGGGGTCAGCCCCCCGCCCGGCCAGCCGCCCCGTCCGGGAGGTGAGGGGCGCCTCTGCCCGGCCGCCCCTACTGGGAAGTGAGGAGCCCCTCTGCCCGGCCAGCCGCCCCATCCGGGAGGGAGGTGGGGGGGTCAGCCCCCAACCCGGCCAGCCGCCCCGTCCGGGAGGGAGGTGGGGGGGTCAGCCCCCCGCCCGGCCAGCCGCCCCGTCCGGGAGGTGAGGGGCGCCTCTGCCCGGCCGCCCCTACTGGGAAGTGAGGAGCCCCTCTGCCCGGCCGGCCGCCCCGTCCGGGGGGGAGGTGGGGGGGTCAGCCCCCCGCCCGGCCAGCCGCCCCATCCGGGCCGTGAGGGGTGCCTCTGCCCGGCCACGGCCCCGTCTGGGAGGTGTGCCCAGCAGCTCATTGAGAACGGGCCAGGATGACAATGGCGGCTTTGTGGAATAGAGAGGGGAGAAAGGTGGGGAAAAGATTGAGAAATCGGATGGTTGCCGTGTCTGTGTAGAAGGAGGTAGACATGGGAGACTTTTCATTTTGTTCTGTACTAAGAGAAGTTCTTCTGCCTTGGGATCCTGTTGATCTGTGACCTTACCCCCAACCCTGTGCTCTCTGAAACATGTGCTGTGTCAAACTCAGGGTTAAATGGATTAAGGGCGGTGCAAGATGTGCTTTGTTAAACAGATGCTTGAAGGCAGCATGCTCCTTAAGCGTCATCACCACTCCCTAATCTCAAGTACCCAGGGACACAAACACTGCAGAAGGCCACAGGGACCTCTGCCTAGGAAAGCCAGGTATTGTCCAAGGTTTCTCCCCATGTGATAGTCTGAAATATGGCCTCTTGGGAAGGGAAAGACCTGACCGTCCCCCAGCCCGACACCTGTAAAGGGTCTGTGCTGAGGAGGATTAGTATAAGAGGAAGGCATGCCTCTTGCAGTTGAGACAAGAGCAAGGCAACTGTCTCCTGTCCGTCCCTGGGCAATGGAATGTCTCGGTATAAAACCCGATTGTACGTTCCATCTACTGAGATGGGGAAAAACCGCCTATCTCACCTATCACCGCCTATCACCACTCCCCAATCTCAAGTACCCAGGGACACAAACGCTGCGGAAGGCCGCAGGGTCCTCTGCCTAGGAAAACCAGAGACCTTTGTTCACTTGTTTATCTGCTGACCTTCCCTCCACTATTGTCCTATGACCCTGCCAAATCCCCCTCTGTGAGAAACACCCAAGAATGATCAATAAAATAAATAAATAAATAAATAAATAATTGTTTTTCATGTAAAATACAATTTTTTTCCCTTAACAAAAATTCAAATTAAAAAAAAAGTATGATTACAATTCCTTTGTGGTAATTACTTGGACTACAGAGTTTTGTACTTTTGCTTCAACTGAATCAATGCGACTATTATTGTCCTTCCAGATCTTTTGATGTCACCAATGACACATCCATCATTTTCATCATCATAACAATAAGTGACTGAACCTCACCAAAAAGAAAACAAAAAATAGCTTTTACTCACTAGATTCCATTTATGAATTTAAACTCAAATCAAGTGTCCAATGCCAGATGAATGGATAAGGAAAATGGGGCATATATACAATGAAATACTACTCAGCCTTAAAATAAATCTTGTCATTTCTTATAGATGAAACTGGAGACCATTATGCAAAGTAAAACAAACTAGGCACAGAAAAACAAAAACTGCGTGATCTCACTTACATGAGGAATCTAAAAATGTTGAACTGAGTAAAATTGTCATTGCCAGAGAACAAGGATGGAGGTAACAATGGGACTCGGGAGGTATAAATACTGGAGATCTACTTTAAAGCATGGTGATAATAGTTAATGTACTTGATACTGGAAAATTGCTGATAGGCCTTAAATGTTCTCACCACAGAAAGTGAGGTGGATGTTAAGCTCGATGTAATCATTACACAATGAATATATGTCAGATCAGATTGTACATGTAAGTTGTCATACCTTAATGAGGGTGGAGGAAAGTAAAAAATTATCTTAAAATTCTTTAAGAGGTCGCACTTTGAGAGGCCAAGGCGGGCGGATCGCGAGGTCAGGAGATCGAGACCATCCTGGCCAACATAGTGAAACCCCATCTCTACTAATACAAAAATTAGCTGGGTGTAGTGGCGCAAAACTGTAATCCCAGCTACTCGGCAGGCTGAGGCAGGAGAATCGCTTGAACCCAGGAGGCGGAAGTTGCAGTGAGCCGAGATCGCGCCGCTGCACTCCAACTCGCAGACAAAGACGAAACAAAAAAAACCCACAAATACTTGTGGATTTGGAGGCTTTTCAAAAACGATTTCCGATTACCACTGTCAAGCTCACTACGGGGGTTACATAAACGTTTCTGGTACTGCACATTCTGTGTACGAGTATTTTCTCCATTACGTAAACAAGCTTACGAATTTTGAGCAAGTTTAGACATTACATCTCGTAATTAGTCCTGCCTACAGTGACCCCGGGTGAATGGCCACACGTGTGCCGCTGTGTTCAAAAAACTGTTCCCCCCAGAACTGACTCAGAACCAAGCAAAATTCCGTACCTACCAAAACCACTCCTCAGTGTTACCACTCTTCAGCTGAGAAAGTAGGGTGGCCCTGAAAAGGGCCTTTTATTGATAGAAAGGGACGCTCAACCACCGAAACCGTAGAGGGTGCGGCCCTGGCGCTTGAGCGCGTAGACCACATCCATGGCGGTGACCGTCTTGCGCTTGGCGTGCTCTGTATAGGTCACGGCGTCCCGGATCACGTTCTCCAGGAACACCTTCAGCACCCCGCGAGTCTCCTCGTAGATGAGGCCGGAGATGCGCTTCACGCCGCCGCGGCGAGCAAGGCGCCGGATGGCCGGCTTGGTGATGCCCTGGATATTGTCGCGCAGTACTTTACGGTGGCGCTTAGCGCCGCCTTTGCCAAGACCCTTCCCGCCTTTGCCGCGGCCAGACATGACGAGCAAGAGGAGTCTCACCCAACGCTTTGTGAGGCCTCTGGCCTGAGGCAGCGCCTTTATACGACAGTTGGCGGACCGAACTGAGAACCTGAAAGAAGTCGGCGGGAAGTCCCGCCCCGGTGGGGGAGGGGAAATCTAAAGGGCCAAACCGAAATAGGGGGGAAAAAAAAGCGAGCTTCTTGTTTCCGTGTTCTGAATTTTGTAATGTGCAAAGTATTCTGTTACCACGTTATGAGGCTTTAAAAAATTGCTTTTGAACGCAGAAGATATACATCAATACTGTGGGGAATACAAAAAAGTGACCGGGCTCGGTGGCTGACGTCTGTGATCCCACCATTTTAGGAGGCCGAGATGGGAGTGTACCTGGGCGTCAGGAGTTTGAGATCTGCGTGAGCAAAATAGCGAGACCCCATCTCTACCAAGACAACAATTAAATTAAATTAAAACATTAGTCCAGCATGATAGCGCTTACACTTTAGGAGACACTCTTTTTTTTAAATATATTAAAAAAAAAAACCAGTACAGTAACAACAGCCTGTTATCCCATCTTCCCATCACACAAAGAGCTCTACTGCTAGCTAATAAGATAATTTGGTGAGCAGATAAATGCACATTTTTTCCCACAAAATGTATGCAGTATATGGCATTTTACAACTTCGCGTTGTTTTAATCAATTTCCCTTATTTAAAAAGTTTACAAAAGTGATTTTAATGTCTTTATTATTTCTTCTCCTGAATTCTGCCTGCTACAGTGTTAACCAATTCCCTAGGAATTTATTAATCAACCAGATTTTTTAAATAATTCATCTTTTCCCTGCGGATTAAGTACCACCTTTAACATTATACATACTCGGAACTATTACCAAAATTCTATTCTGTCTATAATTTAATCAAGGTGGTTTGCCAAAGGGAATCTATGTTCACGGTTAAAAGCTTAGAAAATTCACATTAGGAAAAATTTTAAAAGCAGTAATTTATATCTGCTTAATATTCCATCATAAGAATTTTCTAGGTCCACTTTCACAGTATTTCTAGTACTTAGCAATAATGTGCTAATTTTCTTTTCCTAATTTAAAGGAGAACTGTACAAAATTTACTTCCTGAGGAAAATGTAGAATTGAAGCGCTTTGTCACAAAGGATGCAGATTTTAAGGTATTTTGATAACTGTTACTACATTTTCCTCAAAAGTTTTATTCCATTCACTTTTGCCAGCAGTAACTGCTGTGTATGTTTACCAGCATTGAGTATTATGGTTTTTAAATTCTATGTTACATTCAGAATTTACTTTTAGTTTTGTTGATTGAGTCTTGAGTTAATGAACTAGTTACCCAGCAAGATTTATTGATTTGTTTATAAGTAATAAATTGTCATCTTTAATATAAGCTTGTTTAGGCCGGGCGCGCTGGCTCATGCCTGTAATCCCAGCACTTAGGGAGGCTGAGGCAGGCAGGTCACTTAAAGTCAGGACTTCGAGACCAACCTGGCCAACATGGTGAAACCCCGTCTTTACTAAAAATACAAAAATTAACTGGGCGTGGTGTCACATACCTGTAATATTAGCTACTCAGGAGGGTGAGGCAGGAGAATCTCTTGAACCTGGGAAGCGGCGCTTACATTGAGCCGAAATCACACCACAGCACTCCAGGCTAGACAACTGAGTGAGACTCCATCTCAAAAAAAAAGAAAAGAAAAGAAAAGAAAAAAACAATAAGAAACCTAAAAATTTTATTTTTTCGTGTAAAAACTGGCCACAAAGAAATTATTTGACTTACCTTGTTTGACTGTAAGTCGTAGGACCTCCGTTCCAGAGAGGGCCCTGCCCCATATACAAAAGAAATACTACACAGAGCGCCCAAGAAGAATCTAGACAGGCCTGGCTGGGTTTCCCCACTCAGTCTCTTAGCATTAGATCATACACATTATGTCCAGTCATATTTCTACATAGCTGTCCATACTTTGTTGAACCTAAGCATAAAAATGGACAATTTCCCCTGTATCTTTAGGTCTTCATTCTGAAGGCTTCTGCGTACATGTTAAATAAATGTGTATGCCTTTTCTTCTATTAATCTGCCTCTTGACAGTGATTTTCAGTGAAGCTTCAGAGTACATAGGGGAAGCTTTCCCTGTGCCCCAACAAGTTCAATCATATGGTCAATGATTCAATCAATCCTGCCTATATAATAAAACCCTCATAAAAGCTCTGGATACCAAGGTCAGGGAGTTTATTGGTTTGTGAACACATAGATATCCTAGGGAGGTGACTCCTGGTTCCACATAGAGATGGCACAGAAGCTTTGCTTTCAGGACCCTTCCAAGCCTTGCCCTATGCGTCTCTTCATCTGACTGGTCCTGATTTGTATTCTTTATGATAAAACTATAATCATAAGGACAGCACTTTCTATATTCTATGAGTCATTCTAGCATATTATTGAACATGAAGGGGTAGTGGGAATCCCTGGATTTGAAGCCAGTTGCTCAGAAGAGCAAGTGGCCTGGGAACCCCACTTGCAGCTGGCGTCTGAAGTTGGGACAGTCTTGTTGGGAAATGTGCCCTTTAACTGGTGAGGTCCAGCTAACTCCAAATAATCAGTGCCTGAATTGAATTGAAGTACATCAGTTGGTGTCCAAATAACTAGAAAGAAATTCATGTACGTAGTTAAAAATTTAGGAAATTCAGATTAGGCAAACTGAAAAAATATCTATAAATCACAGTCCGAAGATTATTCTATTAACTTTATGATACCTATCTATTGCAGTAGTCGTCTTTTCATATATTTAATATTTTTTACATGCATGGATACACTGTGGAATTCTTTTAACTCTAAAGAAAGTGTAATCTTGACACAATTTAAAATGTAATTTCTTTGTTTTTTAGTGTTTCCATGTAAATATTTACTTTGGAGAATAGTGAGTTCAGCCTCTGCAATCAAACAAACCTAGACTGAAATTGTGGCTTCGTTGCAGATACTTTTGCTGTTTTTGTCTTAATTTCCTCATCTTTTTAATGAGAGTAAAGGCAATCAGAGTTACTCCACAGGATACTTTAGGAAATAATGGAGATAATTGAGAAAAATGGCTAGACTAGCTTAGTAGATCTCACTAGTCACATATAGAAAATTTATATTTACTGTTTATTAATATTTTATTGATATTCAATTACTTAACTTTTTGTATATATTTAAATTCACATTTATGCTATTTGCACTAGTCCAAATAAAGTACTTAACAATTTTTATGTCATTTAAATTTCTAATATATTTGAATAAATGCTTAGAGTTTTATGTTTTGATATAACTTCTAAACAGCTATTAGAATATATTAATAGCTAAAATAAAAATCAAATATAATCAAATGAAGGCTTTTTTTTTTTTTTTTTTTTTTTGAGACAGAGTCTCGCTCTGTCGCCCAGGCTGGTGTGCAGTGGCTTGATCTCAGCTCACTGCAACCTCCACCTCCCTGGTGTAAGCGATTTTCCTGCCTCAGCCTCCTAAGTAGCCATGCCACCAGGCCCGGCTAATTTTTTGGATTTTTAGTAGAGGTGGTGTTTCACCATGTTGGTCAGGCTGCTCTCAAACTCCTGACCTCGTGATCCACCCACCTCGGCTTCCCAAAGTGCTGGGATTACAGGCATGAACCACCGAGGCTGGCTGAAGACTCTTTTTGAGGCCTGTTCTTCATTTCACACTTCAAACATCATCACAATATCAATAAAGAGAATATGTTTATACATACAGTTAAAATGAAGACATACATAGTAAACAGATTTAAGATATGAAAGAAAAACATTGGAAAACCAAGAAGATACCTAAGAGAGTAGAAAGTTTGTCAAAGTTTGTCGTTAATTTTGTCAGGAAAACCTGGTTTTCCTGGAAGCCTCATGTAGGGGAGGAAAAAAATATTTTCCCTCTACACTTCTGAGTTCTCAGCTAGAGCCCTTGTGACAAAAGACAGATTAAGAAGAGAAAAACAAACAAGTTTATTAACATGGGTACAGCACATGTCTCATGTGAGTGTACCCAGAAATGAGTAACTAAAAAATGTGACTTAAAACTCCAGTTTATATACAGCATCTTTAATAAGATCAATAAGTTTTTAGAGAAATTAGAAGACAAAGGAAAAGGATTTTGAGTTTTTAGGAGTGACAAATTGTGGGAAGGCAAATATATACGAAATTAATGGTAGATAAAGGCTGGTTAGTAAAGTTGTTATGCAGATTGCTCTGGTGCCCTCTCCAGGCTGATGAGAGTCTGATGTTGTCTCTGGTGATTAATTTTTGCCCTTTCTGGTAGAGAGGGGAGGAGAGACACCTCCGTACATTTATGTCCTGCTTTTAGGCAAATAGGGAGAGGGCAGAGAGTTTTCTTGTATCTGCTTCTTCTTAGTTGCCCTCAACTCAAATATTCTTTATGTCAATGTGGCATATTTTGGGGTGGTGTGTCTTGCCACCCTTCACTCAAAAACAGCTAATCTCTACCCAAAAAGAGAATCCTGGCTGGGCGCGGTGGCTCACGCCTGTAATCCCAGTACTTTGGGAGGCCGAGGCGGGTGGATCACGAGGTCAGGAGATTGAGACCATCCTGACTAACACGGTGAAACCCCATCTCTACTAAAAACACAAAAAATTAGCCGGGCATGGTGGCGGGCCCCTGTAGTCCCAGCTACTCGGGAGGCTGAGGAAGGAGAATGGCGTGAACTCGGGAGGTGGAGCTTGCAATGAGCCGAAATCATGCCACTGCACTCCAGTCTGGTTGACAGAGCAAGATTCCATCTCAAAAAAAAAAAAAAAAAAAAAAGAGACAGAGAATCCTTCCCCTAAAAGGAGACCCTAAGTATCGGCCCTTACCCCTTGCCTAGTGTGCCTGCCTTTATTCAAAATGTGAGACTCAAAACTTATTCGAATGTTACTCTTTTATTGTCTCACAATAAATCCAAGCCCATAACCATTTCTTGTAGGAATTAGTCTTTTTGAGACACTTCACAGTACTCACAAGCCTAAAGACAGAAAACTAGATTTTTTTTTCTTTTCAAAGAATTTAACCCTTGCTTAATAATAATCAGCTGTGACATTTGGATTTAAGTGTGAAGTTACTAACAAACATAGCACTCCTAGGTAGAATCCACCCAACCATGACCATGAACCTCCAAGTCATAGCTTGAATGTACCCATTGCATTGAACGGCCTCTACTTTTTTCCCAAAAGCCCAAATGCCTCTGTGCTATTTCTGTCTCATTTAAATTTAAGCTTCTTGGCCAGGTGCAGTGGCTCACGCCTGTAATCCTAGCAGTTTGGGAAGTCGAGGCAGGCAGATCACTTGAGGTCAGGAGTTTGAAACCAGGCTGGTCAACATGGTGAAACCCTGTCTCTACTAAAAATACAAAAAAAATTAGCTGGGTATGGTGGCAGGCACCTGTAATCTCAGCTACTCGGGAAGCTGAGGCAAGAGAATTGCTTGAACCCAGGAGGCGGAGGTTGCAGTGAGCCAAGATCATACCACTGCACTCCAGCCTGGGCAACACAGCAAGACTTTGTCTCAAAAATTAATTAATTAATTAATTAAAGCTTTTTTTTTGTTTTTATATCCATTTTTTTTATTTCCTTCATAAAGATGTACATTATATTACATTGACACATTATATTCACCTTATTTTGTAGGGTCACCATTGACCTAGGCACTATAGGGGGAAAAAAAATGAAACCCAGTCTGCACTCCACATGACTTGTAAAAACAAGATATAGTCATCAACACCTCCAATATTGGCTTACACAATAGGCTATAACAGTGGGTTAGAGTTCTCCAAGTGCATGGGGAAAGTAAAATCAATTAGTGTATGGGTAAAACAACTCAATAAAGAACTTTTAAATATTGTTTTGCTAAGTATTCTGTGACCAAAATGTGAATTTTATCTCTTCTAAAATGACTGTACATACATATAAAGATTGTGTCGACCCCAAAATTCTGTTTTGTTCTATTAAAAATTAAAAATAGGGGCAGGGCACAGTGGCTCACACCTGTAATTCCAACATTTTGGAAGGCCAAGGCAGGAGGATCACTTGAGCACAGAAGTTTGAGAACAGCCTAGGCAACATGGTGAAACACTGTCTCCACCAAAAAAGATACAAAGATTAGCCCAGGGTGGTGGCCTGTGCCTGTAGTCCCAGCAACCCAGGAGGCTGAGGTGGGAGGATTGTTTGAGCTTGGGGAAGCCAAGGTGCAGTGAGCCATGATTGTGCCACTGCACTCCAGCCTGGGCAACAGAGTGAGACCTTGTCTCAAAAATAATAATCATAAACAATTTTGCCAAGATTTCTGGATAGTATTTTCCTAATTTTTTTTTTTCTTTTAGATGTAGTCTTGCTCTGTCACCAGGCTGGAGTGCGGTGGTGTGATCTCAGCGCACTGCAACCTCTGCCTCCTGGATTCAAGCAATTCTCCTGCCTCAGCCTCCCAAGAAGCTGGGATTACAGGCGCATACCACCACACCCTGGTAATCTTTGTATTTTTGTAGAGATGAGGTTTCACCATGTTAGCCAGGATAGTCTCAAACTTCTCACCTCAAGTAATCTGCCTGCCTTGGCCTCCCAAATTTCTGGGATTACAGGCATGAGCCACCGCACTCAGCCTAATTTTTTAAAAAAATCTTTTGAGCTTTAATTTGTTTCTAACATGATACTCCTGTATCAAGAATAGATGCTTCATCTAATGAGATTGTATTGTTCGGGCTCAGAAACCGATTCCCCAAAATATGGAGCTTTGACATACTGAACTGAAGAAGAGTACTCAAGGTCTTTCGGACCTTCCCCCTATTCCTCTCTCTCATTTCTCTATCTGAAAGCAGAGAATGAAGTTGTTCTCTGAAATTCCCTTATCTCTCTAAAGTATAGACCTGCCAAAGAAGAAAACAATTACCTCTGGTCTCTTCTCTGAGTTTTCATTAACTGAAAACTCATATCGCAAGAAGACTGAAGTCTGTCAACACACGGAGACAAACCTTTGCCACAAATCATTGTCTGGTCTGTGGGCCAAACAGACTTTGTCCTAGGCTGTTATGTTATTCAAGCCTATTGAATTCCCCTAAAAATCACTTAATACCCCTGTAAAATCATCCACACTTCCCCAACTCCCTTTTCCCTGAGAAGAAGGGTATGTAATCATCTGTATTCTATTGCATGGGGCGTGGGGGGGAGGGGGAGGGAGTAATCACTGATTCTCCCCCATGCACATTAATAAATTTGTATGCCTTTTCTCCTATTAATCTGCCTTTTGTGAGTTGACTTTTCACCAAACCTTCAGAGGACAAAGGGGAAGTTTTCCTTTGGATTCTACAGTTTCAATAGACAACCAAAAGTTAAAGTTAAAGTTGGGAATTATTTAAATATGCTTCACTCTTTGAATGTATTATTCTTACTTAATCTATTAACATGTATATGTCTTTGCTAACGTTTTGATAATTTATTGAATGGAATCCTAAATTGGAAATTCCTAGCATAAATCACACATATGTTAGAAAGTATTTTTCAGGTTGGGTTTCTTTAAAGAAGTGTGAGGATTCAAAGGCTCTGGAAAAGCAATCTCAGTGCAGATGCCTTTTGAATCCTTCCAGGTATCTGAGTTTTCTCACAATTTTAAAAATTGATTTAAACATAACTAGAATATTTCTGGCAATTTAACTGTAACACATCTACAGAACACTCACTAGGTATTCACAGTGATATTAAGAGCAATTATTTTTTCCAGTTCATTTTCTTTGATTTACCTGATTTTTTTTGAGACAGAGTCTTGCTCTGTTGCCCAGGTTAGTGCAGTGGCGCGATCACGACTCGGTTCACTGCAACCTCTGCCTCCCGGGTTCAAGCGATTCTCCTGCCTCAGCCTCCCGAGAAGCTGGTGTTACAGGCACGTGCCACTGCACCCGTTTAATTTTTTGTATTTTTAGTACAGACGGGGTTTCACCACGTTGGCCAGGCTAGTCTCAAACTCCTGATCTCAAGTGATCCGCCCGCCTCTGACTCCCAGAGTGCTGGGATTACAGGCGTGAGCCACCACGCCTGGACTAACCCTCCACATATTTATTTATGACTTTACCTATAACTTCTGCTTCCCTAAAATGTACAAAACAGTTGCATTCTGACTGCCTCAGAACCACTTTCTCATGGTCTCGGGGGATTGTGTCTTCCCTAAGCCACGGTCACTCATAGTTGCTAATAATCCTCTTTAAAATATTTTGGGCCGGGCGCAGTGGCTCACACCTGTGATCCCAACACTGGGAGGCCGAGGCAAGTGGACCACCTAAGGTCAGGAGTTCGATACCAGTCTGGCCAACGTGGTGAAACCCCGTATCTACTAAAAATACAAAAAGTAGCAGGGCCTGGTGCCACATGCCTGTGGTCCCACCTACTCGAGAGGCTGAGGCAGAAGAATCGCTTGAACCCGGAAGGTGGAGATTGCAGTGAACCGAGATCGTGCCATTGCACTCCAGGGTGGGCAACAAAGTGAGACTACACCTCAAAAACAACAACAAAAAACAAAAAAAAACCCACATATACAAGTACATTTATATGTACGAAGCGAGTCCCAAAGGGTACCTAATGGGAGACAAACTTAACAGTGAACTGGCTCTTTCTTGAGAAACGTGGACGGCTCTGAAAAGAGCCTTTGGGGTGTGGGTCACGGCGGAACTGTTACTGCAGCGAGAGGCTCACTTGGAGCTGGTATACTTGGTGACGGCCTTGGTGCCCTCGGACACGGCGTGCTTGGCCAATTCCCCGGGTAGCAGTAGGCGCACGGCCGTCTGGATCTCCCTCGAAGTGATGGTCGAGCGCTTGTTGTAATGCGCCAGGCGTGACGCTTCTCCGGCGATACGCTCAAAGATGTCGTTGACGAAGGAGTTCATGATTCCCATAGCCTTGGAAGAGATGCCGGTGTCGGGGTGGACCTGCTTCAGCACCTTGTACACATACACAGAGTAGCTCTCCTTGCGGCTGCGTTTGCGCTTCTTTCCATCCTTCTTCTGAGCCTTGTTAATGGCCTTCTTGGAGCCTTTTTTAGGGACTGGAGCAGATTTGACTGGTTCAGGCATGGTGGAAAACAAAATAAAAGACAACCTTAGGGCTGTTTCGTCCTCTTTATTTAAATGTTATTATGCAAATTAGGAGTAGAATAGGTCAGTGCTGATTGGTGATTATCCGTGGATGACGTCAGATGCCAGTTTTGCCCAATCAAAATAGGTATCCTGCATACTCGAGTCCTATTGGTCTAAATAAAAATAAAACGTAAGCCAATCGCACAGCTTCCTTTTCGCGCCCAGTAGAGGCTATAAAATGTACGTTTTTCCAATTTCATTTCAGTCTTTCTTGACCGTAAAGGTAATAGACCTTTTGCCATGTCTGGGCGTGGTAAGCAGGGAGGCAAAGCTCGCGCCAAGGCCAAGACCCGCTCTTCTCGGGCCGGGCTTCAGTTTCCCGTAGGCCGAGTGCATCGCCTGCTCCGCAAAGGCAACTATGCGGAGCGGGTCGGTGCTGGAGCGCCGGTGTACCTGGCGGCGGTGCTGGAGTACCTGACCGCCGAGATCCTGGAGCTGGCTGGCAACGCGGCCCGCGACAACAAGAAGACTCGCATCATCCCGCGTCACCTCCAGCTGGCCATCCGCAACGATGAGGAGCTCAACAAGCTTCTGGGCAAAGTCACCATCGCACAGGGTGGCGTCCTGCCCAACATCCAGGCCGTGCTGCTGCCAAAGAAAACTGAGAGCCACCACAAGACTAAGTAAAGACCGAGTTGAAAAGCGCATAAAAACAAAGGCTCTTTTCAGAGCCACTTCAACAATCATAAAAAGATGACACGAGTCCGTTTTCAGCTGCTTCACCACTACACAGTACACTCATGATGTTTCGGTGTTAATCTTTAACCTGTTTACATTGCCTGAATTTCAAGGTTTTTTTTTTTTTTTTTTTTCTTAATGTAGATACTAACAAGGTACGTTTGCTAACACGTGTTTTCAGGGGTTTTACCTTGGTGGCCAGGCTGGTCTCTGACTCGACCTCAGGTAATCCACCCGCCTAGGCCTCCCAAAGTGCTGGGATTACAGGCGTGAGCCACTGCGCCAGGCCAGTTTGTGGTATCTTGAAGGCATTTTACTGGGACACAACTTTGACAAAAGTCAAAGCCTCTTACTGGGAGTTACATAGTAGGTACTGGTGGGTTTTATTTATGATTCTGGGAAACTCACTGGGCTGTAAGGAATATAGTATAGTATTCGGTTTTTAATATGCTTACTAGAAAAAGTATATGGATTGCTACTAGACAGTGTGTTTCTCTACAGTTTCACAGTCTCTAGATTGAAAACTGAGGGTAGAGTCCTCAGCCCTATTTCCTGGCCTCTAGGAAAGGAGCTGCTCAATGGGTATATTTAAACAAAACCAGACAGTTTTATGTTTACCAATGTATACATTGGTCATGTTTTGTTTTCTATTTTTAATTTTTGCACTTACAAGAGTTTGGAATAAAAAAAAATTGGCCTTAGAAGTTTTCTAATTAAGGGTCTTTCAAACATATACATGTTCGGCAGTGACCCAATAATTACATGTATTTATGTTAGTGTACTGCTGAAATCACATGTTAATAATAGTTAACTTCATTGTATGTGTTCTGATATTTTTCTGTTTAATTCTGTATGTAATTAACCTTTTTGTACCTGGGTGTTATGTTACAAATGTATCCTGTAAACACTTACAATTAGTAAGTGAGTTAAATACTTAGTAACTGCTGGATAAGTAGATGGCCAAGCATAGTAGTCCAAGCTGGTGATGTTCGATGGTAAGGTTGGTTCTGAATACTTATTGATTCCAAGAGCACTAGTGGGTGAATACCTACACTCAGAAAAAAATATCTCTTCTGAGAAAAGCCAAAGGCTATTTTGAGAATAGTGAGGTCAGTTCCTCATGTTATCTTTTTTTTTTTTTTTTTTTTTTTTTGAGACAGGGTCTCGCTTTGTCACCCAGGCTGGAGGACAGTGGTACGATCTCGGCTCATTGCAACCTCCAACTTCTGGACACAAGCGATTCTCCCAACGCAGCCTCCTGAGTATCTGGGACCACAGGCACACGCCACCACGTTTGGCTAATTTTATTTTTTGGAGAGATGGGGTTTCGCCACATTGCCCAGGCTGGTTTCCAACTCCTGGACTCAAGCGATCCACCTGCCTCGGCCTCCCAAAGTGCTTGGATTACAGGCATGAGCCACCGCGCCCGGCCTGTTGTCCATATTTCTGTATGGGCATATCAAGGTCCTTTTATTTTGGGCCTTGAAAAGGATTGTTATGCCACTTATGAGTTTTGCCATCTCAGGAAATTCAGACACAAGAATTATGTCCTTTTTTTTAAATTTATTTATTTTTTGTTTGTTTTGTGTTTTTGAGATGGAATCTCCCTCTGTTGCCCAGGCTGAACTGCAGTGGCGTGATCTCGGCTCACAGCAACCTCCACCTCCCGAGTTCAAGCGATTCTCCTGCCTCAGCCACCAGAGTAGCTGGGACTACAGGCACATGCCACCACACCTGGCTAAATTTTTTGTATTTTTAGTAAAGACGGGGTTTTACCATGTTGGTCAGGCTGGTCATGAACTCCTGACAAATGAGCTGAGTTGGATGGTTACCAGACTATTGTAATTCAGTACATGGAGTGTTTTGAAAAGACATAGAGTATTCATTTCCACATAACTAGAACTACTCACTGTCCCTTAAATAAATAATTCCTCATGTAATTATAACTGGAAATTTAACTGGGAGTATCTTGGCTGCATATCTCCAGGAGAGGATGCCCTACCCAGCCAGCAAGAGTATTGATTAGTACATACCAGGCAGTCTCTGTGTGAGCCCTTCCTGATTTATTACTAGCTCTTAGTTTCCCAGCACAGAAAGAAGGAATGCACTATTTACACACTCAACAATATCCATCGGTTTAGCAGTTGGGCCCCTAAGTGTCCTAGAGGCACTGCTTCCCTCCAAAATAGTGTATCTTCCTTTCCAGAAGAAAGCTAATTTCTGAGAGGGGAAAAACTCTATTTTGTTTTGCTTACGGTGTTGATTCCAATTAAAAGTATTAAAGCATTATTTTAATTTGTAAAATATTAATCATAAATTATTTATCTTTCTAAATTCCATATATGTGGAAATAATGAAATCATGAACCCACACACAAGAAAATGAGGATGAGCAGATTGTGAATGTTGCAGTAGTGATCTTGATATCAAATTTCCAAAAAAGTGTATTAAGAATGTAACCAATTCTAATAACTGAAGATACATAAATAGCCAACTGAAACAAGATAGAGAATTAAAACTGCTTTTTAAAACTCAGTGTAAAAATACTATGATCTTTCCACTTACATCCTTCACAGGTTAAGCTAAGGAGAGACAGAGATGATAACACACATACACAAGCCAATTTGCCAGGGAAAATCTTGAATACTTATAAGAATGCTAGAGAGCTCACAGAAGAAGTTATAGAAATCTAGCATTCTGAATACAAGAATGGATGAGGTAAGGGCTTTCCTGGCCCACAAGAAGCTGATTTGAGCATATCTACCAAGCTGATGTATTTCTTTCATTTGAGATTTTCCATGTGGGTATGTCTCCTTACTATTATATACCCATGCATTCATTCATTTATCCAACAAATACTGATCAAAAGCTCCTACGTTACTGGAGATATGCGAGTAAACAAAAGTTCCTCCTCTCATGAGCCTGTATTTTAGAACACACAAGCAATACATCAGCAAACTCTGGTACAGCATATAGTGACAAATTCTAGGGTGAAAAAAATAGGTGGGGATTATACAGATTTTATTTAGTCATACAAAGCCTCATTGAGAAAGTAACATTTAAGCAAAGACTCAAGTATTTTATCCTGTGCTCAAAAAAACTACCACAGGCTTACCTACAAGGCAGTCTTATTTTGAATACTCCTGACAGTTCAGAGTTTTAGCCACTGTCAGCAGAAGTCAGAGAAAACACTTTCTCTCCCACACGTATTTTTACATGGGGCTTCAAAGGGAATGTTCTCTGGCGGGCTTTCTCCAGAAGACTTTTAAACCTCAAACCATCTGTCATTAACTACATTTAAGTGGTTTAAGCAGGCCCAAAATCCGGCTTGAAAAAATTCAAAGAAAACTTAACACTGCTTAGGAACGGGGGGCGGGGAGAGAACGTTTCACTTTAGCCAGCATGAGCTACATTAACCTGAATTTTTCCAACTTCAGTACAACCTTAGTTTTATTTCTGGCGTGTTGGCAAGAAATATACACACACCACAGTACAGGTTAGCAGAAAATTAGAAGCACCATCCGGTCAAAACCGGGCTGCGGAGATGGGAGAGCAATACACGAAGGAACTTTTGGCTACACTCAATGCTTACGGAAAAATGCCGGACATTATTAGATGTTAAGACTCCCAAAATTAGCATTCAAAAAGGGATAGGCTGAGTCTTACGAAACAGATTGTATAACGTCTGGAAATGGGCCCTATCTACTACAGGCAAAACAAGTACCAGGAAGAATTCCTGAGAGAAACAGATCTTTTCAGCGCGCATGTGGGTGGCTCTGAAAAGAGCCTTTGGGTATGTAATCAGTGAGTCCTTGAGACTCAAGCCCTCTCGCCGCGGATACGACGTGCGAGCTGGATGTCCTTGGGCATGATAGTCACCCGCTTGGCGTGGATGGCGCACAGGTTGGTGTCCTCAAAGAGCCCCACCAGGTAGGCCTCGCATGCCTCTTGCAGCGCCATCACCGCGGAGCTCTGGAAGCGCAAGTCGGTCTTGAAGTCCTGCGCGATCTCACGCACCAGACGCTGAAAAGGCAGCTTTCTGATCAGCAGCTCGGTGGACTTCTGGTAGCGGCGAATCTCGCGGAGAGCCACTGTACCAGGCCGATAGCGATGGGGCTTCTTGACACCGCCGGTGGCCGGAGCGCTCTTCCGAGCCGCCTTGGTGGCCAGCTGCTTGCGCGGAGCCTTGCCGCCGGTGGACTTGCGAGCAGTCTGCTTCGTACGCGCCATGCCTTCAGAGCTAGATTCACTTCAGGAGAAAGAGAAAGCTAGCCGCTTATTTATAGTGAGAGTCTGAAGCTGATTGGACAAAAGTATGCTGAAGGCCTACCCAACAGTAACCGGATTGGCGAAGGACTCAAATTTTTGTTGTTCACCTATTCCTCTGACAGACTTAGCAGTTCATGGTCTCCATATTTTATTTTCTATTTTCGCTATACAGTTGTTCACTATACTAGCGATTTCCAGTGGAAATGAGAGCAATATAAGTAATTTACACTTATCTAGGAGAACATTGTAACAAAACAAGGAAAAATTAATTTTTAATATTTTGCTTAATCCAATATAGCCAACATATTTCAATGTTATCGAAATTAAAATTGTTAGGTATTTTACACTTTTTGGCACTGACTTTTCCAAATGCAATGTGTATTTTATATAAAATTCATGCTATGGAATTTCCAATGATCACTATCCACAATTGGCTAGTGGCTGCAATACTGGACAGGACAGCCTTATACACCTGTCCCCTCAATTTTCTATCTTTTGACCACTTAAATTTAAAAAACTTCTATTTTTATAACCAAGAAAAGCTGGTTCGCATGTGAGAAATTCAAGGCCAAAAAATGTCAAAGAAACAACTTTATGTGAACTTTTCACTTTTAGATTAAAGTAATTCCATTGCAGCTTATTTTTCCAATACTCTAGAAATGTAATTCATTTTCTTTTAAGAATCTATTCCATTCGTACATCCAGATCTGATTCAGATTAAAAACATCAAGTCAGATATTTTAAAAGTGGAATTTACCATGCTGAAACAAATTAAGTCATCTCTGTACTAAGAAATCAATTTGTGTGGCTGGGGGTGGGAAAGCTCGGGAAATTTTAATTTCAATGAATTTTCAGAAAATGCTTCAAAGAGAACTACCTGGCACCATAAGTAACTGTTCTAATTAGTCTAATAATTATTCTCAACTCAATCATTAATGTTCAAATGCAATTAATTATACAGATTCGAGAGATATTTCTCAGAAATGAAGAATCCAAGTCGTTGATCTAGATTTGGATTGAACGTCGAATGCCCGGTTTGTTATTTACCAAGACCCAGAAAACATCTGGCCCCAAAGCAGACATGTTTGCTTCAACAGACTAAAAGTAAAACCCGACGGTGAACCATACAGAATTCAACATACTTGGATAATGCCAGCTTAGGAAAAACTAAATTTTCTTCCACTAAGCTTAAGATGAAGGCGTGTTTAATACTTTTAATGTTATCCAGGCTTTTTATAAAGCTAACGAGATTGTCACTACCTAACCAAGACACCGAAGACTGATCTACGTAACCTTTGGAGTGGTTTAGAAGTAGGCAAAGACGAGAAATTACATTAAACATAGTGCTCAGTTCTTCCACAAAATTGTAGGTGGCTCTGAAAAGAGCCTTTGGTTCCTTTGGGATTGAGTTGCTGCAAACTAATCCAGGCTTCTACTTGCCCTTCGCCTTGTGGTGGCTCTCGGTCTTCTTGGGCAGTAGCACGGCCTGGATGTTGGGCAGGACGCCACCCTGTGCGATGGTGACTTTGCCCAGAAGCTTGTTGAGCTCCTCATCGTTGCGGATGGCCAGCTGGAGGTGACGCGGGATGATGCGAGTCTTCTTGTTGTCGCGGGCCGCGTTGCCAGCCAGCTCCAGGATCTCGGCGGTCAGGTACTCCAGCACCGCCGCCAGGTACACCGGCGCTCCAGCACCGACCCGCTCCGCATAGTTGCCTTTGCGGAGCAGGCGATGCACTCGGCCTACGGGAAACTGAAGCCCGGCCCGAGAAGAGCGGGTCTTGGCCTTGGCGCGAGCTTTGCCTCCCTGCTTGCCACGCCCAGACATGGCAAAAGGCCTATTATCTATACGGTCAAGAAAGACTGAAGTGAAACTAGAAAAACGTACATTTTATAGCCTCTACTGGGCGCGAAAAGGAAGCTGTGCGATTGGCTTACGTTTTATTTTTATTTAGACCAATAGGACTCGATTATGCAGGATACCTATTTTGATTGGGCAAAACTGGCATCTGTCGTCATCCACGGATAATTACCAATCAGCAGAGACCTTCCCACTACCTCGGCCGCATAAACTATTATATAAAAAGAGGAGACCGACTTCTTGTTTTGGTTTTGCCACTATTGTTTCATTATGCCCGAGCTGGCCAAGTCTGCTCCCGCCCCGAAGAAGGGCTCCAAGAAGGCGGTGACCAAGGCCCAGAAGAAGGATGGCAAGAAGCGCAAGCGCAGCCGCAAGGAGAGCTACTCCGTGT
This sequence comes from Homo sapiens, assembly GCF_000001405.40. Lineage (NCBI taxonomy): Eukaryota > Metazoa > Chordata > Mammalia > Primates > Hominidae > Homo > Homo sapiens. The sequence continues at coordinate 27,807,785 of NC_000006.12, read as the reverse complement.
ACGTGTACAAGGTGCTGAAGCAGGTCCACCCCGACACCGGCATCTCTTCTAAGGCCATGGGAATCATGAACTCCTTCGTCAACGACATCTTCGAGCGCATCGCAAGCGAGGCTTCCCGCCTGGCGCACTACAACAAGCGCTCGACCATCACCTCCAGGGAGATCCAGACCGCCGTGCGCCTGCTGCTTCCGGGGGAGCTGGCCAAGCACGCGGTGTCGGAGGGCACCAAGGCCGTCACCAAGTACACCAGCTCCAAGTAAATTCTCAAGCTCTTGTCCAACCCAAAGGCTCTTTTCAGAGCCACTCACTATTATCTAAAGAAGAGCTGGTTCGCTCTTCCTATCACTGGGGGGCGAGGGGTCATAAATCATTTTGATCTATCCACTAAATTAATCTAGCTCTTTGAAAGCCATTTAAGGTGAAATGTACATGAGGTACGTGCATATAGCTACCAACACCATAGAGGGTCCGACCTTTGCGCTTGAGGGCATAAACTAAGTCCTTAGCAGGGACTGCTTTGCGCTTTGCTCGTTCCGTGTAAGTCAGTCAAGCGCATCCGGGATCACGTTATCCGGAAATTCCTTGAGCATCCACGGGTTTCTAAAAAGATGAGACCAGAATGCGTTTGACACCGCCAGGCCAGGCTCCAGGTGGTGGGTCTGGTGATGTCTGGATGTTGCACAGCAACTTGCGGTGGCGCCCCCTTTACCCAATCCTTTCCCTCACTTGCGCAACCAGACATGATTTTAAGGCACGACAAAAGACCCGAGGTAAAAACCAAAAACAGCACTAGGAAAACAAGGCTGGCGTTTTTAATCTTTCCGACTAAACTGGAAACTAGAGGGGTGGGCGCGGTGGCTCATGCCTGTAATCCCAGCACTTTGGGAGGTGGAGGCGGGCGGATCCCTTGAGCCCAGGAGTTCGCAACCAGCCTGGGCAACATAGCAAAACCCCGTCTCTGCAAAAAGCACAAAAATTAGCCAGGAGTGGTGGCGCGCCCCTGTTGTCCCAGCTACTTAGGGGGCTGATGTAGGAGGATGGCTTGAGCCTGGTAGGCGGAGTTTACAGTGAGCTGAGATCGCACCACTGCACTCCAGCCTGGGTGATAAAGCCAGGCCTTGTCTCAAAAAAAAAAGTGGGAGATCAGTAAAAGTTAACACCTTGCCTTCTCCTAATTGTCAATGCCTGCTAGCAAAAGATGCCAGAGTAGATTTTTAAAAGTTTTTCTTGTTTTCACCCAAACCCAACTGTTTTTCGTATACTATTTACCATCCAATTTACTAACATTTATTAAGCATCTACTATTCACCATAGGCCAGTCATAGTATTCTGCTATAGGAATGGAAAATCCTGAATAAGCCTCCCAGACCTTAATTCTCAATCATTGCTGGTGGCCCCACAAATTGGTAGTGCTTTCATAAAGGAAAATTTGGTAATACCTGTCAAAATTTTAAAATGCACCTATCTTTACATCAGAAATTTCACCCCTAGGAATTTACTATTTTTGAAAATATGCAAAATAATATATGCAGGGGTTTCCAGCAGCACTGTTTGTAGTATAAGACTGAAGCAATTTGACTGATTAGCAATAAATTACAGTACATCATTCTATCTAGTAAAAAATAAGAAGGCTCTTTTTCATAATTATTTACTGCTTATCATGTGCCAGATAATGTCCTAAAAAGCTCTCTACATATGTTAAATCATTTAGCTTTCATAACAACTTTGTGAAAAATTACTATTTTTATACCTGTTTTACAGATCATAAAATGGGGGTTCAGAGAGCTCGAGTAAATTGCCTAAAGTGTGAAATTGTACAGTGGGAAAGTTGTCAATCAAAATGAAATCACTAATGTTAAGAAAATCCTGACACAGAGCCAAGAAAAGCCATAAAGAGAAAGTTCTCACGCTTGTATGCCTAATAACAAAAACTATCACAAAAGATGGTAAGAGCCACAACCATAAACACAGGCCATCAAAACCTTACACACACAAAAAATACTTCTACAAGACCATTTGTCCAACAACTGCCTTCCCAACCTTGGACTGGCATCGCCCTTGTTATTGTAACCCTCCTTATTTTTTTCTTTAAAAACCTTTGTCTTCCTTTACCTCCTTGAATACACATGTACTTTATAGCATATGGATTCCCATTACAATGCTTTATTCCCAAATAAATGTATTTGTCTTTAGAGAGCCTCTATGTTTGTTACTTAGGTTGGTAACAGGTAATGAGTAGTGAAAACATGATTCAAAACCAGAATCTGGTTTCAGAATCCCTATTTATAACCAGTGTATACTATACGGCTTCTCCAGGTGCTAATAATGGGATGATTTCCAAAATTTGCTGTCAAATGCAATAAAAGCAAGATACAGGATAATGTGCAGTAGAATTTTGTGTGTGTTTGTGTGTGTGTATAAATGTAAAATATTTTTGGAAGGATACTGGATAAATTGCTATCAGTGGTGGCCTCTGAGGAAAGAGAAAGTTGGATGTCCTACAGACAGGGATGGATGGAGGATCTTTTCATTGTAACTTCTTATGGTCTTTGAATTTTGAATCCTATGTGTGTATTGTCCATCCATAAAAAAAAATAGCGTAAAGAATCACTTCACTTGATTATCAGTAAAACACACATTATAAGATGATAAATGCTGCAGTAGAGATATGAATAAAAAGCCTAAGGAGCACAGAATAAATAATATTATGGGTGGGAGTGGGAAGAGTGCCAAATAGCATTCTGGGCAATAAGAAAATGGGTGTCACCTTCAAAAACGCAGAAATATTGTGGTGTGGCTAAAGTCAGGGGTAGGCAGAAGGGAGCACCCACGGGGCTGAGCAAGTAGTCTGTGACTATGCTACACCAGTGGCCTCCTTCTGTATCACGGCAGGCTTCTCAAAATGAGGACTTCAGGATAAAACAACTAGATATAATCTGAGAAGGACTTACTAAGTGAGATTCTGAAATATTTTACACATAATTCCAGATGCCAATTTAACACTATTTATTTAAATGTTACTTAAATAACATTTATTTAAATGAGCAGACTCTGAAGTTATTTGTTAATCTAGCAGTCATAGAGTTTTCTTTGTTGGTCAGACCATGTGGGAGAAAAAGCAAAAGAAAGTACTATTAGTCTCTTTTAGACTCTTACAAGTATTTGTCACCAGTTAAAAAGAGATATGTCAAATAGAGCATTGTTTTTTGTTTTGTTTTGTTTTTTTGAGACGGAGTCTCACTCTTGTTGCCCAGGCTGGAGTGCAATAGCGTGATCTGGGTTCATTGCAAGCTCCGCGGGGTTCAAGCAATTCTCCTGCCTCAGCCTCCTGAGTAGCTGTGATTACAGGCACGCCCCACCACGCCCGGCTAATTTTTGTACTTTTAGTAGAGACAGGGTTTCGTCATGTTGGCCAGGCTGGTCTTGAACTCCTGACCTCAGGTGATCTGCCCGCCTCAGCCTCCCAAAGTGCTGGGATTACAGGCGTGAGCCACGGCGCCCGGCCCAAATAGAGCATTGTTACCGTCACAATATATAACTAAATAAGCCAATGAATCAAAATTGCACACTGAATAGATATATATCTATGGGATATTCAACTGTGTCTAATATTTGGACATTTTAGAAAATGCTTTTCAAGTTAAGTGATGCTCTGCAATTATCTTAACTTACAACAAACTATTTGGTGGCAGTTTTGGATACTGGTACTACTATGATCTGAATGGTTACCCTCCAAATATTTATGTTGAAAACAAAAACAAGAAACAAATACTTGTGTTGAAGCATAATCCCCATTATGGTGGTATTAAGAGGTGGGGCCTTTGGGAGGTGAATAGGTCATAAGGATGGCGTCCTCATGAATGGGATTAGTACCCCTATAAAAGAGGGAGCTTGTTCACCCCCTGTACCATACGAAGTTGCAGCAAGAAGATGCTATCTATGAAGCAGAGAGTGAGCCTCATTAGACATAGAATATGGTGTCTCCTTGATCTTAGACTTCCTAGCCTTTAGAACTGTAAGAAGTAAAATCCTGTTATTTGTTAGTCACCTAGTTTAGTGTATTTTCTTATAGCGGCCCAAAGAAACTAAGATGCAAAACTCCATATTGAACAGGAGAGAGAAAATCTAACACATCAGATCACATCCTTTGACTGTCTTTGTGAAGGAGAATTGTAATTCCGTAGCTTCAAGGAAGAGAGACCATGCCCTTACATCTGTGTGTGTGTGTGTGTGTGTGTGTGTGTGTGTGTGTGTGTGTGAATGATTTTGTTAATTAGGATTTTATAGGGCCAAGCGCGGTGGCTCCTGCCTGTAATCCCAGCACTTTGGGAGGCCGAGGTGGGCAGATCACCTGAGATTAGGAGTCTGAGACCAGCCTGACCAACATGGGGAAACCCCGTCTCTACTTAAAATACAAAATTAGCTGGGCGTGGGGGCGCATGCCTGTAATCCCAGCTACTCGGGAGGCTAAGTCAGGAAAATCGCTTGAACCAGGGAGGTGGAGGTTGCGGTGAGCCGAGATGGCGCCATCGCACTCCAGCCTGGGCAACAAGAGCGAAAGTCCGTCTCAAAAAAAAAAAAATGTATAGCCAGGCGCGGTGGCTCATGCCTGTATTCCCAGCACTTTGGGAGGCCGAGGCAGGCGGATCACTTGAGGCTAGGAGTTCGAGACCGCCCTGCTCAACACAACATGGTAAAACCCCGTCTCTACTAAAAGTTTTTTTAAAATTAGGCAGGCATGGTGGCTCGCGCCTATAATCCCGGCTACTCGGGAGGCTGAGGCAGGAGAATCGCTTGAATCCGGGAGGTGGAGGTTGCAGTGAGCCGAGATCGAGCCACTGTACTCTAGCCTGGGCGACAGAGTGAGATCCTGTCTCAAAAAAAAAAAAAAAATTATTTGCAAGGCCATGTTCTAAAATTTTATTAGTAGGTATTAAATTATAAGAAGGAGTAGGCCTGAATGGATATTTGACATGAAGAAATATAAAAAGACTGGAAGAGGATTTTATTTCATAACAGGAGAATAAGAGAGCATACGTATCCTTCAACAGGGCTTTATTGTCTACCCTCTAGGTGATACTTCTCTCAAATGAACATTTTGGCTTATTGTCAGGAATAAGGGTATTTTTTTGTTTTTGTTATTTTCATGCTTAACGTAGGTACAGTCCTCAACTTCTTTCATAAAAGCTTTTTTCTAAATTGATTTTTTTTCATTACAACCTCATGTTCCCTTATAAGAACTTACTCTTCAGCCTGTCTCAGAACATATTTACAAGATATGAGCTATAATTGAATAATCATAGCATTTAAGGCTAGAAAACCTTAAGCAACGTCAGTTCATTTGTGCTGCTATAACGGAATATCTGAGTGAGTAATTTATAAAGGAATTTATTTTTCTCCCAGTTCTGGAGGCTGGGAGTACAAGATTCAGGTCCTAGAAGATTCCATGGCTGCTGAAGGCCAGGTCTCTGCTTCCAAATTGGCACCTTGAGTCCTGTGTCTTTGGGGGAAGGTTGTGGGGAGTAACACTATGTCTTCCTATGGCAGGACAAAAAGGGATGAACTCCCTTCCTCTGTCAAGCCCTTTTATAACAGCATTAATTCATTCCTGAAAGCAGAGCCCTCATGACTTAAACATTTTCCAAAAGACTCTACCTCCCAACCTTGTTGCACTGGGGCTTAAGTTTCCAACACATTAATTTTGGGGGACACATTTGTACCATACCAAAGAAGGTCCTGCAAACCTGACATTCTCCCCTAGCCTGCCTTCCTCTGCAATGTTTCCATGAGTGTCGGTTGTTATAACCTGGATGTACTGATGGAATGCTTCAGGTGGGAATTTTATTTATTTATTTATTCATTCATTCATTCATTCATTTATTTGAGACGAAGTCTCGCTGTCACCCAGGCTGGAGTGCAGTGGTGCAATCTCTGCTCACTGCAACCTCTGCCTCCCACGTTCAAGCGATTCTCATGCCTCAGCCTCCCAAGTAGCTGGGACTACAGGTGCACACCACCGCACCCAGCTAATATTTGTATTTTTAGTAGAGACGGGGTTTCACCATGTTGGCCAGGCTGATCTCAAACTCCTGAGCTCAGGTGATCCGCCCACCTCGGCCTCCCAAAGTGCTGGGAGTACAGGCGTGAGCCATTGCACCAGGCCTTTTCAAGCAGAGATTTTATTGGGATGCTTGCATCTGAAGGATATATTCACAATAACAAAACTTATAAGAAAATAGTAAAGCTAGAACTCATTGTGTTAATTATAGTGGAAGATGTGCCTGGACTTAGAACTGACCACAAATTGTTAATCAGAAATTGCTTTAGTAAGTAACAAATCAAAGTAAATGAAACAGCCTGGTTACTAAGGAATAGTTTCATAATTTTGAATGGGATTAAAACTTGTCTCTCTTACTGTTGGTGGAATCCTGTCTTAAACAGCCACACAGGCAATCTAGCATGAACTAATAGTCCTTCCTTGGTTGGTTTTGGGCTGCAACTCATTGATAATCATCATGCTTAGTTTGCCTTTGTTCCAATTCCAAGCAGGCCAACCACTTTCCCATGTACATATTGTAACCACCCAAGGGGTTAACCTTGCCCGCTGCCTAGACAGAGCTGATTCATCAAGACAGGGGAATTGCAATAGAGAAAGAGTAATTCACACAGAGCTGGCTGTGCAGGAGACTGGAGTTTTATTACTCAAATCAGTTTCCCTGGGCATTTGGGGAGCAGAGTTTTTAAGGATAACTTGGTGGATGGGGGGAAGCCAGTGAGCCAGGAGTGCTGAATGGTCAGAGATTAAATCATAGGGAGTTGAAGCTCTCTTCTTGTGCTGAGTCAGTTCCTGGGTGGGGGCTACAGGATCAGATGAGCCAGTTAATAGATCTGGGTGGTGCTATCTGACCCATCTTGAGTGCAGCGTCTGCAAAATATCTCAAGCACTGATCTTAGGAGCAGTTAGGGAGGGTTAGAATCTTGTAGCCTCCAGCTGCCATAATTTTTAATCTTGTGGCTAATGTTAGTCCTACAAAGGCAATCCAGTCCCAAGGCAAGAAGGAGGTCTGCTTTGGGAAAGGGCTGTTACCATCTTTGTTTAAACTATAAACTACAAACTAAGTTTCTCCCTAAATTAGTTCAGCCTACACCCAGGAATGAACAAGGATGGCTTGGAGGTTAGAAGCAAGACGGAGTTGGTTAAATTCCATCTCTTTCTCTGTCTCAGTCATAATTTTGCAAAGGTGGCTTCAATATCTGTCATTAAATTGCTGGAATGTTACTTTATTTTGCATTTGACTATTTTTTTTTTAAATTTTTATTTGAGATGAAGTCTCGTTCTGTCGCCCAGGCTGGAGTGCAGTGGCACGATCTCTGCTCACCACAACCTCCACCTCCCAGGTTCAAGCGATTCTCCTGCCTCAGCCTCCCGAGTAGCTGGGATTACAGGCGCGTGCCACTGCACCTGGCTAATTTTTTGTGTTTTTAGTAGAGATGGAGTTTCACCATGTTGGCCAGGCTGGTCTTGAACTCCTGACCTCAGTTAATCTGCCCGCCTCGGCCTCCCAAAGTGCTAGGATTACAGGCGTGAGCCACTGTGCCTGGCCCGATTATTTAATATCTGAGAAACATAAGAGGCTAAGAAAAGCTTTGAAAGAATGTCATCTATTTTATTTATGCTTATATTATGGCCAGGTTATATTTCTTTTTCTTTTTTTTTTTTTTTTGAGATGGAGTCTCACTCTGTTGCCCTGGAGTGCAATGGTGTGATCTCAGCTCACTGCAACCTCCACCTCCCGGGTTCAAGGGATTCTCCTACTTCAGCCTCCCAAGTAGCTGGGATTACAGGCACGTACCACCACGCCCGCCTAATTTTTTAAAAGTTTTTAGTAGAGACAGGGTTTCTCCATGTTGGCCAGGCTGGTCCCGAACTCCTGACCTCAGGTGATCCACCTGCCTCGGCCTCCCACATTGATGGGGTTACAGGCATGAGTCACCGTGCCTGGCCAACCAGGTTATATTTCTATAGCCTCTCCAAATTCTGGGAACGAACCCCACTTGAGGCCTACAACACTAAATTCCCACATCCCCAAAAGATGTACTCAAATATTGGAGCAGTTAGCACAGTCCAGACTATCAAATGTGTTGACCTGAAATCTATTTTCTGTATGGACAAGAAGACTACAGACTGAGAATTTTAATAGAAGATATTGCCATTCATAAGAATTGTGCTGCAGGAAGGAAAAGAGACGAGAAAACCTACAAGCTTAACCAAGAAAATGGATCTAACCTTCCATTCAGTGGCCCCCAGATCTTCCTGTTCCTTTCCATGCAATGAACAAACATAGGAGCTAGAACCTGGTTCCTTGGTGTAAAACAAACAAACAAACAAAAAAACAACAAAAAAAAAACAGCCAAAACTGAGGATCTAAGGTCATCTTGACCTTTGTGAGATCACCACAAAGAAACAAATGCCATTTTGTCCACTGTGTGATCACAAACAAGTCAGTGACACTCATTATACCAGTTTCCTTAACAGCAAAATAGGGGTGAAAATCAGCCTCATTTTATCAGGAAGTTGTATGATTGAATAAGACAATGAATAAGATATATGTAGGACAGGCATGGTGGCTCATGCCCGTAATCCCAGTACTTTGGGAGGCCGAGGTGGGCAGATCACTTGAGGTCAGGAGTTCAGGACCAGCCTGGCCAACATGGTGAAACCTCGTCTCTACTAAAATTACAAAAATTAGCTGGGCATGGTGGCACATGCCTGTAATCCCAGCTACTCAGAAGGCTAAGGCAGGAGAATCACTTGAACCCGGGAGGCAGAGGTTGCAGTGAGCCAAGACTGCGCCACTGAACTCCAGCCTGGGAAACAGAGCGAGGCTCTGTCTCAAACAAACAAACAAACAAACAAAAAAGACATATGTAACAGGGAAATAATTATCACCATGCATTAAGAGGAAAAGAATAATATAGAAATTACTGCAAATTATATTTATAAGTGAGGAAAATCACTCAGAGCCAGTAATTTTACCTCTATATGACCCCATCAGCCAGCTTAAAGGAAATTAACTTACTTAACCAAAAAAACATTTATTGAGCACTTAATATATGAGAGACAATATATTAGCATTGAGAATACACGCTGAAAATAGCCTGCTAAAATTCCTGTTCTTATGGTACTTTGAGGTGGGATTAAATTCCATAACATGTCATCACCTTGATAAGTGGTTTAGATAAAAATACAGCAGGAAAGGGGATAGGGAGCTGGAGATTGCATTTTTAAGGAGGGCATACAAATGAGGTCTCATTGAACTGTCATTGGCATAAACTGGTGAGAGAGTATATTGCTACCTGGGGGAAGCTGTTTGGGGCAGAAGGAACTATGAGTGCAAAGTACCAGAGGCAGGCTCTGCTTAGCATGTTCTGGGAACAGCAGGTTAGGCCATAGTGGTGGGAGCAAAGACAGCCATGGGGTGGGTAAGAAGTTTTGAGCTTCATCGTTCACCTTCTTGGCTCTTAGCCCAAAATGATTCCTACATAGAGCCTCAAAAACCTGCACATTTTCTAAATAGCTGCTGAAAAAATGCACCACAAAATAAAAAAGAGAAAATGGCTCTGCCCCTGCTAAGATCTAGATCTAGGAAAGCAAATGATATTCTTGTACAATGATGCATAAAGGGATAAATTCTAATAAAGGAGTATTGGTCTCAGCTGTACCCCATCACCAAGACCAGTGCATTAAATGCAATACTGAGTGAATGATACCCAACAAATGTCTTATTATTGCTTCATATAATAACAGTACATAGCACATAGAGGGTATCTTTGGGGGAATTTTCTTTAATCATCTACTTAAAGTTTTTTACTTTTCCGCATTTTATCCCACTCTTTCAGACTCCCAGGCCAACAATTTTGTAAACACCATTTTTGAAGATACATAACAAAGGAAACATGAACACTGATATTCACTAAGGCATTATTTATGGTGGCAAAAAATTTGAGACAGGCTTTTTGGGCAACACTGAGAGAGTAGTGTGAACCTAAAGTATCTGAAACAGGTCTCAATCAATTTAGAAAGTTTATTTTGCCAAGGTTAAGGACGTGTCCATGACACAGCTCAGGGGCTCCTGATGACATGTGCCCGAGGTGGTAGGGGCACAGCTTGGTTTTATACAGGGAGACATGAGACTTCAATCAATATGTTAAGATGTACATTGGTTCAGTCTGGAAAGGGACAACTCAAAATGTGGGGTAGGGGGAAGGTTCCAGGTCATAGGTAGATAAGAGACAAAAGGTTGCATTCTTTTGAGTCTCTGATTAGCCTTTCCCTTAATACACAATTTACATGTGAGGATGGATAGAGAAATAATTACTTATTCCTTAGTCCACTTAGTGAATCTGCATTTTTACATAAACAATAGGGCAGAAGAAGCAATCAGATATGCATTTGTCTCAGGTGAACAGAGGGATGACTTTCTGTCCTGCCTCTGTGAAGATAAGCTATCAACTTACATTGCCAGGGTGAAATTCAACAGAACTGTTTTAGGGTAAAGATCTTGAGGTCCACAAAGAATTTCCTTGTGGGCAAATTGTGAGGGAGGTATGTAGCTTTACGCTTTTTTTTTTTTTGTCTTTTTTTTTTTTTTCCTTTTTCTGGAGAACGGGGTCTCGTTATATTGCCCAGCAGGTCTCGAACTCCTGGGCTCAAGCTATCCTCCCGCCTCTTGCCTCCCTGAGAGCTGGGATTACAGGCGTGAGCCACCACGCCCGGCCTGAGGTATGTAGCTTTAAATAAAATAAAATAAAATAAAATAAAATAAAATAAAATAAAATAAAATAAAATAAAATAAAATAAAATAAAATAAAACTTTGTAACTATCTTATTTAGGAGTAAAATGGGAGGCAGCTTTGCTTGTCACAGTTCCCAGCTTGACTTTTCCCTTTATGTTAGTGATTTGGGGTCCTGATATTTATTTTCTTTTCACTGTAGATAGATACAATTCCTGTTTCTGGAGTTTTTCTGGTTATTATTACTGCATAACAAGCTAGCCCCAAACTTGATGGCATAAAACAAGCATATTATTATATTCATGGATTCTGTGGTCAGGAAATAGGACAGAGCACAGCAGGGATTGCTACCTCTGCTCCAAGATGTCTAGAGCATCAGGTGTAAACTCACCAGCTTAGGGTGATTCTTGGGATAACCGCTGAAGGCTGGGATCATTTGGAAGCCTCTTCACTCGCATAGCTGGTAAATGATGCTGGCTGTGGCATGGGACTACCAGCCAGAGCATCTACATGTGTGGCCTGAGCTACTTAACAGTATGGTGGCTTCAGAGTGGTCAGACTTGTCATAGAGTAGCTCAAGATTCTGAAGGTGAGTCTCTCAGGACATCCAACCAGAAACTGTGACTTCCCATTTCAGAATAAAAGTCAAAATCCTAACAAGGTCCTACACAGCATTGTAATTGTATGTGAGAGGATGATTCAGTGGGAGAGTACAAACAAGGATGGAAGCACGGATTTTACTATTAGAAAAGGCCCCAGAAAACCTAGATGAAAGATCCAAGGTCGTTTTGCAAAAATTGTGCACTCCTATGGTTAATTCTTTATGCAGTATTGTCCTGAGCATTGCAAGATTCCCAGTATCTCTGGTTCTGACCTGTGAAAGCCAGTTGTGCCCCAGTCATTGAAACAAGCAAAACACCCAGGCATTTCCAAAATACTCCTGTAGAGGGCAGTACAGTTTTGTTTAAAAACCCATTATTTCATACTTAGCAGTTAAGAGCTAGTGACTCAGGGATAAATATTTGTCAGAAGAAAAACTTCATAAGCAGGCTTATAGGTGGCCCCATGGTGTAATGGTTAGCACTCTGGACTTTGAATCCAGCGATCCGAGTTCAAATCTCGGTGGGACCTTCTTGGCTCTTTTTTTTTTTTTTTTCCCACTTCTGCCAGTTATCTTGTCTCTTAAAACTAGAGTGATTCCTTGTAATCCAGTCCACCATACATCATAGTATCTTCTTAGCAGTAGTATCTATGTCAGTCCTCAGAAGTGTGAGACCACCTGTGGAAGCAAAGCCCATGTGCACAATCAACACTACCAGGAACAACTCCCTAATTCTGTAACCTGTTCCCAGACACAGATGGGACAGAGGCGCCTGTCTGAAATGTCTCCCCATGTCTTGATTCCTAGAAAGGCATGTATGTGTGCATAATAGAGAAATGCCTGTTTTTAAAAGAATGACCACATTACTCTATCTCTGGGAAAAAAAAGTATCTAACATGAGAAGTGATAAATATCTGATTTGAGGTTAACAAACTTGTAGTGGTACTGTTGTCCCTCCAGGCTTCACTCTCCATGGAACACTTTCAGTGAGGATGGGATTCAAGCCCACACATGAAAAGTGTACTGGATTAGCAAATGGTCAGGCTACCTCATCCTATCCTGGTTGCAAATTTCTCAAGTTCTTTCTTAGACTTATTTTTGGTAAAGCCTCTGCACTTTGATTAAGTTGATAGGCATGGTACTGTCAAACTGCTGGCAGCAGCTCATCAGCACACAGGCCTTGCTGTCGTCTTAGAGACTCTCACACAAGTCCTTTCCCTTTTGCTTGAGATAGATTTTTTGCATTTTAGTGATTGCTACCCTAACTTGCACACAACTCCAGCCTCATCCATCACCATTCCTGCCACACACAGAGCCCAAAATTAGCTTTTAGTCACCGGCCATGGTAAAATTATTTCTATTCTTTGTTTTTTCCCTCTCTTCTCATTTTCTACTTGCAACACATTTTTGTTCTCCCCTCTACCCTCACGTTATGAGAGCTAGTTCTTTTACTCATTCTTCAAATATTAACTTAGACCTTCCAGACCTTCTTACTGAGGCCTTCACTGGGCTCCCTTTATAGGAGCTTAGATGCCCCATCTATGTCTCCTCAACACCCTCAATCTCCTTCTCACACCACCTCATAATTTAATTCTCATTTAATAAGCTCTCCCTCTTACTCTAGACAGCAAGTTCTCCTAGGGGAGAGACCAGTACTGTGGTCTTTTTCACCTTTCATTTTTCAGTTTCATTTTGCCTGGCTCATGTTCGTTCAAAAATACTTGCTGAGTGCATAAACTTTTATCTAATGTGATTTGATTAACCTGGAATCCAGGGTAGCCTGTCTCCATTTGGTTGCACATCTTTCTGCTCTGCTTCTTCACAAGTTTCTTTTCACTCTTTTTCCTTCACTGATCCCAAGTCTACATTCACTCTATGAACAAGTCTTCACCCAAGACTGGAGCAGAAGTCTCCCTGGGGATGAATTTCAATTATGACAGTATCTTAATGAGGGCTTTCAGTTAATAGCTAAAATAGGGATGGGAGGTATGTGATTAGATCACTATATTTTCACATTTTTGGAAGAGAATTCACCTTGGAAGAAAGGTTCCTTTCACTACATTCTTGGCTGGTGGTCCAGAAGTCCATATATGCCTAGTTTGGGTACTTATCGGTTGTAGGGAGCCCAGGGCCTGACACCAGCCTAGCCTCTGGAAGGTAGTAACTAAACATTCTGGATTAAATTGAAGATTTTTAATTGCTACCTATAAGCAAAGATTTAAGCTAATAAATCCTGTGTCCTTTCTGAGAATACAGGGAGGAGACGGTAACCTCTGAACCCAGCACTTACTCTCACCATGGTCAATAGAATTTCAACTTGCTGCTCTCATCACAGTTGGCCTGAGAGTGAGAGTCTGAGAAGGCTATAGGAGATAGCCCAGGAAAAGCACAGATGTATTCTTTATGCTAACCCAGAAGTCGCTGCTCAAGACACAGGCACCGTTCTACACGTGGTGCACTTCTTTTTTTTTTAACCTATCAGGTACCCCACATGGTCAAGAACATTAGGGCGGGGTGCAGTGGCTCACACCTGTAATCCCAACATTTTGGGAGGCCAAGGCCAGTGGATCACTTGAGGTCAGGAGTTCGAGACCAGCCTGGCCAACATGATGAAACCCTGTCTCTACTAAAAATACAAAAATTAGCTGGGTGTGGTAGCTGTAATTCCAGCTACTTGGGAGGCTGGGGCACAAGAATTGCTTGAATCCAGGAGACGGAGGTTGCAGTGCAGTGAGCCGAGATCGTGCCACTGCACTCCAGCCTGGGTGACAGAGGGAGATTGTCTCAAAAAAAAAAAAAGGAACTATTTTCCTCTTTGGCATTGGAAAATGTGATTGAACTAGTATATTCATGTCTGGCTGGTTATGTCCAGGGACAAGAAATCTATGGGGCTTTCTCCACTCAGGTTTGAAATCATCCTCTTTGTAAGCACTTTTTTTTTTTTTTTTTTTAAGGAACTTTTCTTGTCTCCACCACGGCTTGAAAATTTGGAATCTCCCTTGGAGGATTTTTATCCTCTCTCCTGAGAGTTTCCTGCCACCTCTGTGCAAACAGGACTGTCCTTGACCATCCTCGACCTAAAGGAAATCATGTATACAGTGGTCCATTTCCAAGACAAAGTGCCTTAAATCGTCTTAGGTAAGCAAATTATAGAAGAAACAGGATACACTAGGCCCCTGCTTGGATAGCGATGCCTGCTTATCGGCTCGCCTCTCTTTCCCCGCCTCTTAGTCGCCCTCACCCGAACCAAAGTTCAGTCTAAGATGAAAGTTTACTAGCCTGCAACATTGCTCGTTTTGTCTGTTCTTATCAGCCTGCCCAGCTACTTAGGTCATAAGTCAAATACTTAAAGAGCCCCCGAGCTAACTAGGATTGCAATGCATTGTGGGCTGCAACAAAATGCAGCAAGACAACCCTAAAGAAACACCTAAAGCCTCTAACCAACAATCAATAGGCGACATCCGGGAAGGTTGTGACCCCATAGTACTCACCCTGTGAGGAACCCGGGGAGGGACCTGCGCACCACGGGATAAATCGGTTGTTCAAAGTGTGCTGGGTGTGCCCGCTCATCAGACAACCGATCTTGCAAGATCGTCGTTAAACTCTCACTTTTGCTGTTCTCCGGGTCTCTGAGTCCATTCTTTGGGTTTGGACGGTGAATTTGTTTCTCATAGACCTAGTCTAAGATTGAGGAACACTCCCAACCCAGCTTTCCAGAAAACACTGAATTTAAAGATTTTGCCTAATGACAGCCAGTTGCAAAAATTCCGTTGCAAAGAAATCCAGCAGGAATCCTGATAAAAAGAAGCCTGTATTTGCAGGGAGAGTTACTGGGTTGTGGTTTTCTTGTTTGTTTGGCGTTGGGAACTGTTGTCATCCACAAGAGGGAGCATGCGGTCCTCGAAGACCACTTCCAGAGTGTCGGTGTGTCCGTTTAAAAATCTGAAATCCCGGAAACCAACCCCAACCTGCAAACTGTTACATTCAATTTGCACTAAGCACGCTGTCCATGAACAGGCGTCGAATCTAGGTTAAACTACTTGGAGCAGAGCTGCATTCCTCTCTACCACAAGGAAATTGCTGAAGCGCTCGCTTCTAAATGTGTACTGAATATCGTGGCGCTCCTACTCAGCTAAAAGCCACCAGGAGGCGTTTATAAAGATGCTAGGGTAGGGCCGACTGAGAACATCCCCAGAGACCCATCGCAGCAATCAGCTGTGGTGTAGGGGGTGGATTTTCACAGTATGGGCTCCTGTGTATGTGCGAAAAAGGGGGTATGAGAAGCAGGGATGAGGAATCTTTTTTGTGTCCGTTTGGGAGTCTCCCCTGCGCATATTTCCCGTTGGTGAGCCGGCAGTAGGAAGCCCGTGGGGCCGCGCGCTATCCCGGGAAACTCCCGAGGGGCATTCCTTTTCCCCTTCCCTTCGCCCCCTCAGTTGAGCTCCCAGGAATGCTGGGATTTTCCTCCAGTCTTGTCTTGCAAGTTCACTTATTTCAGTTTTCCGTAAACACCAACGTCTCCTCTGCAACTTGGGAAAATCTTTCCACGCACGTCCTCAAACGCGCCATACACCACCCCTAATAAACGACGTTTTTTTGTGAAAGCAATAGGATCTGATCACAAAGCAGAATAAAAGATCTCAGGTCTCTCACAGGCTCCTCACCTGTAAAATAAAGACAATAGTTCGCATCTCACCAGGTTACTGTGAGCGTTCCATGAGGTAACAATACAGAACACTAGTCACAAAACCTGGCACACGATAAGGGCTCGGTTTTGTTCGACGACTTCACTTTTTTTCCAGTGAAGAAACAGAAGCCCGAGGGGGCACCAAGTTTCTGAACCCCCTGGAAGGAAAGGTCTGGGGTGCGAAGGGTGGGGTGTGCTGACATTGGAAAACCACATCAGACTTTAGAAAGGAAGAACTAGGTCATGAAAGAATTCAGGGAAAATCGCTAAGAACTTGGCCCCATGGTGTAATGGTCAGCACTCTGGACTCTGAATCCAGCGATCCGAGTTCAAATCTCGGTGGGACCCAGTCTGCTGTTTCAAGTTTCAGTCGTATGACTTCTCTGTGATATAAAGGCAATCATGCAATTTCTACACACCTTTCTCATTCCATCCTGGAGCTTTTATTCACAAACACACGAGTTAAATGGTGTGTGGGAAGATTTATCCCTTTTGTTAAATGATGTATTTTCTTTTTTTTTTTTTGTAAGGCATTATAAATGATATATTTTCAACACAATTTTATTTTTTATATATTTATAAGTACTTATCAAATATTATATACTTAATTTTTATTGATTACATAATACCACCATTAAATTTAAAAACAACTAAAGCCAGAGGAAAAACACTTAAAATACAGATAATTACTGGTAGGGGCTAAAAATTATATATCAATTTTAAATCTGTTTCAGAATGCTATGATGGAGTGATCAGTCAGTCATAGCCTTTAAGCATAAACGTGTAATATAGTGGGCTTAAAATTCTATGGAAGATATGGAATAGAAATATCTTTTAAAGATAGAAAAAGAATTTATGCACGTTTTCAACTGTTAAATATAATTATGCTAAGTATATTTTTAAAGAATCCTAGTACATGCCAGGTTGTTAGCTTTTAGGTTCCAATACACAAATTTCACTGAGTCATTAGACACTTCTAATTTGTATTTCATCATATGCTGGCAATTACATTCTTTAGAATGATTTAAATTTGTAAAGAAACATTTTAGAACACCACTGGAAAACAATGTGTGAAAGCACAAAAATATTTTTACAATTCTTAAAGATTCCAAGGGATTAAAATAGCTTAAAGACAGTGTTTTGATGAAAATAATATCGTAATAGGACAAAGCAACTCCCTTGTCATCTCATGCTCAGACTCTTTCGTTTCTATTTTTCAAGTACATTTTTTTCTGTAAATTTCCTATTTGTGTACATTTGATTTAAGATGGTTTGTATTTTTATTATGATTTTGAAGGCATTCATAGAAGCATATTTTTATTAATCCATTCTTGCTCAAATATGTCTTGTGTAACAGTTTCCAAGTCAATATTTTTTTCTTCTGAGTTATCTTATTAATTTCCTCTGCATGTGTTGTTGTTTTATGTTTTGTATTTAAATCAGTAATCTATCTGAAACTTAATTTCTTACACACTTGAGAGGTCTACCTTTGTTTTCCTTCATAGGTAAAGTTAGCTGTGCCATCACAATTTATTTTAAAATCACCTTTAGGCCGGGCGCGGTGACTCAAGCCTATAATCTCAGCTCTTTGGGAGGCCGAGGCGGGCGGATCACGAGGTCAGTACATGGAGACCATCCTGGCTAACACGGTGAAACACCGTCTTTACTAAAAATAAAAAAAAATTAGCCGGGTGCGGTGGCACGCACCTGTAATCCCAGCTACTCGGGAGGCTGAGGCAGGAGAATCGCTTGAACCCGGGAGCCGAAGGCTGCAGTGAGCCAAGATCTTGCCAATGCACTGCAGCCTGGGATCTTTTGATTAGTTTTTAAAATTCATTTTATATCCCGAAAGCATTCTTCCTCTACGGTATTCAACATTTTCAGGCACGTGGGAATAAAGAGATAAAGAGATAGAGGTTGAAGACTCAAATATTCCATTTTGTAGTTTCCAGCTTCTGGTAAAGAACTAAGAACCCATTAGGCTGTTGATGAGCTTACATGTGAACCAGTAGTCTGGAGTGCAGAAACCCCAGGAGTCGGATTCCAATGCTTTGGCCCAGTGGTTAGTTACCTTACTCATAATGAAGATGTTGGTGCCATTAAGCACAGCAGAGTTTCCTTGGGAACCCTGCAGGCTTTGAAGAGATCCAGAAAACAACAATAGGTCACAAACAGACCTTGGTGACGTTGGCATTCATTTGAGATATTTGGAATATGTCCCAAAGTTGGGCCAAGCTAAAAGATAAAAATTTTCTTAAAAGAAAAACAGATATTTGGAAATATGATAAAGCTCAAGTTTGTATAACAAAGGTTAATTTTGAAAAGAATGGTTAATTTGAAAACAAGGGTTAATCTCTCAATGGCATCTTTTGATTTTCATGATCCACACCTCAAGGGCAGTCTGGCCTTCCTATTTTTCTCTTTCCTTATCCCACTATTCCCTTTTCCTTCTCTATTTCTTCCATTAGCTCTGTTTTGTTTTCTTTATTTCCTTTTCTGCCCATGCACAAAGTAAACCAATGATAAAATATTGTCACTGTGCTCTTTTTAAGATATATTGAGGACTACATTTAAGGTTTGAAACTGTCAGAAGCACTAGAATCACAGCAAGCTTGTTTATAACTTGTAGCTAAATACCTAAAGATTAAATGGCAGTTTCAAATCCTAAAGTTACATGGATGTGTTTATACTATGCATGAATCTAAGAATTTGTGTGGGTAAATTTCATTCTAAGCAGTGATACATCTGAAAGGATGACAATAAGTACAATTAATCAATTAGTGACACCCATTGCTTTCACTACCGTGTTTTTTAAAAAAATTTTCAGCCAGAGCCAAAGCTGAACGCTACTAATTTTATAATTATGCACAGTTATCAGACAAGTTTGTTTGTTTGAGACAGAGTCTCGCTCTGTCACCAGGCTGGAGTGCAGTGGCTCGATCTCTGCTCACTGCAACCTCCGCCTCCCGGGTTCAAGCGATTCTCCTGCCACAGACTCCCGAGTAGCTGGGACTACAGATGCGTGCCCCCACGCCCAGCTAATTTTTGTATTTTTAGTAGAAATGGGGTTTCACCATATTGGCCAGGATAGTCTCGATCTCTTGACCTCGTGATCGGCCCGCCTCGGCCTCCCAAAGCGCTGGGACTACAGGCGTGAGCCACCGCACCCGGCCCAAGTTTTATAAATCTTGATGCCATTTGAAAACCTATATGATTGTGAGGCCAGGAGCAGTGGCTCATGCCCTAACACTTTGGGAGGTTGAGGCAGGTGGATCACCTCAGCTCAGGAATTCGAGACCAGCCTGGGCTACATGGCAAAACCCTGTCTCTGCCAAAATACAAAAATTAGCCAGGCGTGGTGGCAGGCACCTGTAATCCCATCTACTCAGGAGGCTGAGACAGGAGGATAGCTTGAGCCCGAGAGGCCGAGGTTGCAGTGAGCCAAGATCGCACCACTGCGCTCCAGCCTGGGCAACAGAGTGAGAATCTGTCAAAAAAAAAAAAAAAAAAAAAGGAAACCTATATGATTCTGATTGAGAAAACAATCTCACAGAAACAATTTGACAAGATAATTCCTCTAACTTTACAATGAATGGCAAGAAAATGCAGCAGAAAAAATTATCACCGACGGCCGGACGCGGTGGCTCACGCCTGTAATCCCAGCACTTTAGGAGGCTAAGGGGGGGCGGATCACGAGATCAGGAGATCGAGACCATCCTGGCTAACACGGTGAAACCCCCGTCTCTACTAAAAATACAAAAAATTAGCCTGGCGTGGTGGCGGAAGCCTGTAGTCCCAGCTACTCCGGAGGCTAAGGCAGGAGAATGGGGTGAACCCGGGAGGCGGAACTTGCAGTGAGCCGAGCTCGCGCCACTGCACCCCAGCCTGGGTGACAGAGCGAGACTCCGTCTCAAAAAAAAAAAAAAAAATTATCACCGAGCTCAATCAAAGTAACTTTACTTGGGACTGCTGTTTCAACAGGATTAGTAATTTGCTAATCAGTTTTCTAGTTCCTAAATTCCTTTTGCTTATAAGCATTCAAATGAAATTGACAC
This sequence comes from Homo sapiens, assembly GCF_000001405.40. Taxonomy (NCBI): domain Eukaryota; kingdom Metazoa; phylum Chordata; class Mammalia; order Primates; family Hominidae; genus Homo; species Homo sapiens. The sequence continues at coordinate 27,787,648 of NC_000006.12, read as the reverse complement.
CACCATAACTGGTTTTCAAAAGCATTTAGGTCTTTTGAGGTTGCATCATGGTTTACATTTAATTATAAGCTGATTTATTTCCTAAAGAGAGAGTTTTTTCTGATTTTCTATTACCTCTGCTTTCTCATTAAAAACTAAAAGTAAAACCTGGATGCTGGGGAATGTAGTTCATTTGTAAGAAGGCTCACTGCCTCGTGAACTCAGATGGTTAGCAGCAAAAACAAAACAAAACAAAACAAAAATGGTCCCTGCAGAATTCAGACTTTCTGCGTGAAGTTTGCCCCAAATAGAAACACACACTTGAGAAAGTCTTTGATTTTAGCCTCATCAGAACAGCACAGGTGAGAATGTGCTTCCGTCATTGAGTTTCTCCGCCAAACAAACCCAGAACGAGGGTGGCTAAGAATTGTTCATGACTTGCAAGCACGGAGGCAGGAGAGAGAGTGAATTTCTCCTCCTGAAATTCCAAACTGTAAAACCCTGGAGGTGGCAAGGGAATGATCCTAACAAATGGGAAGATTTCAGACTTTTATGGGGAGACCTCATTATATTTCTCGTCTAAAACTAACAAGACACGAAAAATCTTTTCCAACACCAAAGGTGAAAATCATCCCAGCTGGTGTGACCTGGGGAAGTAAAGGTCAGTTTCCCAAATGCAGCGCATGTGAGAACGCATGACCTGCAATGTGACAATGACAGCTTTTCAGAGAGATGTCTACTTGCACTACCAGGGCCTTGCACCCCCCAGCCCCTGGCCAGACTTTCCCTTGAGCAAAGCAGCGATGTGGACAGCAGAACGTAGTCTTTCTGAGAAGTGGAAAGGAGTCAGGATTACTGAGAGGACAAGCTCTCCTTTGTGAAGCCTTGGGAATGAAATGGCTGGTGAATGGAAAACAGGTTCCTTGTAAGTCTTTGCTTACTATGGGTGAGGCCTCAAAATGTTCCATTCATTTCCACAAACTTTTGATAACTCCTCCAGGTGCTGGTCACTGAAGCAGATGAGGCCTCTGCAAATAACGACTAAATGTATACAACTAAATATAGAATCGCACGTGTGGATCTCTTTCTCCAGAGGACACTGGCCAAAAATCATGTGAACGAGAACCTTTTTCCATCGTGAATTCAATCCTTACCATGCAAACAGGTTCCCATCTTTCAGTGACTCCACAAGCTCTTCTATTTTAATCATGGTTAAACACGTGCCCTTTAAAAGCAAGCAGGGTTGGGATTAGTGAAGAAGGAAGAATGGAGAGAAGAAATTTGGGAACAACCAGTGCAGACAGCCTTGGGACAAAATGTAAAACTGAGCCATCCTGGGTTCTGGTGAAGATCATAACTAGGTGAAAGTCTTACCCCCAGCAAAGTGTTGATGAACTCTTATCCTGATCTAGGCACTGTGTTAAGCAATGGGGACTCTAAAGGGAACAAGATCTCAAGACTGGTCCCTGCACTGGGATAGCTTGCTGGAGGGTAAGAGAGAGACATTAAAAAGAAACTAAAACGTGTGGTGTTATGATGAGGGCAGTTTGGGTGCTGAGAAATTATAGATGGAGGCAGCTAAGCTGAGATAATGGAAGCCAGAGAAGCCTCATTAAAGTCAAGTTGAGATCGGAGGAATGAGAACTGAACTAAAGCAAATAAAGTGAGGGCAGAGGAGAGGGCTAAAGAGTGTTGTGGGAGGTGGAGTTTGGGCAGAAAAAAAATTCACCATAGCTCATGCTTGGAAGTCAAGTGTGAGAACTGACGGTGGAGATGCAGCAGGTTAAGGGAGCATCATCAAAGTATAAAGTGTTCCCTGGCTTCCCCACTTATTTACTAGTCTGCACACAACATTCTATTTTAAGCAAGAGTCCTCCCTTTTCTCCATTTTACTTAAATGTCTATCATTGATATGGACTCATGGAATCTTTTCTCCCCAGTGATTTATAACTCATTATTGTCCTTAATTATATTGATGTTCAACTTTACCCATATTTAATTAGGGAGAGCCCCTTTTTGGGAACATAGCCTCTTGCCTTGCAGGAGTAAAGCCATCTTGAAGTAAAACAATCATAATGACTAATATTTGACTCCTGCATACCAAGGTATTCTGCAGCAAGGTCAAAAACAATGTATGTAGCATGAATAACCCCTCATAAAATTGCTTATCTAACTTCCCCAGTGGCCATGGGTTTTGCGAGACAGTCTGAGGTGTAATCAGCTGTTCATATTTTACCCTAAAAGCTTGCTATAGAAAGGATACTTTCTGCAGGGTGAGTGCAGGGATCCACCCTCTCGGGCTGCAGCCCAAGATGTGGTTTCTGTTTGTAAGTCTTTATTAAATGTTTCTTTCTGAGAAACTGGATTTGTCAAACTTTGTTTGGCCTCTCATCTCCCTGGGACTTTGGAGGTTGCTTTGCCTGTACCTGCTCATAGTGGAAAACCATTCGAGTGGCCTCTGGATCCTTGTAGCTTGCTACTATCATTTTTTTTTTTTATTTTAATGAGACGGAGTCTCACTCTGTCGCCAGGCTGGAGTGCAGTGGTGCCATCTTGGCTCACTACAATCTCCACCTCCCTGGTTCAAGGGATTCTCCTGCCTCAGCCTCCCGATTAGCTGGGATTACAGGCGCATGCCACCACTCCCAGCTAATTTTTCTTGTATTTTTAGTTGAGATGGGTTTTCACCACGTTGACCAGGATGGTCACGATCTCCTGACCTTGTGATCCGCCTGCCTCGGCCCCCCAAAGTGCCACAATCATTCTTTTGAACATGTTCTTATTTTCTGCATAACAAGTTGTTCCAGACTTAATTTGCATCTACCCTGCCCCAGCCCAAAATTCAGCCATTTCTCAGTACTTTCCTGATTTCTTTCAGTGGGGAAGAGTATTAGAGAGGAATATCCGGGGGCATAGTGTACTAACTGCTTCTATGATATTTGCTTCTTGGTCCTTTTAATGGAAACACCTAGGAAATACATGTGCATGTATACACATATAATCATATATACTTACACATGTGCATGTGCATATATACACATATGCGCATGTATTCATGCCCATACAAATACATATACATATTTTAGAAATCATGAGCTCGGCTTGGTGAGGTGGCTTACGCCTTTAATCTCAGCACTTTGGGAAGCCAAGGCAGATGGATCACCTGAGCTCAGGAGCTCGAAACCAGGCTGGGCAACACGGTGAAACCTCGCCTCTACTAAAATACAAAAAATTAGGTGAGCATGGTGGCATGTGCCTGTAATTCCAGCTACTCGGGAGGCTGAGGCAGGAGAATCGCTTGAACCTGGGAGGCGGGGGTTGCAGTGAGCCGAGATCACGCCACTGCACTCCAGCCTGGGGGACAGAGACCCTGTCTCCAAAAAAAAATAAAATGATAATAAAATAATAAAAAATAATAAAAAATAAAAAAAATCATGAGCTCACACCCATACCTCCCATTTCAATCCATTCATCTCTTCAGGATTCTTTCTTATATTCTCCCATTCTATATTTGTATGTGTCCCTTTTTCCACATTGAGACCCCTAATTCCAACAAGATTAGCATATTTACTCACCTGCTGTATCATATAATACACATACAATAGTTTTGGAATTGCTTTGCCCATCTACTAACAAAAACTATCCATTAAAAGAGGTTCAGTAGGTGATTGTAACAACTAACCAAATAAATAAATAGAGTTAAAGATTTGTTTGCATTTCTCCATACACACACCCCTGTCTCCTTACCATCCTCACTCTCTTGGCCAAAGAGTGAAGGTGTACTGTCAAATGCCCTGTCCACAAATTATGTTATTTTCCTTTCCATGTAGTCGTACTATGGAATAAAATTGAGTTCATTTGCTTTAACTTGCTTTCAACCTTAGTTTTCTCCACTACCCATCCTTACTTAACAGTTTTTGAAAATGTAGGTTGGCCGGGCACGGTGGCTCATGCCTGTAATTGCAGCACTTTGGGAGGCTGAGGTGGGTGGATCACCTGAGGTCAGGAGTTCAAGACCAGCCTGGCCAATATGGTGACACCTCATCTGTATTAAAAATACAAAAACTAGCCAGGTAAGGTGGCACGTGCCTGTAATCCCAGCTGCTCGGGAGGCTGAGGCAAGAGAATCATTTGAACCTGAGAGGCGGAGATTGCAGTGAGCCCATATCGCTCCACTGCACTCCAGTGTGGGTGACGCAGTCAGACTCTGTCTCAAAAAAAAGAAAAAAAAAAAGGTAAAGCATTCACACGCTTTCAAAAGTTAAAGGTCTAACAAAAGGTAAACTCAGAGAAGTGGCCTCCCATATCCCTTGCACTCCATTTCCCCCAAGTCTCTTACCACCAACACCATTTTAGGTAACTGTTAACGGTGGAGGGTGTGCAGGTTCTGGCGTCTTAAACGAAGAATTGGACAAAACTCACAAACAAAGCAATGAAGGAATTAAGGGTTTTATTGAAAATGAAAGTACACTCCACAGTGTGGGAGTGGACCTGAACCTAGGGGCTCAAAGGCCCCGTTACAGAATTTTCAGGAGTTTAACCCCTAGAGAATTCTTATTTGTTACTTCGGAAGCCCTATATAAACAGACAGGATGAGGTAAAGTTACAAAGTCATTTACAGCATATGCCCTATGGAGAGGATATTTCCTTTTATAGCTGAAGTATGAATTGGCCTTATGTTCCCTGCCTCCAGACCTTATTTTCCTGTCTCATTTCCTCCCTGAGAGATGTGATCCCCATAAATCTTTATGGGAGGCAGAGGGACTGATGGTCTTTTTTCTGTAACTGCTTCATGCTACCTTGGGGCGTAGTCCCTACCTATTGTGGATCATGGAACTCTCTCCCTGTTCTGTCTAGTGAAGGCAAGGTAGCTTCTTGATGGCCAGGGGTGGTGTCTTCACATGGAGGTGGCTGGAACCTTTGTTTCATGATCATCTGAAGCTTGATGATTTCTAAGCAAGAGGAAATGAATTTGGTTAAAAGATTTAATGGGAACTTCGGGGGTGGATACCTATGCTCTCAGAAATGTTTGTTATAGAGGTTTGCAGGAGAAAAAACAAAACCTGGTTTGTTCTAGAAATCTATGTGTTTCCTTAAAGTCTTAGCAGAAGTGACTCCCTTTTGGTTTGGTTTGGTTTGTTGGGGCCTAGTGCATAAGCCTAGTCCGAAACAATGGCCTTCCAGAATTTTGTTAAAAAAATTTCCCCTTTTTGGTCAGGTTCTCAGGTGAGAGTGTAACCAAAACTTAGGGCCTTAGTGCTGCTCTCAGTTACCATCATTTTGGGCTTCTGGTCTCAGCACATCATTCATAGGTTAAGGGGTCCTCATGGTTGCACATTTCCTTCAGCTCTTGTTATTCCAGCTGAAGAAAGACCATTTGACATTCTGGAGATGGCTACATGCAAGCATTTAAAACCTTCGAGGGAATGCAGTGCACCAGGGAGACTATTATTATGACTATTGGGAGGATGATACCAAGAGTTTGGAGTGTGCTCCTTACCCAAGGTCCCCATAAACCAAACCTCTTAAAATCAAATAGATCAAAGGATCAGCTAGATAAAGAATTTACTCACTTGACTTAGCAATTTCTTTGTCAATCCTCTACCACTGAATTTCTGTAATCTTCATTTGACGTATTTTTCCATAGGCCACAAGTGCCAGCAGCTGCACAGATACTTCTCTGTTTAGCCAATTCTATCATAACTTTCACAAGGTAATTTAGAGTCTATTGTGTAACTATAGCCTTTACAGTAGAATTTGCTATAGAACCTATTGTGAGGGATATATTTCTAATCATTGCTTCTTTTTCTTTAAACCATGGAAAAAGGACCTAACAAATGATGCCTTTTTAGAAGAGTGAAGGCCTTCTGGCAATGTTCTCTTTAACCCATGATGTGGGTTAAGAGGAGTGAACCAATGTTTTGTTTTTGATTATGAGGCAAAGCATGTACCTTTAAAGTTTCTTACCTACATTGGGCCTTCATCTTTTATCTATCAAAGTATAAGTTTACCCATTTAAAAAGCTGGTTACAAACTCCTTCGCAAGTAAGAGTATACACCATAAGTGCACATAACAGACACCTTTTCCACTTCTATTTTTTTGTAGAGGCATAAGCAACAAAAAATATTCGAAGATAAGTTTCACGACAGTAGAAGTCTTAATCTGTGAACGTGAGAAAAGCTGTTCATAGTAAGGATGCCATTCTCCTCTTGGGAGAAATTTCTTTGGTTAATTTTACCTTAAGGGTTCCAGTGGGCACACAGCTCCAAGAGCTTGGAGGGACCCTTCTCAGTTGTGAGATTATGAACTCAAAGTTCAAGATCCCAAAGTTTTGTTGTAGTGTGAATGGCAAGAACAGTCTTTCTCTGATGCTTCTAGAAGATTCAAATCATAAAAAGCTTTCTTTGCCTGTTGAAAATACACTGTAGTAATCTACTGTTATAACATCAGCCCTCTTGCATAGGAAACCTTTTATACAACCAGAAAACATGCACTGAAAATAACAAATGAGCTCTCAAGCTTGGTGTTTGCTTGGTGGGGACCCACGTGGGTTCAACATGTGTATTGAGAAGTGTTATTTCTGTTCAGGGCCCATCTACCCTGGTCACGGCATGATGTTCGTCCACAACAATTGCAAGTTGTTCAGATTTTGTAAATCTAAATGTCATAAAAACTTTTAAAAGAAGTGCAGTCCTCGCAAAGCTAGGTGGATCAAAGCATTCCAGAATGCAGCTGGTAAAGAGCTTACAGTGGATAATTCATTTGAATTTGAAAAACGTAGAAATGAACCTATCAAATACCAGCGAGAGCTATGGAATAAAACTATTGATGCAATGAAGCAAATTGAAGAAATCAAACAGAAATGCCAAGCTAAATTTATAATGAACAGACTGAATAAAAATAAAGAGCTACAGAAAGTTCAGGATATCAAAGAAGTCAAGCAAAACATCCATCTTATTCAAGCCCCTCTTGCAGGCAAAGAGAAGCAGCTGGAAGAGAAAATGGTACAGCAGTTACAAGAGCATGTAGGCATGGAAAACACATCTTAAAAATCTCTGTAACCATTTCTTTTATGTACATTTGAAAATGTCCTTTACAGACTTGGAACTGCTAAATTATTAGTTTATTTTTTACATAAGGTCACTTAAATGAAAAGTGATTAAAACATATCTTTCCTACATTGACATCTGCAAAACATCAGATATTACGAATGTTAGATTGCATCTCAGTGTTAAATCTTCACTGATAGATGTACGTATGTAAATCATGAAAATTCTACTTCTAACTATAGAAGTGAATTGTGGATGTAAAATGGTTATGCTATTTGGATAATGGCACTAGGCAGCATTTGTATAACAACTAATGGCAAAAATTCATGGCTAGTGATGTATAAAATAAAATATTCTTTGCAATAAAATATTCCGTTTATTAACGTTACAGAAGGGGGGATACAACAAGGAACTAACAATTTGTATAACAGTGTCAAATGTTATTTTGATTTTAGTATTTCCTGTTTTGGTTTATTTGTATCTTAGAAGAGCACAATGACATTGTTTGATGAAGCCTAATTATTCTGGACTGTTTTGACCTGGTTTAACCCTTCTGATAGGTAGTTGTGGATATTGGGGATGAGAACTGAATAATCTTTGCCTGGAGTGACACTACACTCTAGAATTTCCATTTTGGAGAATACTCAGTTCTAACTTGTGACTGCTGGTAGAACAAACTTTATTTTTCTAGCCTAGCAATGTTCTAGAAGCAGAGGAATCCCAGTGCCTTTTAAAAGTTATTATATGGTTTTCTTTTAAAAAGCTCCTGTTTTTGGAAAGTAGAATTTATGAGTATAACATCTGTTCATTATTTGCACATAAAATGAAACCATTTAAAAAGAAAAAATAAACAGAAAAAGAAAATAACAAATGAATAAAATTCCTTTATAAAATGTTTAAATGGGCGACCACGTGACCAAACATATCTGAAGCTTTGTTTTCCCAGGAATATGGCATCAAGCATTGGTTATAAACTATTTTAAACAATTTCAGTATTAGCTGGTTTAACATGAAATTATTTTCTTGATATTTAATTAAGTTTTTGTTTTACTTGGGTTAGTAGCTTTATACAAGAAAATTTGGTTGTTTCTGCAGTTTACAATAACTTAACATAACTATAATTAATAGCTTATACTATTTTAGAAATCCCATACAATTTTGAAATATATATTAGTATTATTCACAAAAATATAGCCTAAAGAAGATTGAGCATCATTTTGGCAATCCCATGTACCTAAACGTGTCAAATAATCCTGTTTACCTGTCTTTTCTGGACACTTCAGGGGCCCGCTGAAGTATTCAAAAAGCCAGGTGCCAGGGAAGAGATTTTTGAAACCGATGTTTGATTTTGGGAATTCCAGATTGCTATAAGTTATTTATTTTGCCAAAACGATGACTCAGAAATTTTAAAGAAGCAAAGACCTTTTATAACCCTTTTGTATTTAGTCAACATGTTCACACAGAGAACCTCTTCCGTTAAAAAAAAAAAAAGTAAAACATTCACATGCTTTCAAAAGTTAAAGGTATAACAAAAGGTAAACTCAGAGAAGTGGCGTCCCATGTCCCTTACACTCCATTTCCCCCAAGTCTCTTACCACCATTTTAGGTAGCCAGATTCACTGTTTTCTGGTTTATCTTCACTATGTTTTCTTTTCAGAAAGAAAAACAGGTATGTGTATGTTTTCTTAATTCCCCTTCCTTCTTGAAAAAAGGTAGCCTACTATAATATTCATCTGCACTTTCTTTACTTAACACTATCTCCTAGAAATTATATCTTTTTTGTAGCCCCATAGCGCTTCCTCTTTGAGTCCATGTTACAGTTTATTCAACCAATCTCTTATGCCTGGACATTTAAAGTTAGTTAAAATGCTTCTAGAAGGTAAGCAGACAAAATAAAGATTATTGGTCTTCTGAGTTTGCCCATGGAATTCTGATTCACAAAATGCTTTAAATGTACCCCTATGTTTTCTACCATTTACATTTTTTAAAAAAATCTATCCAAGTAGAATCAACCATTTTACACTTAACTTCATTGTTGCTTCTCTTTCTCATAACATTCCATGTGTCTAGTTTCTGTAAGTATGGAAGGAGGAGGGTATAAATGATGTCTTTTGGCCATCGTAACAGATAGCTTTAGAGAAGAATTCACAGTACACGAAATGAATTTAATAAATCATGCATAGAGATGAACAAAAGAGCAAAAGAAGCAGGAGGCTCCCGTAGAAGCAAAAAGACAATAACGATTTACAATAACCAATGGTCTCAGGCAAAAGTCAGTAACAGTGTTTTGCCTTCGAGTGCAAGAAAATATAAAATTATATTCAACCTCAGTGTATTTTCTATTCACTGGAAGATAGGTAATTTGTTGGAAGTAAACATGAGAATTGTCACCTCCTCTTCCCAAGTAAGATATGCCTTTCCAAATAAGATATGAGTAAGAAAGGAGTTACGCAAACATTTGGAGAAAGGAGAAGGAACATGCTGAAGACATATCTAAAAGTGAGATACAGCCTCTGAAAGGACTTTTAAGAGAGAGAGAGCGAGAGAGAGAGAGAGATATAATATATATAATATATATTTAGAGGCCATCTTCTCCCCACAACTGTGGAAGGTAATTCCTCAAGAAGGGGGGGGGGAAAAAAAAAAAAAAAAGCACCCTTCTTTAGCAGAGGATGGTTTAGATCCATCGACCTCTGGGTTATGGGCCCAGCACGCTTCCGCTGCGCCACTCTGCTAACGGAAAACACGCTTCTACTCTTCTTATTTATCATGCAGGTGATCAGCCATTTTGTTGTTGTTGTTGTTGTTGTTGTTACACTGTTTTGCCTCTTTCTGTTTTTCTTTCACTGTTTCTTTCCCGGTTTTTCTTTTTTCCTCTTGGCCTCTTAAGATCAGCTCACTCTAGAACCAGTTGATTCCAACAATCCCCTTCAAGTTGCGAGTTGCCCTTTCCAAATCTACCAAACATGCTTCAAAACCTGACATTTCTTTCTTTAAGAGCTGCTTTGGGCTCAGGAGCAGAAACAGGAGAAAAGTCAAGCAAAGCCCTCAGAAGCCCTTAGAGAGAATCGAGGAAGGCATTAAGTCAGACTACTCTCCTTAGAGAGAAAGTATATTAGCCAGTTCGCTTGTTTCCTGTCCCCAATAAAATTTCTTTCCCAACACTAGAAGTATTTTTGCGTATTGACCTAGAAGTATTTTTGCATATTGACCTAACGCCTTTTGCAGCTTTCCGGGCGCCTGGTGTACCCACGCAGCCCCACCTTATCCCCACCCCTATCCCTGCCGTTGAATTCATAAAAAGGGGCTTCCTACCCTAACCCTTTGGTGTTATGTCTGCGGACAGCTTTCACTTTCAGCGAATGTGGGCTTTCCCAGCCAAGGGCCCAAACAGAGACCTTTGATACTCCTTCATCCTGTGCTATGTCAAGAAAGTCCCTTCTGAAACTTTTATTTTGCTCTTTTCACCAACTTGCTTTTCCCGTTTTCTCAGAGTTTCTCTGTCTTCAGGAAAGCCTTGTGTTTCCAGTTCCAGGTCAGGCATAGGATTGGTGGCCATTACTCTCCACCAATTTCATTTACGTTTTCTTTCTTTTTTTTTTTTTTTCCTTTTCTAAAAAGACAGGGTGAGACACTGAGGCAGATATACTGGGGTTAGGAAGATATCCCAGAATAAGAGCATGAGAAAGCAGGCTGGAATGGTTCATGTGGACAAGATGAGTCCTAAGCAAAACTGAACCAGGTCCCACCAGGACCTGACGTGGGGCCACTAGATTTGGAGCCATGGGTATTAACTATCACAGCAGGGAGCCCCAACCCCTGGGCCACTGACCCGGTACTGGTCAGTGGTAGTGGCAGCCTGTTAGAAACCGGACCACACAGCAGAAGGTGAGCAGCAGGAGAGCCAGTGAAGCTTCATCTGTATTTATAGCTGCTCCCCATCACTCTCATTACCGCCTGAACTCCACCTCCTGTCAGATCATCTGAGGCATTAGATTCTTATAGGAGTTCTAACCCAATTGTAAACTGCCCATTTGAGGGATCTATGTTGCCCACTCTTTATGAGAATCTAATGCCTGATGATCTGTCACTGTTTCCCATAACCTCCTGATGGGACCATCTAGTTGTAGGAAAACAAGCTCAGGGCTCCGTCTGATTCTACATTATGGTGAGTTGTATAATTATTATATATCACAATGTAATAATAGAAATAAAGTGCACAATAAATGTAATGCATTTGAATCATCCTGAAACCATTCCCCTCTCCCCCAACCCCTGTCCATGGAAAAACTGTCTTCCATGAAACCAGTCCCTGGTGCCAAAAAGGTCTGGGACCGAGGCATCACAGCACTGAATTGCTGCTTACACTACAGGTGTTGCCAGAGGGCTCAGAAGGGTTTCCAGAAGCCAGTGAGACCCCAGCCCCAGCCCCAGCCAGTTTCCAGGTTCTTGACACCTTCGTAAGAAAGAATTCAGGGAGGAGTCAGAATGAAGCCAAAGGCAAGAAGCTTTTATTGCTAAGCAAAAGTACACACTTAGGGAAGTGTGGGTGAGCTCATGAGAATGAGTCGTGCCCAACAGAGTTTGAGTTTTCTATTTTTATGGGCTCTTGTAATTAGAGGGTGGACTAATCATGAGGTTTTCTGGGGGAAAGGCGAAGGTTTCATAAAATTGAGATGCCACCCATTTTTATATTAAATATGGGCGTACTCGATCTGTCAGGGCGCTGGTGGGTGTGTAATTTCGTATGGTAATTAGCATATAATTAGGTCTTGGGTAGGGCATGGGTCAAATCCAGCGCCATGTTGGACCCAGACGGTTTCAGACAGCTTAGCCACCATCCTGTTTGTTAGGGTCTTATCAGCCCAAGTTCTTTCTTGTCCTTGTAGCTAATTTTAACAGCTCCTTTTTTGCTGTTATGTGAAATTACTGCTTGATGTTTCTCCTATGACTACCCAGCATTCCTATCAAATAGAGATGAGATTTATCACCTTCCTTGTTCCCCTGGCCCTCTCACTCCACTAGCATGAACCCTTCAGTGACTCAGGTGCCTGATCTCAGCCTCTTTCAGAAAATAATCTGAGTGGAAAAACATTTTTATAGCCGCAAGCCAGGACTCCTCCCCTCCCCTCCACCAAATGCCCTATTTTCCTCTCAAAGGGGTTTAGGTCTGTGTTGCATGGGCCTTCTCTGTGGGGAAAAGCAAGAGAGATCAGATTGTTACTGTGTCTGTGTAGAAAGAAGTAGACATAGGAGACTCCATTTTGTTCTGTACTAAGACAAATTCTTCTGCCTTGAGATTCTGTTAATCTATGAACTTACTCCCAACCCCGTGCTCTCTGAAACATGTGCTGTGTCAAACTCAGGGTTAAATGGATTAAGGGCGGTGCAAGATGTGCTTTGTTAAACAGATGCTTGAAGGCAGCATGCTCGTTAAGCGTCATCACCACTCCCTAATCTCAAGTACCCAGGGACACAAACACTGCAGAAGGCCGCAGGGACCTCTGCCTAGGAAAGCCAGGTATTGTCCAAGGTTTCTCCCCATGTGATAGTCTGAAATATGGCCTCTTGGGAAGGGAAAGACCTGACCGTCCCCCAGCCCGACACCTGTAAAGGGTCTGTGCTGAGGAGGATTAGTATAAGAGGAAGGCATGCCTCTTGCAGTTGAGACAAGAGCAAGGCATCTGTCTCCTGTCCGTCCCTGGGCAATGGAATGTCTCGGTATAAAACCCGATTGTACGTTCCATCTACTGAGATAGGGAAAAACCGCGTTAGGGCTGGAGGTGGGACATGCGGGCAGCAATACTGCTTTGTAAAGCATTGAGATGTTTATGTGTATGCATATCTAAAAGCACAGCACTTAATCCTTTACCTTGTCTATGATGCAAAGACCTTTGTTCACGTGTTTGTCTGCTGACCCTCTCCCCACAATTGTCTTGTGACCCTGACACATCCCCCTCTCGGAGAAACACCCACGAATGATCAATAAATACTAAGGGAACTCAGAGGCTGGTGGGATCCTCCATATGCTGAACGCTGGTCCCCCGGGTCCCCTTATTTCTTTCTCTATACTTTGTCTCTGTGTCTTTTTCTTTTCCAAGTCTCTCGTTCCACCTTACGAGAAACACCCACAGGTGTGGAGGGGCAACCCACCCCTTCATTCTCTCTTCACTAGAAAACCAGTGAGGAAGTGGAAGGAGGAGACTGAGCACCTGCCATGTAATATGCAGTGGTGTACCTCACTTAATGTGCAGCAGGAAGAGCCGCAGACAAAACCCCTCAGACACCGAGTTAAAGAAGGAAGGGGTTTATTTGGCCTGGAGCATCGGCAAGACTTCTGTCTCAAGAACCGAGCTCCCTGAGTGAGCAATTCCTGTCCCTTTTAAGGGCTCACAACTCTAAGGGGGTCCACATGAGAGGGTCGTGATCAACTGAGCAAGCAGGGGGTGCATGTTTGGGGGCTGCATGCACCAGTAATCAGAACGGAACAGAACAGGACAGGGATTTTTACAATGCTTTTCCATACAATGTCTGGAAACTATAGATAACATAACCAGTGTTAGGTCAGGGGTTAATCTTTAACTACCAGGCCCAGGGCGTGGCGCCGGGCTGTCTGCCTGTGGATTTCATTTCTGCTTTTTAGTTTTTACTTCTTCTTTCTTTGGAGGCAGAAATCGGGCATAAGACAATATGAGGGGTGGTCTCCTCCCTCATTCGCTCACCTCATTAAAAGTGATGAGGCTGTCTTTGTCTTACAGATGAGAAGACTGAGGCATAAATCTGTGACCCTTCACCTGTATGTTTCAATTTCATGTCTATGTTTATCAGGATGCTTTTTTGTTTGTTTGTTTTTGCAGAGGGTGGGGAACAGGGTCTTGCTCTGTCACCTAGGCTGCAGTGCAGTGGCACGATCATAACTCACTATAACCTTGACCTCCTGGGCTTAAGTGATCCTCCTACCTCAGCCTCCCCAGTAACTAGGACTACAGGCCCACACCACCACACCTGGCTAATTTTTTTATTATTATTTTTTGTGGAGATGAGGTCTCGCTAGGCATGAGCCACGAGACCTATTCCTCGTTTTTGAAAGGTAAAGGATCCGACACTTTAGAAGAAAGGTAAAGGAGGAATTTTTAGAGAAACCAGTTCAAGAGAAGCTGTTAATGGTACTTACAGGAAACATAAGTGTTTGAACGACAAGGCTGGAAAAGAATTAATGCACCATGGGACAATTATCATAACGAGAGTGGTAAGGAGATGGAATGGAGAGTTGGGGGGAAGGAGAAATCAGCAGTTTCCCAGATCTGGAATTACAACAGGGCCCCAAGTTCCCATCCCACCATCAGGAAAGATACCTGGTGAGAACCTCAAATAGACCTGCTGATGTTTCTTCAACACTGCCTTGCACGTCCCTTTCCTCGTGTTCATGTGGGGACCTGCAGGTCATTAAACTACAAATCAGTCTTACCTGCTTCATGAGGAGCTTTTTCCCAAGAGACATTTAGCAAAGAGCTTGGGCGATATCCTTAGCGCTGTAGTGGTGGACAGAGCTTTCCTCCGAGCAGTCTCATGGGCAGAGCTTTCCTCCAAGCAGTCGGAGAGCTTTCCTAAGCTCCTAACAGCTCCTAAAGGAGCTGTTAAAATTAGCTACAAGGACAAGGAAGAGCTTGGGCTGATAAGACCCTAATAAACAGGATGAGGGCTAAGCTGTCTGAAACCGTCTGAGTCCAACGTGGCGCTGGATTTGACCCATGCCCTACCCAAGACCTAATTATATGCTAATTACCAAACGAAATTACACACCTTCAGAGAGCTTTCCTCTGACTGCTTGGAGGAAGCTCTGCCCACCACAAATGCAACGAGTAACCCTGGCACCCAGTTGCGTTTCCGCGGCTTGCTAAAGGCCTGCTCTCCAAGGCTGCCAGGCCTTGCTGAGTTTGCACAAAGAAACGCGGCCCGCGGTAGCAGGCGTCCGGCTTCCTGGGGCGCGCCGCCTGGTGGAGACTGCGGGGAAGGAGCCACAGGAGCTGGTAACTCGACAGCTGATTCTTGTTTGCTGAAAAGGTGCTTTGAAAAGTGACTCTCACGTTAGCCTTTGGTTGCTGCTCTTCTTACACATCACGAGTAAGGCCCTCCTCCCCTCAGCGAAGACTCTACAAATCAAGAGGCCAGGATGAGGTTGGTTAAGGATTGGTTAGTGTCTGCATGACGGGTATAGGCCAGGAGGGAGGCTGAAAATGCACTGCGGGTCTATGGTCATACCACTCTGAACGCGCCCGATCTCGTCTGAAAATGCACCGCGGGAGATTCACAACTGTCAATACGTGGGACAGGATTGTAGCCGGCAGGTTCGAACCTATGCAGACAGGCTTAATTATATTTTCATCACCTTAAGCATCCAGAGGCTGCACCACATTGTCAGCTAATCACTTCATGTTGTGTTGTCTTGCCGGTTGTATCTGTTTTAAAGCTAAGTAAATTTAGGGATGGGGGTTGTTGTGGACTGAACTGTGTCCATCAAAATTCCTGTGCCAAACCCCTAATCTCAACGTGACTGTATTTGGAGATAGGGCATTTAAGGAGGTAATTAAGGTTGAATGAGGTCAAAACGGTGAGACCCCAATCCAAAAGGATGGGAGGGGGGAGACGGAGGAAGGAGCCTACTCTAATGACCTCATTTTAATTTAATCACCCCTATAAAGACTCTGTCACCAAACATGTTCACATTCTGATATATTGGGGGTTAGAACTTCAACATACGAATTTATGGGGGGCAGGGCAGGGGTACACACAGTTTAGCCCATCACAAACGTATACACTTTAAGGATTGTTATATCTTCCTGAAGAATTGACCCTTTTATTATTATATAATGCCACTCTTTATTCCTGGTAATTTTCCTTGCTCTGAAGTCTACATTGTCTGAAATTAAAATTACTCCAAGCTTTCTTTTGACTAATGTTAGCATAATATGCCTTTTTCCATGCCCCATTACACTGTGGCTTGTGTTTCCCTAATCATGTAGCTGAAAGTCCCACAACCCAAGATCCCTCTCCAGGAATCAATGTGCAGTTCTGAAAGATATGCACGCCTCCCACTGTTCCTTCATAGTGAATGACCATAATAAACACCAGTGCAGCAGCCTAAGTTGTGTACCGTCAGGTCATCCACCTCCAGAGAAAAGAACCAAAGCCCTTAGTACATGGCACTGGCTGAGCTCCCATGCAAAAGCCACTTCCACTTTGCTAACCACACAAGTGAGCCAGCTTAAAAGTGGATTCCCCAGCTGACACCCTGTGGAGAAAAGACCAGCCGACTCTGCCCAAACTGCAAATCGGGGAGCAAAATGAAGTTATTATTGTTTTAAGCCACTATGGTCTTGGTGGTTTGTAATGCAGCAATATATAAATGGAGAAATAAAAAACAATAGTGAGAGGGCAACATTTTTTCCATCCTTTTTGGGGGTAGGGGAATTAAGTACTCAGTTTCAAATATGCTCAAGTAGAGATGTTTGAGTAGGATAATAGGATATTGCAATGCCTAACCTTGTATTTACTAAACCTATTTTTTGGATTTTCCCTTTTTGTCTCTTTAATTACCTAGCCTTGTTTCCCATATGAATAGACTCTCACTTAGCTGGGAAAGCCAGAGGAACTCCATCTGGCCCCTTGATTTACAAGACATTAAGGGGTCCTTACCCAACCCGCTTCCTCAAGCAGTTAACCTGTGTAAGCAGATCCTCAGCATTTCAAAGGAGCCCAATTAACTGACAAGGTACTGGAACAATGTATGAAGTTCCCAGGATTTTGCTCAAAAAAGATAACAACATAAAGCCTTGAGTCTGTGTCCGGCATAGCATCCATATCTAACTCTTATGAAGGATTTAGAGCCCCGCACCTGGTTCCGTTGCTTTTTTTGTAACCATTTGTCTTTTAAATTGTTTATTTCTCTGTAACTATTTGTTTTTTTTGATTCTTGCATGTTTCTACTTCTGTAGAATTATTGCATTTGAGCTCCCCTCCCCTTCCTAAACCAAGGTATAAAAATAAATCGAGCCCCTTCCTCGGGCCAGGAGAATTTTGGAGCGTCAAGCCCTCTCTTGGCCGCCGGCTTAAATAAAGGACTCTTAATTCGTCTCAAAGTGTGGTGTTTTCTCTAACTCGCTTGGGTATAACAATATAAGGAATAGCTTCAGGCAAGTTCTGCAGCTATGAGAGGAGATAGTATAAAACTGAAAGGCCAATAAGGAATTATATTGAGGTATTATATAGGAAACTGAGAGGGGCTAAAGGGCCAAGACAAACACTTGAAAAATGGCTTTTTTTTTTTTTTTTGAGACAGAGTCTCGCTCTGTCGCCCAGGCTGGAGTGCAATGGGGCTAATTTTTGTATTTTTAATACAGATGGGGTTTCACTACATTGGCTAGGCTGGTCTCAAACTCCTGACCTCGTGATCTGCCCGCCTCAGCCTCCCAAACCTGGGATTACAGGCATGAGCCACCGTGCCCAGCCCTGAAAAATGGCATCCTTTATTTTTTATTTTATTTATGTTTGTTTATTTATTTATTTATTTGAGATGGAGTATGCTGTGTCGCCCAGGCTGGAGTGCAGTGGCGCGATCTCTGCTCACTGCAAGCTCCACCTCCTGGGTTCACACCATTCTCCTGCCTCAGCCTCCCGAGTAGCTGGGACTACAGGCACCTGCTACCAGCCCTGCTAATTTTTTTTTTTTTTTCTATTTTTAGTAGAGACGAGGTTTCACCATGTTAGCCAGGATGGTCTCGATCTCCTGACCTTGTGATCCGCCCACCTCGGCCTCCCAAAGTGCTGGGATTACAGGAATGAGCCACCGCGCCTGGCCAAAAATGGCATCTTTTAAAGCTTGGGGTTGGCCTCACAGGTGGGAATTTATAAGGAGAAAAGGGTTTGGTGTTATTGATGCCACGGGAAGTGTTTTAGGAAGTGTAAATATCAAGAAGGGAAGTAAAATGAAGACCAAAGGATATCAAATGGATTCAAAAATGAGGTCATTAGCAAAAATCATCACTATGTGGACCATCAGGAATGGAGCCAGAATGTTTCCACCCGCTGCATCCTGGGCTAGAGTCTTATCAATTGCTTGAGTCAGGTGAGACAGCACATACTCACACACCACAAGTTATATAAATCAGTTTATTACTTACAGATAGGCAGAAAGAGACAACAGAAGACTAAGATTCATAACAAGCTAGTCCCCCAAGGCTTAAGAAAGTTTCTGGGGAGGATGGAGTCTCAACTGTACATTCCCCACTATACTGCAGCTAGAATCCCTGAAAGGTAGCCCACTGTGGGTTATATACCTGAGTAGCAATGGAATGCACTGGGCAAAGGTTTGAAGGACATCCTTGTAAAGGAGACAGGAACAAAGTAAGCACTGTCCAGGACAGTTCTTCCCTATCTCAGTATATTGCATTTCCAGCACATCCTACAGTATTCTGAGAACTACAGACAAGGAGAGGGGAGGAACTGGATCACTGGCAGGGCACTTCTCATCCAAGTAATGAAAGGAGTGTGGTGCATCCAAATACCAGCTCTCTATGGCTTTGTTATTTGTGGTTGTGATATTTTGCCACCTTAAACCAATTAAACTAAAACAGGGCACCTTCAGCTCCCTCCAATGTGATGGGTATCAGATCCTCACATGGTAAGCCAGGGTTGGAGTTCTGTTAGTGTACACTGTGCCATTAGAAATGCTGGCATACTTGACCACTGGCAGGACATGGAGTCACTCTGGTTGTTCACAGATTGAGGTCCAGGATGGCAATCCAACTTTTCACCAGGTTTCCCACAGCGGGCACAGCTTGAGAAAGGCTAACAAAGGCATTATGCTTCCAGGCCTCTGCTGCCATGCTCCACAGAAAGAACAAAGTGACAGATTGGTGCCTCACTCCCCATCCCCAGAACACTGCCAGCCAAACTGTGAGTAACTCAGCCCATTGGGCACTGTGACCTCCTCCACTGTCAGTGATAATGTCCCCTGTTTTCATGTTGACAGTGGCTGCAGCCCATTTTACCCCTCAAGGCTTCAGCTTTGCTGAGCTATCTGTGAACTAGCAGAAGATGTCAGAGTCTGCATCCTGTAATCATGGTCCCCATTTGGCTATGGGGATTCCTAGGTGGTGTAGGCACCATTCCACCTGCCAGAGAGCTGGCCATTTTTACTTGTAGCTTGCTTACTACCTCTTCTCCTAATCAGGCTCAGTCTTGAATATACTACTTCCATCTGATGATGCCTCTTTGCTAGGCTAACCCCGTTCTAATATCTAGGCTGCCTGTTAACCCAGGACAAGATGGGGACTTGTGGTTGGAGTACAACCTTAGTGTACTGGGTCAGCCTTTCAGTTTCCACTAAGGTCCAATAAGCTAAAAACTGCTTTTCAAAAGGGGTGTAGGGAGTGGTTAATCCAGAACCCTAAAGGCCTTTAAACCCCAGTGGCCTCTTCTTTTTGCCAAAGGCTGCAGTCTGCATCATTTCCTAACACAGAGACTTGTCATTCAAATGGAGAGGTGTGCTCTAACTGCCCCAGGGCCATGGCCTGCCTAATGGCTTGTTGTAAAACCTAGAGTGCCTCATCCTCCCTGGGCCCTCAATGCAAAGTAGCAGCTTTCCTAGGTATCTGGTGGAGTGAAGCCAACAGAATGAACAGGTAAGGTATGTGTTGTTTCCAATACCCAAAAAGTCCACCAGTCAGGTGTTGGGCCTCCTTTTTCATAGTCGGCCAGTTAATGGTAACAGATTTTGATGGGCAGATCTGGAATCTAGTACTGAGCTCTAGCCCAGGTAGATCCTAAAAAGGTCACCAGTTTGGCTGATCCCAGGACTGTTAGGGTTAACTTCCCAGTCTGCTTGTCACGTCCCTGTGACCATCAAGTCCAAGGCCTCTTGTGTGATCGGATCATCAAGGGCCACAATAAGGATGTCACCTATGTAATGAATGCACATGACCACTTTAGGCAAAAGCACAGTGGCGAAATCCCATCCTACCCACTGGTGGCATATGGCAGGTGAGTTCAAATACTCCTGTGGCAGCACTGTAAATGTATATTGTATACTTTGCCATGTGAATACAAATTGATCTCTGCCCTTATCCCTCAAAGGGATTGAGAAGAATCCATTAGCCAGATCAATAACTGCATCATACCATTGGTTGGAAGCCTCCATGATGTGTTCAATTACTGTGGTGATATCTGGGCCACGAGTGTCAATAGGTCTACTACAGCATTTAGCTCTCAATAGTTAATTGTCAGACTCCAGGCTCCACTGGCTTTCTTAACAGGCTAAACCAGACTGTTAAAAGTGGAACCGGTTGCCCGCACACTTCTGCTTGAACTGAATATTGGATGAGGAGTGTGATGTCCTTCTTTCCCTCAGGGATATTATATTGTCTTTATTGTACCCTCTTCTAAGGTTTGGGGTGACATGGTGGTGCTTGCCTCTGGACTTACCTTACTGTGATGGCTAAAATGTTTCTTTTAGTTGGGGCATAGCCCAGTAAGCACCATGAAGTTGTGCACTGCATTAGGTCAATCCCTATAATACGCTCAGCCAATGGAAACCCAACCACCAGCCTGTCATAGCTGCTAAATGGCCACACTCATAAGTGAGAAAGCACCTCCCTACCTAGCATTTCCTTAATTCTCCACCCTACAAAATTCCAGAATCCACCTGGAATTCATGCCATTCTTCAGGGCCAGGAACTACAGTGGCTTGGGCCTCAGTGTCTAGCAGTTCCATGTAAATTAAAATCTGCCTCCATGTCCACTCTAACAGGTACATAATGCCTCCAGTCTCAGGGCAGGGTCAGAGGGCCAGGCTGAGGCCAGTGGAGACCTTGGTTCCACACCTGTTTCAGTTTAAAAAGGTGTGGGTACAGAGAACTTGTGTTAGGGCCAGGGAAGATGACTCTCCCAGAGAGGCTAAAGGGGGTGCCAATGTTTCCACTTGTCTATAGACTTCCCTTTCCCAGTACTCCTCCTGCATGGTTGGCACCTGTTGATTCTGTGAACTGCAAGGGCCTCCCTCTGATTGGTTCTGATAGCATGTATCAGATGGGGGGAGGCCATCAATCTCTTATTTAGGAACCCCCTGCTGCGTCAGTCAGATCCACAGTCTGTGGAGTGGGGGCACTTGGAGGCTGCCCCACTACCAGCCCTTGGATTGCCCCCTCCCAAGTTAGCCTTTTGTATTTAATTGTCAGATTAAATTTGTCAAATTTGACCCCCATTCTGCTGCCAGGCTAGCAGAGTACGATACAGCTTTTCGATGGCCTTGCCAAAGGCTATTCCAAGGGGAAGAAATAAAATCAATTGATTATGCCAGGGCCAAGGGCCCTGCTCTATGAAGTCATCAATATTGCATCTAAACAGTATTGTATCATCCAATTCCCCCTTCTGGAGGTTGGATAGCCATGAGCCCGGGGCCACCCTGCACAAGGCTGTGCCAGCCTCATGTCCTGACTGCCAAGGGCACAATGGAAGCTTAGGCAAACCACCCTGGATGGGAAAAGAGCCTAGAATGCTAGACACCAACCAAATAAGTAAAGATTCCAGCTTGTGGGCGTGGTGATCTACACCTGTAGCTTGTTGGATCACCCTGAACATCTGCTGCAACACTGGGTTGTGAGCCAATCTACCCAGGCTGTGCCATTCTTTTCATGACAGCAGAATGTTCTGTCACTCCTCATCAACTACCTGAGATAGCCAAGAAAACATGTCTTCTCTTGGTTTTTGCCCATAGCTGTCCTTGAGATCACTAATTTGTCTTTCTGTGAAGGAGAGCATTTTGATGGTTTCTTGCTGAGCTACCCCAACATTCTTGCACTGCTGGGTAAAGACGGGCTGCATCATGCACATTTATTCCTTCTTAAGTGCCTCAGAGACTTTTCTTATAACCTCTTGGGTGTCTTAGCGTCTGAGTGTCCATTTCCCAAGATCTCCATCCTGGGGAATGAGCAATCACATATGTGTCCCAAAGCTAGGGGACAGAGTTTCACACTCCTCTGTTTCCACATTCCTTTCTCTCTGCCTCAATCCATGCAGCCAGCTCATTCACATCTGTGGGGAGGTGACATATGTCCCACTTATCATTCCTCCTTCCCCATAAAACATCCTGCAGCATGTCTGGCTCCTGCACCCCCAGACTGACCTCTCTTCCCTGGACTGGGTACTGAAGGACATTGCCCCTCCCTCTTAGCCCATAAGTCATGGTTCTGTCAGACCAGACTGTGCTGCTATACCAATTTTATGAAGCAGGATCACTAATTACCAATCCCAAAGGAGAACTCTCACTGAGGGAAGAATAGCAAAAATCATTACTATGCTAACCACCAGGAATCAGAACATTTCCACCCACAGCATCCTGGGCTGCAGTTTTACTATTTGCCTCAGTCAGATGAGACAGAATACATTCACATGCCACAAGTTATATGAATCAGGTTTATTGTTCACAGATAGGCAGTAAGAGACAACAGAAGCCTAAGATGCACAGCAAGCCAGTCCCCCAAGGTTCAAGAAAACTGTCAGGGTGGATGGAGTCTCCACTGCATGGTCCTCATTTGTACCACAGCTAAGGGACCCTGAAAGGTAACCCACCCTGGGTTATATACCTCAGGGGCAACAGGATATGCTGGGCAAAGCTTTGAAGGACATCTTTTTAGGGAAGGCAATCCAGGGCCCTATCTCAGCTTCTGTCCCCTTGGTCTCCAATGCCAGGAGTGAGGACGCAGAAGGGACTCCATGGGGAAGGAGAGATTGGGGAGGCAATTTCTCCTCTCCCCACCCTCTTTCTCACCCCTTGTACATTAAACTGCTCTTTGCCCCCATGCTGGGGGGCACTTGGAGGCATTCTCCGGGAAAGAGTTTTTAGCTTGAACTTTAAAGACCTGAGTGGATCAGAAAGAAGGACCCTGTACTTCTGTCCTTAATCAGATGAGGGCCAGGCAAGTGAGAACCTTATATTCAGGCATGGCCTGGAGGACCGAACCCACGGAATGATAATGGCGCAAAGTACCACGAAATAGCGTAGGAAAAGTCTCTCTGACTGCACCCTGGGGTTTCATTTCTGCAAACAGATGACTGGGCCCCTGTTCATCCCCAACCTCACTGGGAGATTAGGCCTAAGAGGAGGGTATAACACCACTTGCACATGTCCTTGTTGACAGCTCTCACATACTGGAGCAGCTGCGAGTCAATGGGTGTCTGATTTCTGAATATGATTTATCCAAATTCACTCACATTTCAGATGTGGATTTATTTTCCAAGGGAATGTTGAGATTGCCACCATTAAAGGAAACTCAGTTACTTGCCTAAAGTGACAAAGACCTTCTTGACCCAACTCTAGTCAGCCTCCTTTATAAGTACTGAAAGCCCAGACCTTGGGTTTTTTCTTTGGTTCACTTATTCTAGTTTTAGCAAGAATCCTGCTAAGTTTAATGAAAATTCTCCACCCTTGGTCTGATCACCCTCGATATTTTACCAAATTCCTTATGTCTCACCTTGATATCTTATTACCCTGGCCTCCTGGTCTGTCTTTTGTGTGTGTGTGTGTGTGTGTGTGTGTGTGTGTGTGTGCGCGCGCGCGCGCGTGCGTGTTGTTGATTGTTTGTTTGGTTTTGAGACGGAGTTTTGCTCTTGTTGCCCAGGCTGGAGTGCAATGGAGCAATCTCAGCTCACCGCAACCTCTGCCTCCCAGGTTCAAGCGACTCTCCTGCCTCAGCCTCTCGAGGAGCTGGGATTACAGGCATGCGCCACCACGCCTGGCTAATTTTGTATTTTTAGTAGAGACGCGGGTTCTCCATGTTGGTCAGGCTGGTTTCGAACTCACGACCTCAAGTGATCCACCCACCTCGGCCTCCCAAAGTGCTGGGATTACAGGCGTGAGCCACCGAGCCCGGCCTTCCTGGCCTGTCTTTAGCAAAAAAAAAAAAAAAAAAAAAAAAAAAAAAAAAAAAAAAAAAAAAAATTATATATATACTGTTACATCAGTTTAGCAAAGAACTACCCTACTTCTTAGTAATTTTTCAGCCATTAACCCCCGCGCTGATCCTTTGCTGTAAAGCTCCACTTGTTCTTTTGTATTTGGAGTTGAGCCCAATCTCCCCTACTGCAAAACTCCATTATAGTAGTCCCCTTGAATAAAATCTGCCTTACCATGTTTAGCTAGTGTCATGAATAATTTTTTCTTTAACTAAAAAACACAACAGAACAGCACAAATCAATACTAATAAATGAAAAAACACTAAAGAAAAAAGGTATAATCTAATTGGCTTACAGTAATGGATAGTTGAAATAATATGAATTGATGGCATATAACCAATTAGTAATAAAAAGTAAATTAATTTTATTTCAGATATGCTCTAAATTCCAAAAAAAGCATAGGAGAAGGAAGAGACTTCTTATCTGGATACAAATATTTTAATGTAACCAAATAACTAAATTTTATAAAACAAGTATGAAATTTAACCTAATTTATGAGTAAAAACATATGCCAAAAAGAGTAAACTGGGATGCATCAATCTCCTGAGAATTTGAGACACAAATAGTTTTAAACACATATGAAAATGGGTACTTCTAATAACAAATAAGTAATAAAGGAATGTGACTTTTAGAAATAAGTCCATTTAAATACCATCTGTGAACAATAAATTCTTCAAACTCTTTCAGAGCTGCCGGTGGCTGGAGCCCTGTCCTCCGAATGGATGAGAGGCAGCTACCCGCCAAGGCTTCAGGTGACATCACAAGAAATGGCGCGGATCCTTATTGCCCTGTGCCTTGGCTTCCGCATCAGCGAACTCCGCCTTCGGTCTTCCAGGCGGCCCGTACTGCTTAGTCGGTAGCAGTGGCCCCACCAGCCCAGCCCCACAGTCCCTGGGTCTCCAGTCTTTCGCTCCTAACAACCCTATCTGCGCTGTGGCGCTCGGGCCCAACTCCTCACCCGGATGCAGTGGGTTAGGGGTTGGGGGAACAGACTGACTTGAGCTCGGAGTCCTGAGCCCACACCTTCCAGGCCAGGGTCAGTCCAAGGCAGTCCAAGTTTGGAGATCCAGTCCCTTCTCCGTTTCCAGATCTGCGAAATTCAGTAAAGCTATACCCAGGTGACCAGTACGGGCCACGCTGCACTGAGAATGCAGAGAATCATGAGAGCCACTCTCCTTCCTCGCGCCCAGATCCCAACAGCCACCAGAACACTGCGGATCCCACTCTCTGCTCCCCAACGAGTTACCTTGGCAAGTCAAGACCCCAGCCATTGTCGTCACCAGGGGAGAGAGGCAGAGGGAGATTTGGCTACAAAAAAAAAAGAAGACAATGTGATCTTGAATCAGGATGCTACGCTGGTGACTTTGAAAACGGGAGGAGGAGGCCGGGCGCGGTGCCTCACGCCTGTAATCCCAGCACTTTGGGAGGCCGAGGCGGGCTGATCACGAGGTCAGGAGATCGAGACCATCCTGGCTAGTACGGTGAAACCCCGTCTTTACTAAAAGTACAAAAAATTAGCCGAGCGTGGTGGCGGGTGCCTGTAATCCCAGCTACGGGAGGCTGAGGCAGGAGAATGGCGTGAACCCGGGAGGCGGAGCTTGCAGTGAGCCGAGATGGCGCCACTGCACTCCAGCC
Source organism: Homo sapiens (assembly GCF_000001405.40). Taxonomy (NCBI): domain Eukaryota; kingdom Metazoa; phylum Chordata; class Mammalia; order Primates; family Hominidae; genus Homo; species Homo sapiens. The sequence goes on along the minus strand of NC_000006.12, from coordinate 27,761,974 downwards.
TGGGTGACAGAGCGAGACTCTGTCTCAAAAAAAAAAAAAAGAAAAAAAAGAAAAGAAAAGAAAAGAAAAGAAAAGAAAAGAAAGAAAGAAAATGGGAGGGGGAGCTATGAGCCAAGGAATGTCCCTGTAGAACCTGGGAAGGCCAAGGAAAGCTGCTTCTCCTCTGGTGCTTCTGGAGGGTGTCAGACACCCTGTTTGACATTTTCATTTTGGTCCACCGAAACTGATTGCAGATTTCTGACCCCTAGACCTGTAAGGGAATAAAGACATATTGTTTTAAGCACCAGACCTGGGTTTAAGAGAGCTTGAGTTGAGTTTAGTGAAACAAATTACCCAAGCTGAAGTAGAGAGCGAGAGAGGGAGAGAGAGAGACCCATAAGGAGATATTTCTGCCCAGTTTCCATTTCGCGTGGGTGGCACACGTGACAACCACTGCATTACAAAAACCACCGTTCACCCAGGAGCTATCTTTAAAATTTAAAATGGACATTTCCTGAATGGCTCACGTTCAGTATTGTGAAATTATTGTTTCTTTTAGAGCATTTTCATATTTGTGGCCCTTTTTTTCTTTCCTTATATATTCCATTCACCAAAACCAACAATACCCAAAATCCATGATTCAAGACCAAGGAAGGCTTTCGCCCAGTGACCCACATCCTCATAAATACCATGTCATCATGTCAGGAAATTTCAGGCAGAATAAGGAGGAATTTTATTTCAAGACCATTGTCCATACTGTGCTATGCCTTTTTCTGTATCCTTCCAACACACCCAAACATTAACCTCTTGATTACAGAAAAAAAGACTTTTTAGAAACCAGGACCCCAAGGGAGGGGCTTTGGCGACATTTAGCATTTTCTGTCAAGGAAACGCTTTGCCATAAGAAACTGTGGAGTGAGGTGGGGTCAGGGGGCCACCTGTGACCAATTATCTTCCTGGCCAGCAAGAGGGCAGGGGACTGAGTGTAATCAGGTGTCTTCCAAGAGGTGGCAAGTGTGCCAATCAGATAATTTAACTTAGTTTCTTCCCCTCTTCACACAATTTGCCACCATTCCCTCTGGCATTAGTCATTCAGCTACTGCCTCACCCACTGTATTTTGTGTAACTCTGTAATTTTAATTTTGGTATTGTACTATACATCCTGATATACATTTTGTTTCTTAGATTTTACTTTGCACTGAAAAATCCACCTGTTTTTGGTATACATGTACCTCTGCTTCATTAGTTGTGACTCCTGCAGAGCATGAAACTTCACACAAACTTGTATTCACTGCAGTACTTACTCATTCTGGTGATGGACATGCAGGTTGCCCCAACTCTCTGCTGCCTGAAATTGCTGCAATGACTGGATTCTATGAAGCCACTACAGAGCTAAGCTGGAATTTCACTGATAGACATTCGTAGAAGTGGGATTGCTGGGTACTCATCAAAAAGGCTATACAGAAATAAACACTTGTTTAATGCCCATACCGTGAAATCTAAGACCTAGATTGTTAAGATTAAGATCTTACCTTTATTTCATGTAGAAATTCATACTTGTAAGATTTTTAGTATGACAAATCAAAACACAGGAAGTACACCTAACTCACACTGGTCTCAGAAAAATTCCCAGGGGAAAGTGCCTTGAGGTAAAGCTAAAATAATGAGTAAACTTATGGTAAAGAACGAAGGATTTGGGAGAATCATCCAATTGAATGAAAATTAGACAGCATGAAATGTCCTCCCATAGTAATTGAATCCATCAGCAGTGACCTAAACCTGTGAATCCAGAGAGCTTACATGGCTCTGTCACTCCCACAACCCTCAGAGCCTGATTTCAGCCCTTTGGGGAGAGTTTTGATTGGCTCTAGGGCTTTCTAAGGGATGCAGGATAAATTACCTGACTTTAACACCTTCTCTGTGGATTTTTCTGGGCCAAATCCACAGAAGTGAAACACTAGAAACTTCCTTCTTCAGTTCTTTGAATTCAGTTTTAAGATCAGTGATATTTTTCTGTGAGGAAGCTGCCTCTCTTTTTAGTTAGACAGAGGTACAAGGCAGGAAAAGACTTTTTCTTTTCCCTTTTTTTCTGTTTCCTTAAAACACACAAGATTGAGCTCAGGCATTCTCTTTATCAAACTCTTCCTGTAGCTGAAAGAGGGTCTGGCTGATTGTCACTTGTAGAAAAAAGCCAAAAGAACAAGAATGAGGCCGGGCGTGGTGGCTCATGCCTGTAATCCCAGGACTTTGGGAGGCCGAGGCGGACGGATCACGAGGTCAGGAGTTTGAGACCAGCCTCGCCTATATGGTGAAACCCCGTCTCTACTAAAAATACAAAAATTAGCTGGGTGTGCTGGCGTGCGCCTGTACTCCCAGCTACTCAGGAGGCTCAGGCAGAAGAATCGCTTGAACCCAGGAGGCAGGGCTGCAGTGAGCTGAGATCGTGCCACTGCACTCCAGCCTGGGCAACAGAGTGAGACTCCATCTCAAAAAAAAAAAAAAAAAAAAGAAAAAAAAAGGAATGAGGTGTAATTAAAAATAGAGTAAGTTTTATTATCCATGCTAGCAATGGGGAGAGTGGCTGGCCAAAATTTGCCACTCTCCAATTTCTGGAGAGAGGCCAAGCATTTCAAGGAGAGGAGCTTGTAATGCAGAGGGGCAAGAGGCAGGAGGTGCCCAGTGGGTGTCTCATTCTGATGGCTTATCTTGAATTATTGTTTCACCTGGTGAAGGGGCCAGTGACATTGTAGGCCCAATCAAGTTACAAATTAATGACAGTCAATCTTGCAGATAATCTCTAGCCAAGAGTGAATATTGTCCTTGAATTAATCTCCTACTGGAGAGAGAATTCTGGAGATGTCTGGTCTGCATCAGGATTCAGCCCCTGAAGCTTCTAAGGAAATATATGACCAGATAAGTGGGCATGGTATGAGCTTAACAAGCATCCAGGTAAATAAATGAGCATAAGGCATGGGGGCATAAGATGCGAAAGGGAAGGCAGTTTTAATGCCCATTCCAAGGCAGTAATTGACGACAAAAGAAAGCACATCTGCAGTTTGTCTCAAAGCTATGTCTAGAAACTGGGGAGAAAGAAGAAAAGAAACAAAGTTTTTAAAACGTGGTTTGAAGCTAAGCTGCTTGGTTACCTTCCAACCTTCTGCAAGATTTTGCTGTTTTTTGTTATTATTAAAACAAGTAATAGGCCAGGCGCAGTGGCTCACACTTGTAATCCCAGCACTGTGGGAGGCTGAGTCAGGCAGATCACTGGAACTCAGGAGTTCGGAGGGGGAAAAAAACCAAGCCTGCGCGCTCTGAGCCCCACCCCCCATTCCCCATGGTGTCTGAGTAGGCTCCCAGGGCGAGCAGGATCCCTCCTCACAGGCGAGACTGGCTTCCTTGGAAAACCAATAGTCGGACTTGCGAGTTTTCCTCCAAGATAATTTTCTCAGGGACTTCTAAATGTGGTGCTGTACGCCTATGGTCCTAGCTACTTGGCAGGCTGAAGTCGAAGGATTGCTTGAGCCCTGGAGGTCTAAGCTGTAGTGAGCCGAGATCGCGGCCACTGCACTCCAGCTTGGGTGACAGAGCAAGACTCTGTCAAAACAAACAAACAAAACACACACACACACACAATGTAAACCAGGAATAGAAGGAAACTTCCTCAACTTGATAATGCCCAATTATGAAAAACATACAACTAATATCATTCTCAACAGCGAAAGACTGAAAATTTTTCTCCTACAATCAGGAATAATGGGTGCCCACTTTCACCATGTTATTCAGCACAGTATTGGCAAGGAAAAAGTAAAATTATCTATGTTCACAGATAACATGACTTTTTTTTGAGAGAGAGATGGGATCTCTCTTTGTCACCCAGGCTGGGATGCAGCAGAGCAATTATGCCTCACTGAAGCCTCGACTTCCCTGGTTCAAGCGATTACCCTGCCTCATCCTCCGGAGTAACTGGGACCACAGGCGCCTGCCACCATGCCCGGCTAATAAAAAAAATTTTAGAGACTAGGGTCTCGCTATGTTGCCCGTGTTGCCCAGGCTGGTCTCGAACTCCTGGGCTCAGGCGATCCTCCTACCTTGGCCTCCCAAAGTGCTGGGATTACAGGTGTGAGCCACCAAGCCTGGCCGTGACATGATTTTTATATATAGAAAACCCTGAAAATTACACACACACACTCAAACACACACACACACAAACTGTTACAGCAAATAAAGAAATTTAGCAAAATAAGGATAAACAACCACATGAGTTCCAGCAGAGAGCGCGGTGGGAAGCGGAGCGCGGCCAGCTGCTCTGGGGCCCTGCAGACCCTCTGGTCTTGGACCTGAGGAGGAGACGGGGGCCCGGCCCCGCGGCGGCCTCTGCTCTGCAGGCTCCCAGAGTCCTTGCTGTGTCTCCCACCGGCCAGGCCCAGGCCTGAGGCAGCGTCGAACCTCTCTTCACTTCCCACCTCGGTGACCTGGTGGCCCTCTGGTCTTCCAGAAAACCCTGCCGGGCCTAGACTAAGCCCCCGCTGGCCGCCAGGACGCAGCGCCTTTGTGTGGCGGCGGGTGTCGGGGGCGGGAAGAATCGCGCGGAAGCTGCCGGGGTGTGCAGGGACCGGGAAGGCGGAGCTAGGGATGCAGGTTCGGTCGCCTCTTTAGGCCACTGCGCCACGCAGATTGGGTCCAGAAGGTGCCGTTAAGTTTCTTCCCAGAAACTGTCAAGGTGCTGGTATGTTTCTTGCCCTTGCACTTTTAGTGTACTAAAATCAACGGCCAAACTCTACTCTTTATAGCAATCAAAGTATTCACCCATGCGCCCAATTTCTTTGCAAATGCCAAGCAAGAAAACCTCAGGTAGATGGAGGGAGCAGATAATTTGACTTTTTTTTTCTTTAATTTCACTATAGTGTCCTCCTCCACACATACAAGGATGAAGTTTTGTTTTTTAAGATGAAACAAATTTGTCATTAATGAAAGGATTGTCAAAATCTTCCCAAAGGTCCTCAGCTTCTGAATCACCTGGAAGCTTCTAAAAATTAAGACTTGTGGGCCATACCAGAGACCCTCTGCACTAGAAGGGGGTATGGCAAGGAATCTTAGGAATAGTCCACCTGGAGAATCACTAGCGTAAGTTCTGGGCCTCACATTCCCTCAGAAGAGTCCCATGAACCTGTGGTCAGCAGCTTAGGGCTGGTCTTCTTTACTGATCTGAGGGACAATGGGAAGCTTAGGACTCCCTGCATGGCATCTCTCCCGCCCAGGGGAGAACAGCTCAACAAATTTCCTCATTAACTACAAAGTTAAATGGAAGCATATGCTATGAAAATGCCACAAAAAGCTGTTGCTAGATGAAAATGTCTAAATTTGCTTTAAATTATCATGGGGGCTTGGCAGAGGGAGGAGAGACTAATTGTTGAAGTAGGATCATGGAAATAAGGAGGTCCATAATATTCTCTATAATCTTTTTTTGTCATAAACAGGGGTTTATAAAACTACCTAGTATAGCATGGTGGTCAAGAACACCAGTTCTGGAGACAAACACACCTGGTGGTGTCCTTTCCTAGCTAGCATAACCTCAGCACATTGTTCAAGCCTTAACTTGCTCAAATGTAAACCCGAAATGACAGGGATAGATCTTGACTCAGGAGGCTTGACAAGGCTAAAAGTAATACTAAAAATAAAAGCAGTAACTACTTCTGTAAGTTGAGCACTGTCTGAAACACTTCAGGGAGTTTTTCTTAATTGAGTTTATGATAATTCTATGAGGTACACACTGTATCCATATCCATTTTACCAGCACAGACAGAGTCATGAAGAAGCCAAATAGCTTGCCTGAAACCCTACATATGATGAGAAAGTGGCAGAGGAAGGAATTGTACTCAGATATTTTGGCTCCAAAGATCCCTGCCAGATCTGCCCTGCCAGTTCATAAGGACTAAGAAGATGCCTCCTCTCTATACTACCATCCAAATGCTTCGCAATCTGTACGTCTGTTGCTCCACTTTTTGCTTATGGCATATTGGCTGCTCATGTTCCTCTTTCTTCTCCTTGAGAGTTAGGATTGTGTAATCTTGTCCTGCATGCCTCTGGTACTCCTAGTGACAACATAGGGTCACAATTGTCTGGCACATTGTTTGTAGCTCAATAATTTATTTTTCTTTTTAAAAAAATTTGAAATGGGGATCTCGCAATGTTGCCCAGGCTGTCTCGAACTCATGGCTCAAGTGATCATCCCGCCTAAGCCTCCCAAAGTGCTAGAATTACAGGCATGAGCCACTGTGCCCAGCCAATAATTTATTTTAATTAATATGAAATAAATGTGTTTACAACAATTTTTTTTAAATTAGAGATGGAGTCTCCCTATATTGCCCAGGCTGGAGGGCAGTGGCTTTTCACAGACACAATCATTGCACATGCAACCTCAAACTCCTGGGCTCAAGTGATCTTCCTGATTTACTTCGTCTCCAGAGTAACTAGAACTACAGGTACACCACTATGTCCAGTTTAACAATATTTTTTATCTTTTTTCTTTCTTTTTTTCTTTAACAATATTTTTAATGATCATTGTTGCTGCTAATCTGGTCTTGATTTGTTAATTGGGAAATACAGTCTAATTTGTTAATTGGGAATTACAGTCTTTCTTTCAGTTGTTACCCACAGCATTCCAATTATTCATGATCCAGCTACTACCAGCTCACATGATCTCAAGGTGAGAAGGGGCTCTCTGTTCCTGGCACCCATGGAAGAAAGAATACTAAGTAGAGGAAAAAGTAAGCACAGACTTTCTCCAGACTGGTCTGGCAGCCCAACCACCACCTCTAAGCACAGAGAGTGTGTGGTGTTTATATGCAAAGTGAAGTTATAAGGAGGAATCTGGAAGAAGGCAGCTTGCTTCTAGGTGTGCAGTGAAAGTAGATAGAGGAAGACAGTGAAAAGGGAGAGAAGAACAAAGAAAAGAAAAAAATACACGAGCGTTTTATCCTCCTTTTCTAAATCAAATAGCATTGAACTGTCACATTCCAGAGAAATAATTATTTGTGACATAGAATCCAATCTTGTAACCTTGTACCTGTTCCCCAGTATATCTCATCCTGAAGCTTACCTGCTCTGTAACAAATGCTAATAGTCCCAAGAGCTCAGTCTTACAGGTCCGGGTTCCTAAAAGGGTCATTTTCTGGCACTAGAAAGATGAAGATCAGAACAAGTTGCATGGATAAGATAAGGACACTATGGTAGAATTTTTTTAAAAAAATCAAATCATCTGCTCTCTACTTCTCTATCTACTTGAGGTTTTCTTGCCTGGCATTTGCAAAGAAATTGGGGCTCATGGGTGAATACTTGGATTGCTAAAATGATAAAGTTTGGCTGTTGGTTTTAGTACACTAAAAGTACAAGGGCAAGAAACGTACCACCACTGTGAGAGTTTCTGGGAAGAAAGGGCAGCTTTGAGATTATAGAACCTGGGGCATCTGGAAAAACTGTATTTTTTTTTTCCTGTAGAAGAGACATGGGACCAAAGGCAAGTTTTACTGGTATTGTGGTTATCACATTTGCCCAATACAGTAAAGACCCTTGGTTTGAAACTCAGTAAGATTTATTATTATTATTATTTGAACAGAACTCTTTTGTTTTCTCTCCTGTCCTGGACTTGAAATCGGCTTATCCAAACCCTAGAGACGCTGACACCCCGCATGCTTTCCCCTCCCACCGTTCAGGGCGTTGCCAGCTCCTCCCTCCTGCATGGTCGGCTGGGTTCCACCAGCTCCGCTAGTGTTAACAGGAGGAAGTGTCCCCCTGGTCTGCATCTCCCTGGTGATCTGGTTCTCATCCGAATGCAGACAGCGGAAAGGGAGGGTTTTCCACAAGGAGGTCGGCAAGTATTTCTAGAAAGAAAAGAGCTTCTCTTCTAATTAGAGCACCAAAGACTACGCTACAGTCAGGTGAAGTCATTAGCCAGTTATTTATTATTTTTGTTATGGGAAGCATAATGTTCTACTTTTTATAGAATTCCTTCGAATTGAGTTATCATTGAAGCTACTAGTTGGTTACAACTAAACATTAAAATGTTTATATCTTATAAACATTATATAACATTATATATAATGTTATATAAACATTATATAACATTAAAACATTTATATCTATAAATTTGAAAACTAATCAGTATTTTTTAAAGTATAAAACAATGGGAAGAACATCTAAATACTAGAAATAGGTTTAAAAATTAGTTCATAGATTCATAGATGCATAAATCTTAACAAATTACCTTTCCCAAATTAATTCTATGCCTCTTTGTATAAGTAACTACTGGGAAATATAGTTTATTATACAAAAAAGTACAAACCGATTATTTATCAAATGTTCCTCAACTTAAATTAGGACATCGAGTTTTTATATTATAAATAGTAAATGTGAAAGTGTGTAATTCACCATAATCAAAAAAAAATCGGAGGTGGGGGTGGAGGGAAAGGGGGAGAATTCAGGACTAGTCTTTTAGGTCAAAAAGAAGAAGCTTTGTAACCGTTGGTTTCCGTAGTGTAGTGGTTATCACGTTCGCCTAACACGCGAAAGGTCCCCGGTTCGAAACCGGGCGGAAACAAAGAGAGTCGCTTTTTTTTCTATCGCTAATTCTGTTTTTGAGTATTTTCATTTGAACCAATAGAATCTTTGCTTTTTGCCGAGCACGTGAACCCTCAACTTCTGTACTCCTTCCGTCACCCAGCGACGTGGCGCTGAATCCCGCGTCACACCTTTCTCTACCCCACGCCGAACCCTCACCCTCATCCTCCTTTTCTGATCTCCGTCTGAGTGACCCCGGTGGTGTCAATCCCAATAGGCACCGGAGTCCCAGAACTCCACCCGCCTGCACCTCGCAGGTGAGACAGGCTTTCTTGGAATCCAGAGAGCAGCACTTGCGGGTTTTTCGTGGAGGGGGTTTCCTCGGGGATTTCTAAGGAAGAGCGCTTCGCTTTGAGCCCTTCGGGGAATTGGATTTGCTCTTTTTTTGCTGAAGCACAGAGAGGAAACACTTTTTTTTTTTTTTTTTTTTGAGACAGAGTTTCGCTGTTGTTGCCAGGCTGGAGTGCAGTGGCACGATCTCGGCTCACTGCAACCCCCGCCTCCCGGGTTCAAGCGATTCTCCTCCCTCAGCCTCCCGAGTAGGTGGGATTACCACCACGCTCCGCTAATTTTTGTATTTTTAGTAGAGATGGGGTTTCGCCATGTTGGCCAGGCTTGTCTCGAACTCCTGACCTCAGGTAACCCACCCGCTTCGGCCTCCCACAGTGCTGGGATTACAGGCGTGAGCCTCCGCGCCCGGCCAAAACAAACTTTTTGACAGCTCTTAAACTTTCACCATGGATTGTGCACTTGGACAAGGATATAAAAGTGTGTTTGAATTCGAACCAGTCCAAAGAAAGTCAGCATTTTCTCTTCTGTCCGGTTATCTATTTATTACCTCTCAGCAGCAAAATCACTTTTCCTTGCTCCATAACAATGGAACGGAGCTGGGCCCTTTAAATATTTTCTGTCGCAGTTTAGCTCAATATTAAATTTTGTCAATAGAGGGCGATGGAGAGACATTGCTGGAGGAAATAATCTCTTGGCGTTACTGTGCACAGTGGCCTGGCTCCCACAGCCTGAGCAGTTTACCTAGTAGGAACCTCCTGCAGTGCATGGTGGCCAGCAGTACTTTGGGGGAACCTCCTTTAGAGCATCTCTGGTAACAGACTTCCCCATGAACATTTTTCTTTGGTACTCTAGATGGCACATGACCTGCACCTTCCGCTGGAGCACTTTTTTTCTACCCTCCCAACCTGGATGCAGGTCTGGATCTCAGCCCTGGTGGGGAAGAGAATACTTGCGTGCTCCATCTCAGCCCTCAGCCCTAGGGGTGTTAGCTGCTTCTTATATGGGCCAGCCTGGTCTGGAATCCCTGACCTGAGTTGATCCGCCCACCTCGGCCTCCCAAAGTGCTGGGATTACAGGCATGAGCCACCGCGCGAAGGTGACACATTTCTTTCACTAATATTTACTGAGTGCCTATTATAAACTAGTCTATGTGTTAGACAGTAGGGCTTCATTGGTGAACAAGAACAGACATTGTACCTGCCTTAATAGAACTTACATTCCATTGAGGGAGAAACACATTAATCAAGTTGCCTTACAAACTAATGTAGAACTTGCTACGAGGAGAGATACATTTTGCTATGAGTAATGCAGGTGTCACACACTTAAATGTTTAGGAAAGTCCCTAGAAAATTATTTATTGATTTGGAGTCCAGAGAATGCATTGGAGAAAGGAGAGTTTTCCAAGAATAGGAAATGGCATGTAAAAAGGCCCTGTGGTGGGAGATAACCTTATAAATAAGAGGAATTAATACACTAGGGCCAGTGTAGCTAGCGTACATAAAGCAAAAAAAGGTGTGATTTTAAGTAAGACTAGAGAAGTAGTTAAAGGTCTAGCATGCATGACATTTAAGGCCATTTTAATAATGGCCTCCTCTACCCTTTATCATCTCAGAATATACAGAATCTGAATTATGGTCTAATTTTATCTAAGGGACAGCCTATTACATTTACTTCCAAGAATCTGACAGAATTCATAAAATCAGAAGAATCATGTAAGTCCTTTTGGTCCACTAGGAACAAAAACTACGGTCCTACTGGAATTTCAAGTCTCTGTTGCCCCCTTGGTGTTTTGAGTTTTGTCCTTTTTAACTAAAGTTACAGATGTTAACTGAAGTAAACACTAGAGGTCACAATAATTAAAAGTAGAAAAAATTCCCTGAATTACCTGTCTAGGGAGGTCATAGTCCCCATATACTAGGTCATATACTAGGTCATAGTCCCCATATACTAGGGCTGAGATCCAGACCTGCATCCAGGTTGGGAGGGTAGAAAAAAAGTGCTCCAGCGGAAGGTGCAGGTCGTGTGCCATCTACAGTACCAAAGACAGGTAGTCCCCATATACTACCTGTCTAGGGAGGGAGGTCATAGTCCCCATATGTTAAAAATCAGAAGAAAATCAAATGGCCCTAATAGACCTATTAGGAACATTCCACCCAACAGCAGCAGAACATACATTCTTCTCAAGGGTACACGGAACATTTTCCAGGATAGATCACATTAGGTTACAAAGCATGTCTTTAAAAAATTAAGATCAAAATTACACCAAGTTTCTTTTTCTTCCTTTCTTTTTTTTTTTTTTTTTTTTTGGATACAAGGTCTCGCTCTGTCACCCAGGCTGGAGTGCAGTGGTACAATCTCAGCTCACTGCAACCTCCCAGGTTAAAACAATTCTCATGCTTCAGCCTCTCCAGTAGTTGGGATTACAGATGTGAACCACCACACCCGGCTAATTTTGTTTTTGTTTTGTTTTGTTTTGTTTTTTTTGGAGACAGAGTTTGACTCTTGTTGCCCAGGCTGGAGTGCAACGGCACAATCTCGGCTCACCGCAACCTCTGCCTCCCAGGTTCAAGCAATTCTCCTGCCTCAGCCTCCCAAATTGCTGGGATTACAAGTGCCCGCCACCACGCCCCGCTAATACTGTATTTTTAGTAGAGACAGGGTTTCTCTATGTTGGTCAGGCTAGTCTTGAACTCCCGACCTCAGGTGATCCGCCCGCCTCGGCCTCCCAAAGTGCTGGGATTACAGGCATGAGCCACCGTGCCCGGTTAAACAATCTAATTTTTATACCTCAAAGAAGTAGAAGAACAAATTAAGTCCAAAGTTAGCAGAAGGGACGAAATAATAAAGATTTTTTTTTTTTTTTTTTTTTGAGACAGAGTCATGCTCTGTCACCAGGCTGGAGTGCAGTGGCACGATCTCGGCTCACTGCAACCTCTGCCTCCAGGATTCAAGTAATTCTCCTGTCTCGGCCTCCCGAGTAGCTGGGACTACAGGTGCCCACCAGCACGCCTGGCTAATTTTTGTATTTCTAGTAGAGACCGGGTTTCACTATATTGATCAGGCTGGTCTCCGACTCCTGACCTCAGGTGATCCACCCGCCTAGGCCTCCCAAATTGCTGGGATTACAGGCGTGAGCCACCGCGCCCGGCCTCAAACTCATTTTATGAGGCTAGAAATACCCTGATATCAAAGACAGATACATTACCAAGAAAACTAAAAGCCAGTATCCCTGGTGAACATAGATGCAAAAGTCTTCAACAGAATATTAACAAACTGTATTACTGTATTCAACAGCACATTAAAATAATCATACACCATGAACAAGTGGAATTTATCCTTTGGATGCAAAGATGCTTCACATACAAAAATCAGTTAATTGATGGCATGGCCTTATATAGAGAACACCCTAAAGACTCCATTTTAAAAACTGTCAGTTAAGTTGCAGGATATGAAATCAGCATTAAAAAGCAATTGTGTTTCTATGCACCAACAACAAATTAGCTGAAGAGAAAATTAGGAAGATAATCTCCTAATACAGTGGCACCAAAAATAATAAAATACTTAGTTAAACTTAATTAAGAAAGTGAAACACTTGTGCACTGAAAACCATAAAACATCCATCAAAAAGACACAAACAAATGGAAAGACATCCCACGTGCATAGATTGGAAGACTTAAAGTTTCCATACTACCCAAAGTGATTTACAGATTTAATGCAACCTCTATCAAAATCCCACTGGCATTTGTACAGATACAGAGAAAACAATCCTAAAATTATATGAAACTACAAAGGACCCTGAATCACTAAATAATCTTGAGAAAAAAAACAATAAACCAGGAGGCATTACACTTCTCCAGCCCTCTCTTCTGTTCCATTGGTCTCTATGTTTGTCTTTGTATCAGTATCATACTGGTTTTTTGTTGTTGTTGTTTGGTTTGGTTTGTTGTTTTTGTTGTTGTTGTTGTTGCTGCTACTGCTGCTGCTGTTTAAGACAAGGTCTCAGGCAGGGCTCAGTGGCTCACACCTGTAATTCCAGCACTTTGGGATGCTGACGGGGGTGGATTGCTTGAGCCCAGGAGTTCGAGACCAGACTGGGCAACATGGTAAAATCCCATCTCTACAAAAATTACAGAAAATTAGCCAGGCCTGGTGGCCTGCCCCTGTAGTCTCAGCTACTCGGGAGGCTAAGGTGGGAGGATCGCTTGAGCCCAGGAGGTGGAGGTTGCAGTGAGCAGAGATTGCGCAACTGCATTCCAGGTTGGGCAACAGGGCAAACATAGGAGAAAAGCTTCAGAACATTGGTCTTGGCAATTACTTCATGGATAAGACACCAAAAGCACAGGCAAAAATAGAAAAATTGGACTATTCCAAATGAAGGAGCCGCCACAGCAAAGGAAACAATCGAGTGAATTCTATAGGTTATAGAATGGGAGAAAGTATTTGCAAACCATATACCTGTTAAGGAGTTAATTTCCAAAATGCAGAACTGCTACAACTCAGTAGCAAAACAAACAAACCTCTAACAATCTGATTTAAGAAGGGCTAATAGACATTTATCCAAAGGAGACATGCAAATGAGCAACAATGTTCAATGTCACTAATCATCAAAAAAATGCAAATCAACCTGACAATGAGATTCACATCACACCTGTTAGGATAGCTATTATGAAAAACAAACAAACAAACAAATAACAAAAACAAAAGGCAACATGTGGAAAATTGGAACCCTTGTTTCTACACTGTAGGTGGGAATACAAAATGATACAGTCACTGTAGAAAACAGTATGGTGTTTCCTCCAAAAAATTTAAAATGTGACTACCTTATGATTATGCTGGCTATTTATCCAAAAGAACTGAAATAAGAATCTGAAAGACACATACCACTTCTGTATTCATTGCAACCAATGAATTCACAACTGTCAAGATGTGGAGGCTGGGTGCGCAGTTGTGCACGCCTGTAATCCCAGCACTTTGGGAGGCTGATTCGGGTGGATCTCTTGAGGCCAGCAGTTTGAGACCAGCCTGGCCAACATGACGAAACCCCATCTCTACTAAAAATATAAAAATTAGCCGGGCATAGTGGCGCATGCTTGTAATCCCAGATACTCGGGAGGCTGGGGCACAAATCGCTTGAACCCAGGAGGTGGAGATTGCAATGAGCCGAGATAGTGCCACTGCACTCTAGCCTGGGCGACAGAGCAAGATTGTCTCAAGAAGAAAGAAAGAAAGAGAGAGAGAGAGAGAGAGAGAGAGAGAAAGAAAGGAAAGAAAGAAAATAAAAGGAAAGAAAGAAAAAAGAAAAAAAAAGTGGAAACAGGCCTGGCACAGTGGCTCACACCTATAATCCCAGCATTTTCAAAGGCTGAGGCAGGAGATCAGGAGTTTGAGGAACAAGAGAAAGAAAAAATTTTAAGTTTTAGTTATTTGATGTGGGTTTTATTATACATTTTGCTAGGAAGAGTAAAGGTCAATTTTTCTTGTGATTTAAAATATGTATTTTATTATAGTAAGAACACTTGACATGAGATTTATGTTCTTAACAAATTTAAATGTATAATATACAGTTGTCCCTTGCTTTGTGGCAGAGATTGATTCCAGGACCTCAGGCATATTCCAAAATCCCCTCATAATCAAGTCCTGCAGTTGGTCCTCTGAAATCTGCCCCGCCTGCATGAAAAGTCAGCTCTCTCTTTGTGCAGGTTTCACATCTTGCCAATAGTGCATTTTTGATCTGCTAGTTTGGTTGAAAAAAAATCCACATATAACTGGACCAATGCAGTTCAAACCTGTATTGTTCAAGAGTCAACTGTAGTATCGTTAACTATAGGCACAATGTTGTACAGAGATTTCTAGAACTTTTCCATCATGTATGATATGGTTTGATTGTGTCCCCACTCAAATCTCACCTTGAATTGTAATAATCCCCACGTGTAAAGCATGGGGCCAGGTGGATATATTGAATCAAGGGGGTGGTTTCCCCCATACTGTTCCTGTGGTAGTGAATAAGTCTTACGAGATCTGATGGTTTTATAAACGGGAGTTCCCCTGCACAAGCTCTCTTGCCTGTGGCTATGTAAGACATGTCTTTGCTTCTTCTTTGCCTTCTGCGGTGATTGTGAGGCCTCCCCAGACACATGATACTGTGAGTCCATAAAACCTCTTTCCTTTATAAATTACCCACTCTCAGGTATGTCTTTATTAGCAGTGTGAGAACAGACTAATACAATGTATAACTGCAACTTTGTTGATTAGCAACTTCCTGTTTCCCCTTCTCCCAAGCCCCTGGCAACCACCATTCTCTCTGATTCTGAGTTTGATCGTTTTAGATATCTCAAGTAGAATTAAGTAGTTTACAAATTAAATTTGTTAATATAACAAATTAAGATTAATAGAGGTTAATCTAAAATAGAATTAATTTGTTCTTTTAATGGCTTATTTCACTTCGCATATTATCCTCCAGGTTCATTTTCTTTTTTATTATTATTTTATTTGATTTGATTTTGAGATGGAGTTTCACTCTTGTCACCCAGGCTGGAGTGCAATGGTGCAGTCTCAGCTCACTGCAACCTCTGCCTCCCTGGTTCAAGGGATTCTCCTGCCTCAGCCTCCCGAGTACTTGGGACTACAGACGTGCACCACCACACCCAGCTAATTTTGTATTTTTAGTAAAGATGGGGTTTCACCATGTTGGCCAGGGTAGTCTCAAACTCCTGATCTCAGGTGATCTGCCTGCCTTGGCGTCCCAAAGTGCTGGAATTACAGGCATGAGCCACCAATCCCAGTCAAGGTTCATTTTCTTCATCCACTCATCTGATGGTGGACATTCAGTTTGTTTTACATTTTTAAAAAATTTTTATTTTTGTAGAGACAGGGTCTCGCTATATTACCCAGGCTTGGCACTTGGTCCACTTATACATGGATTTTTTTTCATCCAAACTCGCAGATCAAAAATGCACTATTGGCAAGATGCAAAACCTGCACAAAGGGAGAGCTGACTCTTCATGTAGGCGGGGCAGATTTCAGAGGGCAAGTCGCAGGACTTGACTATGCAGGGATTTTGGAATATGCCTGAGGTCCTGGAATCAATCTCTGCCACAAAGCAAGGGACAAATGTATAGCACACATTTAAATTTGTTAAGAACATAAATCTCATGTCAAGTGCTCGTACTACAATAAAATACATTTCTTAAATCAAAAGAAAAATTGACCTTTACTCTTTCTAGCAAAATGTATAATAAAACCCACATCAAATAACTAAAACTTAAAATCTTTTATTTCTCTCATTCCTCAATTCTGATAAATCCTGCCACTGTCCCAGCAAATCTAGGGCCCCACAAATCTAGTACATACCCGCACCACTGCAACTCCAGGAAAGGCTGAGTTCTCTCCCCCAGCTCCTGACTGTCTTGAATTTCTGAACTTCACCTCATGTTGGCCTGAATTTACAGAACTGTGTGACTGCCCATTTAACCCACTGAAGAATAGTCTCCCCATAATCATTGGACACTGATGGCAACTGCTGAGTGCCCAACCTAGGAGACCTTATGGCTAGAGAGACCGATCCCACTCTACTACCCCACCCAACATCCCAGATAGATGCAGGCTGGCATTGACACAGAGCAGAAATGTCTGGAGCAAAGAGATATAGATCAAGCCCAGCTATGAACTAAGTCTCTGGAGGTCTTTTTAGGTGATGGGGATTAGAGGGATGGAGGGAACTGAAAAAGAAAGGGGGATCAGCCAAATCAAGTTAAGCAGTCTGATTAAAGGACACATATTCCTGAAGATCCTGAAGGCAGAAACCTTGTCTTATCTCCTTCATCTGCAACTCATCCCAAACCACAACTTCACCCCTCCCCCAGACAAACACAACCTTCACAGAAGAGTTTTGAAAAGATTTCTGGAAATAAAATAAAGTTTCCAGAGACAGTTGAGGTCTTTTGTCTGGTCACCACTGGTTAAAATAAATAAGCAAACTTTTTATTGATATCACAACATCTGCTTATGTGCTTACTGGCCATTGACATATTCTATTTTGGAAGCGCCTGTTCAGGTCTTTTGATCATATTCCTAAAAATAAAAGGTAAATGATGTGGCCAGGCACAGTGGCTCACGCCTGTAATCCCAGGGTTTTGGGAGGCCGAGGCAGGGGGATCACCTGAGGTCGGGAGTTCGAGACCAGCCTGACCAACATGGAGTAACCCGGTCTCTAATAAAAATACAAAATTAGCGGGGTGTTGTGGCGGGAGCCTGTAATCCCAGCTACTCGGGAGGCTGAGGTAGGAGAATTGTTTGAACCTGGGAGATGGAGGTTGTGGTGAGCCAAGATGGCTCAAAAAAATAAATAAAATAAAAATAAATAAATAAAAGGTAAATGATTATGTAAGTGGGGGGGGGGGTCGTGGAGCATAGGCTATTTCCATGACCTTGGGGAAACAAAGATTTCATAGGGAGATACAAAAATAAGTAAACAAAATTGAAATAAATTTGACTTCGTGAAAATTTAACAATTTTATCACAAGACACCATTAAGCTGTTTCTCAAACACAGGTGGGAAGAAGATATTCACACTACAAGTATCCAGCAAAAAACTCTTACGTGATATATACAAAATCAATAATACAAACCCCAATAAAATATGCTGTTGTGATTCAAAAGGGAACTCTGTTCCGTTTTATAAACCGTGAGAGGCTGGGCACAGTGGCTCACACCTGTAATCTTGGCACTTTGAGAAGCCGAGACGGGAGTATCCTTTGAGCTCAGGGGTTCGAGAGCAGCCTGGGCAACATGGCGAAACCCCCGTCTCTACTGAAAATACAAAAATTGGCGGACGCATGTAGTCCCAGCTACTGGGAAAGCGGAGATGGGAGAATCGCTTGAGCCCGGGAGGCAGAGGCGGCAGTGATCCAAGATCGTGGCATTGCACTCCAGCCTGGGGACAGAGAGAGACCCTAACTGCCGCACCGCCCCCCCACCAAAAACAAACAAAAACAAAAACAAACAAACAACAACAAAAACCTTGAAAGCCTCACTCTTTCCTAATTGAGAAGGGTGACCAGGCTCACCAGCAGGTGGGACCTGTAATGTGGCAGTGCCTTAGGCTACTAACCTGGGTCACATCAGCATAGAGACTGAGGTTAGTTAGGGCCCCATAGCGATCCTTCTCTTGGGACAGCATTGGCTCCTTCAGCTGGGGTGGAGTTCGATGAAACAAGTTACCCAAGCTGAAATAGAGAGGGGAGTGGGAAGAATCTGGGAGGTATTTCCGCCCAGTTTCAGACGGAGGGTCCTTCCAGGGTGAAGTGAACGTGAGAACTACTACTCTAGAGAAACTACTGTAACAACCATTGTCATATTTGCGGCGCTTTTTCCCTTTCCTTATACATTCCACGTAACAAAACCAAAAATACCAAAACTCTAGACTCAAGATCCAGGAAGGCTTTCCGCAGGGACACAAAATCTCACAAACCCCAGGCCAATAAACCTCGGGCAGAACACACAGAAATTTGATTTAAATTTCAAAACTGTTATACAGTCCTATGACTTGTTTCTCTGTCCTTTCAATGCACACAGACATTCACTTCTTGATTACAGAGAACGACTTTTAAAACCCACTTTGTAAGGAAGGAGCCCAGGAGACCTCCAGCACTTTTCTGCAGAGAAATACTCACAGGGAGAGACTGTCGATTGAGATGGGGCCAGGGGGCTGCCTGTGACTGGTTATCTTCCAGGTCAGCAAGAGGGCAGGGGCCAGTGCTACACAGCTGTCTTACAAAAGGTAAAATTAGGACCACTTGACTTAGCTTCTTCCGATTCTCACACAATTCCCTGCCATTCCCATTCAGCTATCGTCTCACTTAATCTGCTTTTTGCGTATTGCTATGATTTTAACCTTGGTATTGTGCTTTTTGTTTTTATTTGTTTTGATCTTTTGTTTTTTGTTTCTTAGATTTTACTTCACTTTGAAAAATCTACCCGTCTTGGTACATACGCAGCTGCTTCGTTAGTTGTGACTCTGCACAGCATGAAGTTTATACCCACCTGCTCCGATGACAGACAGGCAGGTTGCTTCAACTCTGTTACCGCATATCACTACAATGATTAGTCTCATTTAATCCACTAGAATGATAAACTGAAATGTCACTGAGGGATATTCCTAGAAGTGGGATTGCTGGGTATTAGACAAAAAGCTATGCAAAAATAAAAACTCAATGCCTGCAGAGCAAAATCTAAGAACTATATTTTTTAAGAATAAAATCCTACTTTTATTCCATGTAGAAATTCATACATATAATATTTTTGTCGTGACAAATCGAAACAGAGGAAGGACATGTAACTCACGTTGGTCTGAGGAAACCTCCCAAGGGAAGATTATTCTTGAGGTATATCTAAAATTTGAGTAAACTTGTGGTGAAGAAGAAGGGAAGTTATTTTGAGCAGAGGGAAAATTTAAGTTTAACAAGTTATTTACTGTTAATTAACATTTCTTTTACTTTAATGATCTAGGAAAATTTTCTGCAATATGATAATATTTTGTGGGGCTATCTTCTTCAAAGTTTCAAAGTAAAGTAGAAAAACTTGTTTTATAGAATCTGATGGCAGATTATTCTGCATGTGGGGAAGATCAGTGAATTTCCCAGTAATTCTGTCCCCAGAAAAACCCCAGAACCCCAACTATGCCTGTCCTGCCAATTGACACTCTTAGCTTGTCATCATGTCTTTCTTCCTAGCATTAGTACAGTTTCAAGTATCTTTTGTTTTGTATGAAGCAGGGTTCAGTCTCTGCAGTAGAAGTGTAATTTTTGCCTTGGCCTACAAACTCATCTAGGTCAATCCAAGATGAGAGTTTTTTATTTGTATAGCATGATCTTTCAAGCTTCATGGGTAGAATACCTTACTTTTTCTTTTTTTATTTTTTAATTTTATTTATTTATTTTTTGAGATGGAGTTTCGCTCTTGATAGCCAGGCTGGAAGTTCATTGGTGTGGTCTTGGCTCACTGCAACCTCCGCCTCAAGGGTTCAAGCGTTTCTCCTGCCTCAGCCTCCCAAATACCTGGGATTACAGGTGCCTGCCACCACGCCCAGCTAATTTTTGTGTTTTTAGTAGAGGCACGGTTTCACCATGTTGGCCAGACTGGTCTCGAACTCCTGACTCAGGTGATCCACCGGCCTCGGCCTCCCAAAGTGCTGGGATTACAAGCGTGAGCCACCGCACCCAGCCACTTTTTATTCTTCTACAGTCTTCATGGATTGCCTGATTTTGCGTCATAGTTGTAACAGATAATCTAATATTGTGCAAATGTGATATTGAGTATGGCCAGGATCCTGTTTTATTGTGCTCACCACAAAGAAATAAATCACGCTCAGCCTCCTGCAGAGGGCAATTTGGCAGAATCCATCAACATTTCAAATGCATATATCATATGTCCCTTGATGTGCATTTCACAAGTGTACAAAGGATGCTTGCAGGCATAACGATTATGTTCTAATTATTCACTTGATATTATTTGTAATATAAAGATTAAGAAAAAGCTATTTATCTTAAGTATATAATCAGTTAAATAAATTATGCCATATATACGAAATATAACAGTTTTCATTTATTTATTTAAAAGTGGCACAATCTCGGCTCACAGTAACCTCTGCCTCCCTGTTTCAAGAGATTCTCCTGCCTCAGCCTCCTGAGTAGCTGGGACTACAGGCCACTAAGCCTGACTAATTTTTGTGTTATTAGTAGAGACGGGGTTTTACCATGTTGGCCAGGCTGGTCTCAACCTCCTGACCTCAAGTGATCCGCCCGCCTCGACGTCTCAAAGTGCTGGAATTACAGGCGTGAGCCACTGGGCCTGGCCCCTCCTTATGCTTTTTTTATTTATTTATTTTTTGAGACGAAGTCGCACTCTGTCGCCCAGGCTGGAGTGCAGTGGCGCGATCTCGGCTCACTGCAAGCTCCGCCTCCTGGGTTCACGCCCTTCTCCTGTCTCAGCCTCCTGAGTAGCTGGGACTACAGGCGCCCGCCACCACGCCCGGCTAATTTTTTGTATTTTTTAGTAGAGACGGGGTTTCACAGTGTTAGCCAGGATGGTCTCAATCTCCTGACCTTGTGATCTGCCCGCCTCGGCCTCCCAAAGTGCTGGGATTACAGGCGTGAGCCACCGCGCCCGGCCTCCTTATGCTCTTTTAAATATACAGACTGGGCCAGGGTGGAAGAGAATATGTATTTGTATTAGACTGTATTTGCACTTTTAAAAATCTCTGGAAAGATAGCAGGAAATTCATGACAATGGTAGCCTGTTTAAAATGCTAGGAACTGTACTTTGACATGATAGCACGTAAGAAAAATAAATTAATTAAATTAAAAAGCTGGGAACTGGGTGGATGAGAAAGAGGAAGGTGATATTAGCTGCATTTTTTTTTCTGTACTCAAGATGTTTGAACCAAGTGAATGTGTTACTTATCATAAAAATTAAGCCAGGCAGGGTGGCATGTACCTATAATTCTAGCTACTTGGGAGTCTGAGATAGGAGTGTAGCTTGAGCCTAGGAGTTCGAGACCAGCCTGGGTAACCTAGCGAGACCTTGTCTCAAAAAACTGTTTTCAATTAATAAAATTAAATAATTTAACACATACTGTAAGCATATAGTAAAGTGGCAATAATAGTATCTGGAATGGTGAATGAAGCCAAGTTATTTATTCAAAAAATAATCCAAGAAAAAATTGTAGACATCTAATAAGCAAGGCAGGAAACCACAGGTGTCCTCCCTAAGGGTGTCTGCAGTAGTGACAAGGAGCTACTATTCTCCAACTAGGAAGGAGACTCCACTTGAAAAGCGAGAGAACAATGATTCACAGAATTACTTTGACGTGAAAGAAAGGTAAGGCAAAAAGGGTAGGAGTCTCCCTAATGGCGTCCAAGACTGGCTTTGGACAGCCTATTAAGTGAGACCTGGGAATATTATTTTATTTTTTTATTTTCTTATTTTATTTTATTTTATTTTATTTTTTATTTTATTTTATTTTATTTTGAGACGGAGTCTGGCTCTTGTCCCCTAGGCTGGAGTGCAATGGCACAATCTCGGCTCACTGCAACCTCCACCTCCCGGGTTCAAGCGATTCTCCTGCCTCAGCCTCCCAAGTGCTGGGATTACAGCATGAGCCACCGCACCCAGCCTGTGTCTAATTTTTGTTCAACCCAATGATTCTCCTAAAATTCCCAGGTCTCAGGCCGGGTGCGGTGGCTCACGCCTGTAATCCCAGCACTTTGGAAGTCCGAGGCGGGTGGATCACGCAGTCAGGAGTTCAAGACCAGCCTGGCCAAGATGGTGAAACCCCATCTCTGCTACAAATACAAACATTAGCCGGGCGTGGTGGCAGGCGCCTGTAATCCCAGCTACTCCGGAGGCTGAGACAGGAGAATCGCTTGAGCCCGGGAGGCGGAGGCAGCAGTGAGCCGTGATCGCGCCACTGCACTCCAACCTGGGCAACAAAGAGGGAAACTCTGTCTCAAAAAAAAAAAAAAAAAAAAAAAAAAAAGGAGCTATGTCTATACAGTCCAGCTTCAGTGATCCGGTGCGCAGTGTCTCACGCCTGCAATCCCAGCACTTTAGTTGGTTGAAGCGGATGGATCACTTGAGCCAGGAGTTAGAAGCTAGCCCTGGCAACATAATTAAGACACCGTCTCTACAAAAAAAAATTTAAAAATTAGCCAGCCTTTAGTCGCTTATGCTGAGGAGGGAGGATCACTTTAGCCCAGGAGTTCAAGTGAGCTGATTACGCCCTGCCCTCCAGCCTGGACTACAAAGCAAGACCCTGCCTTCTCGCCGGTGGGTGTGGGGCGAGTCGCAATAGTGGTTCCCTCCGCATAGTGATTGGAAAGGAACTTAGGGTGCTCTTGAGCTGCATGCTGGTAGGCGGGGTTTATTCGGTTTGTGGAGAATCATCCAGATGAATATTTATATGTGAGAGGTTGATTTTTTTTTAAGGAATTGGCTTATGCAACTGTGAACCTGGCTAGTAATTGCTAAATCCATAGGGCAGGCTGTCAGAAAAGGCAAGCCATCGGAAAGGACAGGCTGGAAACAATATAGAAAATCAATGAAACCAAAAGTTGGTTCTTTGAAAAGTTCACCAAAATTGACAAACATTTAGCTAAATGAACCAAGAAAAAAGAAGAGCGGGCCGGGCGCGGTGGCTCATGCCTGTAACTGTAGCACTTTCGGAGGCCGAAGTGGGCAGATCACCTGAGGTCAGGAGTTCGAGACCAGCCTGGCCAACATGGCGAGAGCCCCGTCTCTACTAAAAATACAAAAGTTAGCCTAGCGTTGTGGCGGCGCCTGTAATCCCAGCTACTCAGGAGACTGAGGCAGGAGAATCGTCTGAACCCAGGAGGCGGAGGTTGCAGTGAGCCGAAATGGCACCACCGAAGTCTGGGCAATAGAGTGAGACTCTGTCTCAAAAAACAAACAAACAAATAAACAAGAGAGGAGACGCAGAAGACTAAAATCAGAAATGAAAGTGGAGGCGTCCGCTCCACCTACGCTGAGCCCGAGGCGGGAAGCTCTGGACACAGCCATTGACTGGCTGGCTGGGGCGCAGCTTGATGGCGTCAGGCTGACGAGCCGCAGTCCCTACGGCTGCACCTGGGCGAAGGCCGCCTGTGTGAGAGGCCGGTGGCCCCAGCGTGCCGCGGCCTTGGAAGTGGGAAATGGAGGCAGGAGCCCTCCCTACACTTCACCATAGGCTTCCTGATTGATTCCAGCATCGTGATTACCTCCCAGATACTATTTTTTTTTAATTTGGGTGGCTTTTCTTCATGTGCCAATTGTTTAAGAACTATGAGGTGCGTCAGTATGTTGTACAGGTGATCTTCTCTGTGACGTTTGCATTTTCTTGCACTATGTTTGAGCTCATCATCTTTGAAATCTTTGGAGTATTGAGTAGCAGCTGTCGTTATTTTTACTGGAAATTGAACCTAGGTGTAATTCTGCTGATTCTGGTTTTCATGGTGCGTTTTTAAACTGGCTATTTTATTGTGAGCAACATCCGACTACTTTTGTCTCCTCTGTCTTAGTGCATAAACAACGACTGCTTTTTTCCTGTCTCTTGTGGTTGACCTTTATCTGTTTTTTCTGGAAACTAGGAGATTCCTTTCCCATTCTCAGCCCAAAACATGGGATCTTATCCATAGAACAGCTCATCAGCTGGGTTGGTGTGATTGGAGTTACTCTCATGGCCCTCCTTTCTGGATTTGGTGCCGTCTACTGCACATACACTTTGATGTCTTATTTCCTCAGGAATGTGACTGACACAGATATTCTAGCCCTGGAACAGCGACTGCTCCAAACCATGGATATGATCATAACCACAAAGAAAAGGATGGCAATGGCACAGAGAACGATGTTCCAGAAAGGGGAGGTGCATAACAAACCATCAGGATTCTGGGGAATGATAGAAAGTATTACCACTTACTCAACAGGAAGTGGATGCTTTGGAAGAACTAAGCAGGCAGCTTTTTCTGAAAACAGCTGATCTGTACGCTACCAAGGAGAGAACAGAATACTCCAAAACCTTCAAAAGGAAATATTTCAATTTTCTGGGTTACTTTTTCTCTATTTACTGTGTTTGAAAAATTTTCATGGCACCATCAACATTGCTTTTGATCGAGTTGGGAAAATGGATCCTGTCACAAGAGGCGTTGAGATCACTGTGAATTATCTGGGAATCCAGTGTGATGTGAAATTTTGGTCCCAACACATTTCCTCCATTCTTGTTGGAATAATCATCGCCACATCCATCAGAGGATTGCTCATACCACGTTCTTTTATGCCATCTCTAGCAGTAAGTCCTCCAGTGTCAATGTCCTGCTATTAGCACAGATAATGGGCATGTACTTTGTCTCCTCTGCGCTTCTAATCTGAATGAGTATGCCTCTAGAATATGCACCATAATTACCGAAGTCCTTGGAGAACTGCAGTTCAATTTCTGTTACCATTGGTTTGATGTGATCTTCCTGGTCAGCAGTCTCTCTAGCATAGTGTTTCTCTATTTGGCTCACTAACAGGCACCAGAGAAGCATATGACACCTTGAACTTAGGGCTACTACAGACTGTTAGAGGCCAGTGGTCTCAAAATTTAGATATGAAAGGGGAAAAAAATGGAGGGGACCAGGGTCTAACATTTTATAAACAAACAAAATGCTGTGGTAGCATTTTTTACCTCTAGCATCCTCTTTCCTACTCAGGTGATACTGTGATCACGAGTAGCATCAGCTAGAACATGAGAGAGAGCAGTAACTCAAGGCAATACTCAGCAGAGAGCATCCTATGTGGACCTGAGGCTGGTGCAATGGCGGAGAGGAACCGAAAAACTAAGAGGGAAAAATACACCGGAACTCTGGGGCAAGAGATGTCTATGGTAGCTGGGCCAAACACATAGGATATCCATTTTCAGGTTCACATGGAGGTGGTCATAGCTTTCCCTTGAGATTGACTGTCATGAAAATCAGAGATTGTAATGAAAAGAATAAACAGGAAGAAAAGGAAAGAAGGAAAGAAAGGAAGGAAGGAAGGAAAAGAAGAAACATTACGAATTTACAGAAATCAAAAGGATTATAAAAGAATATTGTGAAGAATTGTATGCCAGCAAATTGGATAACCTAGATGAAGTGGATAAGCTCCTAGAAACAATCTATTAAAATTTAATTAAAAAGAAATAAAAAATGTGAATAGACCTATAACTAGTAAGGATACTGAAGCAGTACGATACAAAAATGTATCCACAAATTACTAGCAAACTAAAGTTAGCAATATGTTTTGGGTTTGTTTTTGTTTTTGTTTTTTGAGATGGAGTCTTGCTCTACCAACCAGGCTGGAGTGTAGTGGCGTGAGCTCAGCTTACTACAACCTCCACCTCCCAGATTCAAGCAATTCTCCTGCCTCGGCCTCCCGAGTAGCTGGGACTAAAGGCACACGCCGCCACACCCAGCTAATTTTTTGTATTTTAGTAGAGACGGGGTTTCACTGTGTTGCCCAGGCTGGTCGTGAACTCCTGAGCTCAGGCAATCCTCTGCTTTGGCCTCCCAAAGTGCTGGGATTACAGGCATGAGCCACCATGCCTGGTTAGCAATATGTTAAGAAGATTATACACTACGAAAAAGTAAGATTTATTCCTGGAATGTGAGGATAATTCAACATACAAATATCAGTCAATGTAATATATACCACATTAACAGAATGGAAAAAAATTACATAATCATCTCCATTGATACAGAAAAAGCATTTGACAAAATCCCACACCCTTTCGTGAAAAACAAACAAACAAAAAAACCTACCCAATGAACTAGAAATAGAAGAAAACTTCCTTAACATCATAAAGGCTACTTATGATTAACCTTCAACTAACATCATATTCAATAGTGAAAGGCTGGCCAGGCGCGGTGGCTCGCGCCTGTAATCCCAGCACTTTGGGAGGCGGAAGCAGGCGGATCACCTGAGGTCAGGAATTGAAACCAGCCTGGACAACATGGCAAAACCCCATCTCTACTGAAAATACAAAAAAATTAGCCGGGCATGGCGTGCGCCTGTAGTCCCAGCTACTCAGGAGGCTGAGGCACGGGAATCACTTGAACCTGGGAGGCAGAGGTTGCAGTGAGCTGAGATCTCACCACTGTACTCCAGCCTGGGCGACAGAGTGAGACACCGTCTCAATTAAAAAAAAAAAATAGTGAAAGACTGAAAACTTTTTTTCCAAGATCAGTAAAAGACAAAAATGCCCACATTCACCACTCTATTCAGCATAGTGTTGGCAGTTCTAGCCACAGAAAGTAGGCAAGAAAGTGAAATAAAAAGCATCCCAGCTGGCTCTGTGGCTCATGCCTATAATCCCAACACTTTGGGAGGCAGAGGCAGGAGGATCGCTTGGGCCAAGTAGTTCGAGACCAGCGCAGGCAATATGGCCAAACCCTGTCTCTACCAAGAATACAAAAATTAGTTGGGTGTGGGTGGGAGGATCGCTGGAGCCCGGGAAGTCGATGCTGCGAGGAGCCATGATTGCGCCACTGCACTCCAGCATGGGTAATCTCCTGTCTCAAAAAATAAACAAATAAAATAAATTTAAAAGTTTAAATTTAAAAAAGAAACTCGTATGCCAATGTTTCACGGCAACATTATTGATTTGGGTTGATTCCACCTGTTGACTATTCAGAAAGCCTAAAAGGAGTAAAAATTTTGATACATGCTGTAATATGAATAAAGAGTGAGAACATTATTCAAAGTGAAATAAGCCAAACATAAAGGACAAATATATGATTTCCACAATAGTAAAATTCATAGAGACAGAAAGAGTAGTTACCAAGAGCTGGGGAAGTGAAGAGAAATGGGGAGTTATTATTTAAAGGATACAGAGTTTCAATTTTGGATGAGAAAAAGTTCTGGAGATGGATAACGGGGATGGTTGCAAGATGATGTGAATGTACTTAATTCTACTGAAATGTACACTTAAAACTAATTCAAACAACAAATTTTATATTATGTATATCTTACCACAGTTTTTTTTTTTTTTTTTTTTTTTTGAGACAGAGTCTCGCTCTTTCGCCCAGGCTGGAGTGCAGTGGCGCTATCTTGGCTCACTGCAAGCTCCACCTCCCGGGTTCACGCCATTCTCCTGCCTCAGCCTCCCAAGTAGCTGGGACTATAGGCGCCTGCCACGGCGCCCAGCTAATTTTTTGTATTTTGAGTAGAGACGGGGTTTCACCATGTTAGCCAGGATGGTCTCAATCTCCTGACCTCGTGATCCGCCCGCCTCGGCCACCCAAAGTGCTGGGATTACAGGCGTGAGCCACCGCGCCCGGCCCTTACCACAGTTTTTAAAAGGCCCTAAAAATATGTAAGGATGTAAAGTAAGTGGTTTAGAAAAGTAAAGGGATAGGCTGGGCGCGATGGCTCATGCCTGCATTCCCAGCACTTTGGGAGGCCAAGGCAGGCGGATCACGAGGTCAGGAGTTAGAGACCAGCCTGGCCAATATGGTGAAACCACATCTCTACTAAAAATACAAAAATTAGCCAGGCATGGTGGCGCACGCCTGTAGTCCCAGCTGCTTGGGAGGCTGAGGCAGAAGAATCACTTGAACCCAGGAGGCAAAGATTGCGGTGAGCTGAGATCACGCCACTGCACTCCAGCTTGGGTGACAGAGTGAGACTCTGTCTCAAAAAAAAAAGAAAAGTAAAGGGATAAAGATATATAACACAAAGGTTAGGCTGGGTGTGGTAGCTCATACCTGTAATTCCAGAACATTGCAAGGCTGAGGCAGGTAGATCACTTGAGGCCAGGAGTTCAAGACTGGCTTGGCCAAAATGGTGAAACCCTGTCTCTTACTAAAAATACAAAAATTAGCCAGGTGTGGTGGCCCACCCCTATAGTCCCAGCTACTCAGGAGGCTGAGGCATGACAATCGTTTGAACCCAAGAGGCAGAGGTTGTAGTGAGACAAAATCACGCCATTGCACTCCAGCCTGGGTGACAGAGTGAGTCTCAAAAAATAAATAAAATAAATAAAATAAAATAAAGTTAAAAACAACAACAACCAAAAAAAAAAAAAACCCCACAAAGGCGAACCATAAAAAAATTAACATAAAACGTATGTATTAACATAAAGTGTAGATTTTAAGACAAGGAGTATTACCATAGAGACGTGACATAATAAAAAAGAAAAGGAGGCATTTCACAGTGATGAAACAGAGACATTTTATAAAACAGAAACGTGAATGCTACATGTGTAGCATTCAATATATATTGTATATATTCAATAATATATAACGATAATAAAAATGACATGAAAACTATGTCAACACAAAAGTCTATCACAATTATTTGTAATCCTTTATTTATAATAGCAAAACACTAGAAAACTACTAAAATGTACCTCAATAGGTAGATGGTTAAAGAAACTGTGGTACATCCATACTATAAACAACTACTCAACAATTAAAAGGCAGGAACTGTTGATACAACAAATTGGATGGATCTCAAGGGCATTAGGCTGTGAAAAAGGCCATCCTTTTTTTTTTTTTTTAACACAGAATCTTGCTCTGTCACCCAGGCTGGAGGGCAGTGGCGCCATCTCCACTCACTGCAACCTCCGCCTCCTGGGTTCAAGCAGTTCTCATGCTTTACCCTCCCGAGAAGCTGGGGCTACAGGCATGAGCCACCATGTCCAGCTAATTCTTGTATGTTTAGTAGAGATGTGGTTTCACCATGTTGGCCGGGCTGGTCTTGAACTCCTGGCCTCACGTGATCCACCTGCCTCGGCCTTTCAGAGTGCAGGGATTACAGGCATGAGCCACCGCACCTGGCCTATTTCTATAACATTCTAAAAACAAAATAAAAAACAGAGATTAAGAACACATTAGGCCTGGCCCGGTGGTTCATGCCTATAATCCCAGCACTTTGGGAGGCCGAGGTGGGCGGATCACCTGAAGTCAGGAGTTCAAGAACAGCCTGGCCAACATGGTGAAACCCTGTGCCTACTAAAAATACAAAAAATAGTCAGGTGTGGTGGCACGTGCCTGTAGTCCCAGCTACCTGGGAAGCTGAGGCACGAGAATGGCTTGAACCTGGGAGGCAGAGGTTGCAGTGAGCTGAGGTTGCGCCACTGCACTCCAGCCTGGGCAACAGAGTGACACTGTCTCAAAAAAAAAAAGAACATATTAGTAGTTGTGGTGGGGTGGGTGCCATGGGAAGTGAGTGTAACTAATTAAGTGGTGGCACCCGCAGGGAAATCTTTGTTGTGATGAAACTTTTTTTTCTGGTTTCCAGTGATAGTTACACAAATCTACACATGATAAAATGACCTAGAACTATATACAAACAATGTACCAATGTCAGATTCTTGGGTTTGATATTGTACTATAGTTATATAACATGCAGCCATTGGGGGGAACTAAATTAAGGGTACAGGGGACTTCTCTGTACTTTCTTTGTAATGGCCTGTAAATCTATAATTATTTCAAAATTAAAAATTTAAAAACCTGATGGTAGTGGGGCATGGTGGCCCACATTGGTAATCCCAGCTACTCAGGAGGCTGAGGCAGGAGAATCACTTGAACCCGGGAGGCAGAGGCTGCAGTGAGTTGAGATCGCACCACAGTACTTTAGCCTGGGCAATAGAGCGAGACTCCATCTCAAAAAAAAGAAAAGTAATAAGAATGTTCTCTAATCAATACAGAATTAAACTAGAAATCAGTAACAGAAACAAAGGAAAATATCCCCAAATGCTTGGGGAAATTACATCTCACTCCCAAACAACCTATGGGTTAAAGATAAGTTACAAGAGAAATTAGAAAATAGTTTGAACTAAAAATAATAAAGTACATCATATCCAAACTTATTGACAGCTGCTAACACTGTTCTTGGATAGAAAGCTATAGATTTATATACATAAATTATCCAGTCGGGCATGTAAGAAGCTACAAGTCATCACTAAGTCCTAAAAACAAGTAAAACCTGAATAAACTGAAAACCCAAGTCTTTTTAGGTCTGTCAGAAAAAATGAGGTCACAGGGCAAGCCACTGCTCCCAAAATTGAAAAAGACAAATACAGAGAATCACAACTTACCAGAGAAGAAACCGACAGAACAGACACCATGTGAACTAGCGCTGGAGCAGGGAAACCTGAACTCTAATTAGCAAATTGTTGGTGGCTCAACATTGGCGAGTCTAGGAGATAAAAACTCCAGAACTCAGTCATCTGTACCCCACGATTTTGTTAATTTTACCTCAGGAGCTTGACCAGATTGTCATAGTGAATATGGGAGAAAAATCCCCTCTATCTCTGGTAGCAGGTGGGTCAAGAACCAGTTTGCAATTGGCCAGAGCATTTTGTTCTCTTAATAAGGTCTGCCCTCAGGAGAAACCATTTAACCTCAGCCTAACCTGCTGGGGTTTTATCAGAGCCCATCTGATCTGCGGGAAGGGAAATAACCAATTCCAGCCCACTCTAGCCATCCAGTCCCACCTAAAGTGGGGGAAAACCTAGGAAGCATGTTTAAAGTTGACAGTCCAGAGACACAGGTTCACTAACAGACTGAGACCTACTTGTGGGACTACAGAATGCTTTATTCCCCCCACACCTTCCCACAACATTACTAAAGACCTGCTTATAGCACCTCACTTTACCCAGTGGAGCATGTCCTGCTGTCAAGAAAAAATAACAAGGCACAATAAAAAGCAAAATACACAGAAGAGACAGAGCAAGCATCAGAATCAGACTCAGATATGACAGGGATGTTGGAATTCTCAGACGAGGAATTTGAAACAACTGATTAAGATGCTAGGGGCTTTGGCCAGGCGAGGTGGCTCACACCTGTAATCCCAGCACTTTGGGAGGCTCAGGTGGGCGGATCACATAAGGCTAGGACTTCCAGACCAGCCTGACCAACATGATGAAACCCCGTCTCTACTAAAAATACAAAAAAAATTAGCCAAGCCTGGTGGTACATGTCTGTAATCCCAGCTACTTAGGAGGCTAAGGCATGAGAATTGATTGAACCCATGAAGCAGAGATTGCAGTGAGCCACTGCACTGCATCCTGGGTGACAAAGCGAGGCTCTGTCTCAAAAAAAAAGAAAAAACAAAGACGCGAAAGGCTCTAATGTATAAAAAAGATGGCATGCAAGAACAGATGGGCAATGTAAGCAGAGAGATGGAAATTCTGAGAAAGAGCCAAAAAGACGTGCTAGTGATCAAAAACACTATAACATCAAGATAATGAAAAGACAAGCCACACAGTGGGAGAAAATATTTGCTAAAGATATACCAGATAAAGTACTCTTATTCAAAATCTACAAAGAGCTCTTAAAATTCAACAGTAAGAACACAACCTCATGAAAAAAAAAAATGGCCAAAGACCTTAACAATCATGTGACCAAAGAAGATATACAGATGAAAAATAAGCATATGAAAAGGTGTTCCGCATCATATGTCATCAGGCAAATGAACATTAAAACAAAAATAAGATATCACTACACACCTATCAGAACAGCTAAAGTCCAGAACACTGACAACAGCAAATTTTGGTGAGGCTTTGGACTAACAGGAACTCTGATTCATTCCGGGTGGAATCACAAATGACACAGCTACTTTAAGAGACAGTTTGATGGTTTCTTGCAAAAGTAAACTTATTCTTCTCACACAATCCAGTTGTACTCCTTGGTATCTAACCCAAAAGAGTTGAAAAATTATGTCCACATGAAAATCTGTACACAGATGTTTATAGCACCTTTATTCATAATTGCCAAAATTTGGAAGCAAACAATATTATTCAGTAAGTGTATGGATTAACTGTGATATATGTAAACAATGGAATATTATTCAGCATTAAAAAGAAATGAGATATCAACCCATGAAAAGACATGGAGGAAACTTAAATGCGCATTACTAATAAGCCAATCTGAAAAAGCAAATATTGTATAATTGTAATTATATGCCATTCTGGAAAGGCAAAACTATGAACACAGTAAAAAGATCAGTCGTTGCCAGGGTTTGTGAGGATGGAGGGATGAACAGCCCAAGCACAGAGAATTTTTAAGGCAGTGAAACTACTCTGCATGATACTATATTGGTGGGTATATATCATACTTTTGTGCAAATGGATAGAATGTACAACACCAAGAGTGAAGCCTAATGTAAACTCCGGTCTGTGGGTGATGATGGTATGTCAAGATAGGTCAACAATTGTAATGAATGTACTATTCTAGTGGGGCATGTTGATAGGGAGTTATGCATGTGCGGGGGCAGGGGGTATATGGGAAATCTCTGTACCTTCTGCTCAAAGTTTTGCTGCGAATCTAGAACCTCTCTTTAAAAAAAAGTCTATAAAATGCATATGTAAGAAAGAAGAAAGGTTTATGTTTGTGGAACTTTGTGAAGGGAAATGAAGCTTGGGACTTTAAGCTCGGTGGAGAATTGATTCAGAGAGTCAACCCTAGAATCGGTACGGACAGTCGTGAAGAACAGATATGAAGGGCCTGAACGAGGGACCTATCAACAACAGAGGAGAAGGACATTTTATAAAGTCTGAATGTAAGCTCAGTAGAATTTTGCAACGATTTTGACTCTAGGTGAGAGAGTGAGAAGGAATTCTGAGGTAAGCAGAAGGACAAATTCCAGTCATCACGTCAAGTAAGTAAACGTCAAATCTGGTCAGAGCCAAGATGTTTGAGATTTATCTTATGGAGGTTATAGTTTTAGTATAAGGCTCATAGAACTCAAATACTTAGCAATTTCTGGGTTTTGGATATTTCCTAATCTCGATGTGGTGCTTGTTTTGTACCAGTTTTAAAATGCGATTGTAGACACTGACTTGAATAGAAAGAAAACAAATTTCTAGGAAGGCGGGATGATTAATAGGGAATTCCTGATTAGGTCCAGCAGGATAGTTCCTTCTCTTAGGGGTTTCTATAATATGAGTTAGGGGTTTCCGTAGTGTAGTGGTTATTATGTTCGCCTCACACGCGAAAAGTCCCCGGTTCGAAATCAGGCGGGAACATTGTATTGTCCTCAGTTTTGTCTTCCTAAAACTTATAGCGACCGCTTGTCTTCCTAAAATTTACAGCGACCGTTTTTAGGACTCACGCTCTTAGAACCCCGTCCATTCGAATAAATGACTATACGCTTGTAAGTGGTTTACGCTGTGTAACTCAGTACTACGAATACGACTTGCTCTCTTCCTACACCAGATTTAAAGAGGGAGCCCCGTGGGAGCCCAAAGACAACAGGAGGCTAAAGGAAGAAGGAGCATATATCTATGTTGAAAGATCCCAGGCTGGTGCCATTTGATGGGATTTGGAAGGAGGTGGAGTTGCCTGAGAAAAGAGTAACTTGAATTGTATAAGAAATGTTACTTTGTTAGAGAAGACTAATAAAAGCATGACTTTCAGAATTCTTTTTATACTGGAACATTTCCCTGCTTAGTACTTTTTTTTTTTTTTTTGAGATAGAGTCTTGCTCTGTTGCCCAGGCTGGGGTGCAGTGGCTGTAACCTCCGCCTCCTGGGTTCAAGCGATTCTCCTGCCTCAGCCTCCCAAGTAGCTGAGACTACAGGCGTGCGCCACCACGCCTGGCTACTTTTTGTATTTTTAGTGGAGACGGGGTTTCACTATATTGGCCAGGCTGCTCTCACACTCCTGACCTTGTGATCCGCCCACCTCAGCCTCCCGAAGTGCTGGGATTACAGGCGTGAGCCACCGCGCCTCACCCCTGATTAGTACTTTTAAGTGCTCAAGCCTTCTAGCTGTACTTGATATCATTGACTATCACTTTAGATTTCACTCCATTTCAAGGTGTCTCTAAAATCCAGTCTTTTGACAAATAACCACATTCCCAATCAGGACCGTCTTCCCAGTCACGACTGTCTTCATGGGCATGCGACCTACGCATTTGCACAAGGCCAGGCACTTGATTTAATGCTCTGCTATTGCTGGTTTGAAATTCCTAATTTCCTTAAACAAGGAACATTTCCATTTTGCACTGCACTCATCAATTACGTAACTGGTTTTTCTCCTAAATGCTCACAAAGGAGTAATCATCCAATGTAATCATTCCTTACAGGGAGAAGCAAAAAGCTGAGCGCAATACTGCAACAAGGAATGTTATGAGGGAAGGCATTTGTAGAATGTGATACTTTGAAGATATAACTGATAATTTTTTTTTCTTTAAAGAGCAGCTAAAACATAGCACTGTATCCAGGGTTTGATTAATTTTTTCCATCATTTTATTTTTATCTGTCTAATAAATGATCCACAACTTCAGGCCCCATTTGCTTCCAGCCTCTTGTTAGGTTTTTTGTTTTTGTTTGTGTTTTCTTTTGGTGTTTCACTAATCATTCTTCTTATCCTCTCAAGACGTTGTCATGTTACTCCACTTTTCAATATATTCAGTGAAATTCTAGAGTTCAGAATCATGCAAGGAGGAAGTTATCACAACACTCAATTTATACCATATGTATGTCTCATCTCCTTCCTTGCCTTCCTTTTGAATTGTATTAAAAGCAAAAATGTTACGTGAAGCTGTAAGTTCCTTAGAAATATGAAAAGTAGCTACAAAAATTTAAACGTAGAAAATTGCAGCTCAATTCTAGATGGTTCTAGACGGTTGGTCTCTGGCATAGATTTAGCTAATTCATCGTAAATATTTCCAACCCATCACCACGTTCCTCTACAAAGTGCCTCAGACATCGAGATTCAAGGTTTGCTGCTTTATTAGGTATACATCTAAGTCAGGTTTAACTAGTGACAAGAATTTACCTAAGTTTAGGGGAAGAAATAAAGAGGCCTCGCTGGGATTCGAACCCAGGATCTCCTGTTTACTAGACAGGCGCTTTAACCAGCTAAGCCACGAAGCCTCACCTGTGTTGTGTAGGGGTAATTTATTATTTTATAAAAATTTACACCTCGGCCTGTCAATGTTTCTACCTCAGTGACTTTCTTTGTAGTAACACAATACCACATTTCTGGATCTCAGTCAAAACCAGAGAATAATGTTCTTGCTGTAGAATAAGAATAGGTGCTGAATTAAGAAGACTGTTTTCCTTTAGGAAACTGCTCTAAATGTCAAGAACACCTCCAGACGATAAGCTCTGGCGGCCAGGTAGAAAACTTGCTTGGTTTTGAGAACAATTACATCTCCTATGCCTGGCAGTGAATTTGCCTTCTGATGAACTCTCATTTCATTTGTTCATTCAGTGGGTAAGTGGTAACAGGAAAAACACTCTCTCTACATTTTTCTTTAACTTGGCCCCCAATGATTCTGCCTGTCCAGCATGCAGAATATAGTCACCCTGGCCACGTCTGACTTCTTTGCAACATGAACTCGACCTCTAGGATGGCGTTATCAAAATCAGGTAAAGGTGCAGATTAAATTCCTTGGGTAAATTTTTTCGGCCGGGCGTGGTGGCTCACGCCTGTAATCCCAGCACTTTGGGAGGCCGAGGCGGGCGGATCACGAGGTCAGAAGATTGAGACCATCCTGGCTAACGTGGTGAAACCCCGTCTCTACTAAAAATACAAAAAATTAGCCAGGGGTGGTGGCTGGCCCCTGTTAGTCCCAGCTACTCGGGAGGCTGAAGCAGGAGAATCGCTTGAACCCGGGAGGCGGAGCTTGCAGTGAGCCAAGATCGCGCCATTGCACTCCAGCCTGGGTGACAGAGCGAGACTCCGTTTCAAAAAAAAAAAAAATTTTTTTCAAATAAGGTTCTACTTAGTTTGAACATCTATGTACTTAAGATACAAGTTACCTGTCTCCCAACTACAGGCACAGGAGACATAGGATAATCTCGATACACAATCCTATTCAAAAAGAACAAAAACAAGAGGAAAAAGAAAAACAAAAAACAAAAAACAAGAGTCACACTGGTCTGTAGCAATTGTAGAATTCAGTGGGCACATAACGCTAGTGCGTTGATTGGAACTCAGTAATGCCGTCTGAGAATGACTCCCTAGGCTCTTTGGTCCATCTCCTGGGATCTTATTCCACACTCAGATTCATTCATTCTTTTAATAAGAAATATCATTTACTTGCAGCTGAATGGTTTTCTTAGCCTACTTCTTTCCCATAGTAGTCTGGGAGGAAGAGGGGTGAGGTCCAAATTCTTTTCATTTTATGCTGTCCTTTATTCCTTTCAGTCCAGACTGTCAATGTTCAAATACTCTAATTTTCTTCAAAAAATGTGACTTTATGAAAGTTACTGAAGTTTATTCCTTTAGACCAGGGGTTCACAAACTATAGCCCACAGGCCAAATCTGGACTTATATCTGTTTTTATAAAGCTTTATTGGAACATAACCACGTTCATTCATTTAGCATTATCTGTAGCTGCTTTCCTGCAACAGCTGATTTGTGTAATTGCCACATCAACTGAATGGCCCACAAAGCCTAAAATATTTACTATCTGGGTCTTTAAAGAAAAAGTTTTCCAGGCCAGAAGCAGTGGTTCACCCCCATAATCCCAGCACTTTGGGAGGCCAAGACAGGAGGATCACTTGAGCCCAGGAGTTTGAGACCAGCCTGGCCAACCTGGTGAAAACCCCTCTTTACTAAAAATACAAAAAAAAATTAGCCGGGTATGGTGGTAGTCCCAGCTACTTGGGAGGCTGAGGCAGGAGAATCACTTGAACCTGGCACGTGGAGGGTGCAGTGAGCCAAGATCGAACCACTCACTGCCCTCCAGCCTGGGCAACAGAGCCGGACTCTGCCTCAATAAAAAAAATTTTTTTTAAAGTTCGCCAATCTCTTTTAAAACAAAAGCCACATTCATGAAAATAATGCCTTGTCTCCCTTTGGCTTCCCATAAAACTGCAGTAGGGCCACAGTCTTAAGAGTTGTAGAGTTATTGTTTAAACTATAGGATCCTTAAGGTATGTCCTTAAGAACCTCAGGGGTTTGTTTAGATACCACCTTAAGTCTCTCTGTGGTATTAATAAAGGACTTACAATAACACCCTTGGCTTCATCTTTAGACCACATTTTCTGATCGTACTCTAGACAATAAGCTAAAACATTTGTAAGACTCACCTCATTTATTTCTCTTCTCTCAGGTATCGCAGTCCCAAACTGACAGCAGGCGATGCCTGAAAACAGTTATTTCACATACTTATGTCCAGTATATTTTTCTTGTTGTTTGCAATTTTCCTAACAGTGACTTCTTCACAGGTAGAAGCAGAAACCCATATCTCTTTTATTGGTGTTCTTTTTCAATAGTATTATAATTTCAAGTTCCATCCACATTATTGCATGTATATCTACTCTGTTACTTTTTATATTGCTTAATAGCCTATGGTGTGCATTTATAACAGTTTACCTGTCCACTTTCCAATAATAAATATTAAATTTTCTTTCAATTTCAAAAGACTAAAATAAGGCTGTGATTAACTTTATCACATGTGTACTCTCGGTAGTTGTGTAAGATTTGAGGCAGTGGATAGGGTGGGGGAAGATTTATGCCTAGGAGCAGAGCAGTTACATCATAGAATGTGAATATACTTAATTTGAATAAGAAGTACTCCAGAATGGCTTCATTAATTTAAACTTCGACTGGCAGGACAGGAGGGTTCTTTTATCACTAGTCCTGCAAAAATTGATTTTATTCAGCTTCTAGTTTTGCCAATGTAATGACAGTAAATGCGATATATCTTTTTACTTTTTATTTCTGTGATTACTAAAGGTTTTGTGCAATCTTTGTTAGTCATGACATATTTCTTTCCTTTAATTGCCTGTCCTATCTTTTGTTCATTTCCTTTTGATCTTGCTGTCCTTCTCTTGCAGATTTTCATGGCTTCTTGATATATATTAAGCCCTTGCCATTTTTGGAGACAATTCAAACATATTCTCCCATTAGTGCATCTATCTACATATTTATTTTTCTACTGTATCCTTTACCTTACATATTCTTGATTTTTTAATTTAAGATTTTTTTTAGCCGGGCGCGGTGGCTCACGCCTGTAATTCCAGCACATTGGGAGGCCGAGGCGGGGGGATCACCTGAGGTCAGGAGGTGGAGACCACCCTGACCAACATGGAGAAACCCCTGTCTCTACTAAAAATACAAAATTTGCCAGGCATAGTGGTACATGCCTGTAATCCCAGCTACTCGGGAGGCTGAGGCAGGAGAATCGCTTGAACCTGGGAGGCGGAGGTTGCGGAGGGCTGAGATCGCGCCATTGCACTCCAGCCTGGGCAACAAGAGCGAAACTCCGTCTCAAAAAAAAAAAAAAAAAAAAAGATTTTTTTAAAGGTGGGGGTTTTGCTATGTTGGCCAGACTGGCACTGAACTCCTAGGCTCAAGCAACCCTCCTGCCTCAGTCTCCCCAGTAGCTAGACTACAGTGGCTATATTCTTGATTTTAATGTAAGCAAATATGTCTTCTTTGTTTTTTGCCTTATGGTTTGTGCTTTTGAAGTTTTCAAAAGTTTTCTGTCTCCTGGGTATAAGGATGTTCTCCTTCATATACATTTTTTTTTTTTTTTTTTTTTTGAGACGGAGTCTCGCTCTGTCGCCTAGGCTGGAGTGCAGTGGCACAATCTGGGCTCACAGCAACCTCCACCTCCCCAGCTCAGGCGACTCTCCTGCCTCACCCTTCCGAGTAGCTGGAATTACAGGCATGCGCCACCATGCCCAGCTAATTTTGTATTTTTACTAGAGACGGGGTTTCGCCATGTTGGCCAGGCTAGTCTCCAACTTCCGACCTCAGGTGATCTGCCCGCCTCGGCCTGCCAAAATGCTGGGATTATAGCTGGAGCCACTGAGGCCGACCATCCTTCATATACTTCGAATAGTTTTCTTTTTTACTGTCACATGTAGATATTTAAACCCTCTATATAAGTATACTTTAAAAATCTTCACAGCTGATTGATTCTGCTCTGTAGTTTCAGAGCTAACAGCAATAGAATATTCTGAACATTTTTATGTCTATCTATTTATGATGGTTTCTTTCTCTGATATGCTTTTCATGGAACCTTCCAGTCACCTCCATTCCCATCCTCAAGTCAGTTCTTGCCCCAGCAGCAAGAGACCTGAATTTCCTTCAGTGTTTGGTAGAAGCGGGAATCTCTCAGGCCGTATCTCTTCTTCTAGGAATGGAACCTTGATCTGGCCAGAGACAGAACCCAGAGCCCAACAGCCAAAGGACTTCAGGGGTCCATTCCTTTCCCATGGCTTCATCAGGCAGATAAAGATCCTGATGTGGACCCAAGCAGTCCTGAGCATCACAAATAAGACCTGGACTCCTGTTTCCTCAGCTGATGAGATTCTGAGGAGATGTTCTCTGACTTTCTTTGCTTGTCTGCTGCAGACCACACAACCTTTGCATATTGTGGTGCTTTCCTCTGATTACCTGAAAAACAAAGGGGCACGCCACACACTAGGTGTTCAGTATTGTTACATAAATTAATTATATTCCAACCCTACTTCAGGATTTCATTTCAGCTCTGTGTCCTCCAGACCCTAAACTTCCTTTCTACGAGCTTATTTCATGAGTTTTTAAATTCCCCATGACAGCTTTAGCACCCTTCACTGAGTGCCGTTTAGCAGACTATTGAAGTTAGAATTACTTGAGGGTGCTTGGTAAGATTAAGATTCTTGGGACCCATAGTAAATCGCTTTAGTCAGGATCATTGCACGAGGGGTTCTAGAATCCACATTTGTAATAAGTCCCCCAGGAGATACTTTAGCCACAAGAATTGGATTCTCTGTTGTAACAATTGCGAGCTTTTCCGGGAGCACTTAGAGTTCTGGGGCGGCGTATTTCTGTGCAGCCCACACACAGCTCAATATGGTCCTTTTGTTGATAGGTTGCATTGTCAGTTTAAAGCATTTTGTCACTAAAATCAAAGAATTTGAACTGCCTTTC
The DNA here is from genome assembly GCF_000001405.40 of Homo sapiens. Taxonomy (NCBI): domain Eukaryota; kingdom Metazoa; phylum Chordata; class Mammalia; order Primates; family Hominidae; genus Homo; species Homo sapiens. The sequence goes on along the minus strand of NC_000006.12, from coordinate 27,721,694 downwards.
TGTCCACTAAAGATCTTAAAATTTACCCCAGCATGAACTCGTTTTAATATAATAAAACTTGGGCCCCCAGTCCTGATGCCTCCAATGACATCAGTGTGTCTGGGGTGGAGGTTTGAATTCAGCAGGCAAAACAGTGATCTCTGAAGAAAAAATCGGGACAGTGCCTTTAGTGAAGTAGAAGTAGTAGGTGGTGTTAATGCTGTGGTTTCCACTAGGGCACTCCCTCCCCTCATCTCTCCACCCTTCCCCTCCAACCGCTCCCTTGTTTTTCTTTTCAAATCAGGTACAAACAAAAATTTCTCCGGAAATTTTTGACCAAGTGAGGAGACTCAGGAGAAGTGATTGATGAACACATGCTGTGTTTTCCTATTATATCCTCCTTATATTTTAATACAATTCAGTAAAAACAGGAATAATTCGGTACTTCCTTGACTCTCAGTGCAAATGCCTTTGTTGTTATAAAAAAATGATTGCCTTGAAACTTGCCCCAGTCACCGGGATGGCCGAGTGGTTAAGGCGTTGGACTTAAGATCCAATGGGCTGGTGCCCGCGTGGGTTCGAACCCCACTCTCGGTAGGTTAAGTTTTCGACTCCTTTCAATACCAGCATTTAAAAAGTACGCGAAGGTAACTTAATTGTTTCTCTACCCCTTTGCGTTAACACTGACGTTTTTTTGTCTTCAAATCTAAAGAAATCGCCTCAACAGGCAGTAGTGTGTGAATGATTCTCTACCACAACCTATCAGATTGCCAATAGAAGGAAAAATCCCTCATATCCACCGCTCACATCCATGGCCTACTCCAGGATTTTCAATTCCACCAGGAACTGAACCTCTGAGGCTATTTGACCGGAAGGCCACAGGTAAGAAACTCTAGTTCTAGGTACCTCCCAGGAAATAAGAGCCACTCCCCAGGATTTTCATAGTTTCCAAATGATTGTACAAGAAAAGCCCAACCCTTAGCTAGGGCTGTCTCTCACACACTCTGAAGAGCATGGTTGAGTCCTTCTCAACAGAGTTTATCTTGTTTTTTCCAGTTTGAAATGTGAAAATGATCCCTCAGGGAGTTTTATTTTGCATTTAACTGGTTATATTGTCCTTGAGCACCTTTTTATATGTTTAAAAGCCATTTGTATTTCCTTTTCTGTTACATGCATAGTATTCTGTGCTAATTTTTCTACTTAGTTGTTAGGTCTTTCTCTTATGATTTGTAGGGTCTCTTTAAATATGGCTTGATTAAACTTTGTTTTGACATGAATCACAAGTAGTCTAGTTTGTTGTCTTTGAACTTTGGGGTGGCTTGGGACATGTGAAAATGGGTATCTATGCAACCACCAAAGTTATCAGTCTTTTCTTCAAGTTTTATGTTTAACTTAGATATGCCTTTCCCCATTATGAGGTCATTTCACAAAATAACTTTGTATCTTCTAGAATATTCTTTTTTACATTTAATTATTTGATCTCATTTTTCCTCTGGTGTAATATGTGAGGTAGAGATCCAACTCTGCATTAGTTCCAGCAGACTACCACTAATCCCAACACCATTACTGAATACTCATATTTCCCAGAGTGATTGAAATGACAGCATACTAAATTCTGTTGCCTTTAAAATTCATAGGACCTTGTGTCTCTAGGAGCATTTGAAAGAGTGGACTTTGGAACTCAGCAATCAGATGTCCTAATTCTGGCTTTCCCATTGAATCTCTGAATCTTGATTTCCTCATTTGTTAAATAAAAATAATAATCCCTACTTCATAGAAGGGAGTTGTAAGGATTAAAAGAAATATATATATATATATATATATAGTATCTAAGAAAATGCCTGGCAAATTTTAAAGTGCCCTTTCCCACTATATCGGTTAGTACCCTTTTCTCTTAGAAGAAACTCACACTTTCCTTTAGAGCCATCCTTCAGAGAAACTCAGAAATTAGATATTGTTCTGATAGTTAATTTGTTTCTATGTTGGATGATTATTGTCCTTATAGTTATGTTTCTAGGTTGAGATCAAACACCAAGATTCCACACTTGAAATTTATCTGATCCAGGTGGCAGCACAAATTGGGTCACTTTCATGAGCTGCCTCAGTGCTTTGAGTTTGTTCCTGGCCTTGAGAGGGTTGGGGATGTTGGGGCGCAGGGAAGGAAGCACCTTCTGAGAATGTTTATTTGCAACCTCACAGCCAGAATACTCAGGTTTGAGAAAGACTAAGTTCCCACAGAGGAGAATAATTCATCCCTAGCAAAGGTTGGTTTTCTTACTTTTATTTCTGTCACGTGGATGGGGTAGGAAAAAGAGGATGAGTGGTTTTGTTATGTTTCGAAATGAAACTCCAGATGATATGGTTTGGCTGTGTCCCCACCTAAATCTCATCTTGAATTGTAGCTCCCGTAATTCCCATGTGTTGTGGGAGATAATTGAATCACGGGGGCAGTTTCCCCCGATCTGTTCTTGTGGTAGTGAATAAGTCTCACAGGATCTGATGATTTCATAAGGGGTTTCCCCTTTCACTTGGCTCTCATGCTCTCTTGTCTGCTACCACCTAAGACGTGCCTTTCGCCTTCCACCATGATTGTGAGGCCTCCCCAGTCACGTGGAACTGTGAGTCCATTAAATCTCTTTTTCTTTATGAATTACCCAGTCTTGGGTATGTCTTTATCAGCAGCATGAAAATGGACTAATTCACCAGATGACATAGATTTTACCTGAATCAGATCTTTCTGAAAACACAGCAGTCTGTTTTCTGTGTGGTCTGTTAGCTCAGTTGTTTAGAGCGTAGTGCTGATGACATCAATATTAGGGAATGATCCCTACAGAAGTTAATTTATGTAACTTTTCCTAATGGAAGGGCCAACTGCAACCTAAAGTCACCACCCAATGCACACCTCTGCCACAAGAGATTTGAATCTATTGTATCTGTCACTTGGTTTTGTTATATTTGTCTGATTATTAGTGATGCTGAAAATTTCTACTCAACTCTAATTTCTGTTGGTTGTTTGTTTGTTGTTGTTGTTGTTGTTGTTGTTGTTTTTAGACAGTCTTGCTCAGTCACCCAGGCTGGCAGTGGGTGATGCTCACAGCAACCTCCGCCTCCTGGGTTCAAGCCATTCTCGTGCCTCAGAGGTTGTGGTAAGCTGAAATCGTGCCATTGCATTCCAGCCTGGGCAACAAGAGCGAAACTCTGTCTCAAAAAAAAAAAAAAAAGACGCTAATAATTAAATTTTAGATTAATAGAAGCATATATTCCCTAAGTATGTAATTACAATTATTTTTATTTTTTTGTTTCTCTACGTAAGTACAATTTATAAATACAGATATGTATTTGTAGATATTAATTTCACATTTACATATAACAATAGCTACCAATTCATTCCTTAAACTATTTTTTTTTTTTTGCAGCACACATCTAGTTACTAGGAATGCAGCAATGGGGGAAAAATATGTCCCCACTCTCCCAAGCTTTCTGGTGCAGAGGACCAGAAGAGGACCTCAAAGGTGTCTTGTCTTGTCTTTTCTTTGAGATGGAGATTTGCTCTTGTTGCCCAGGCTGGAGTGCAATGACACAATCTCGGTGGCTCACTGTAAGCTCCACCTCCCAGGTTCAAGCTATTCTCCTGCCTCAGCCTCCTGAGTAGCTGGGATTACAGGCATGCGCCACCACGCCCAGCTAATTTTGTATTTTTAGTAGAGACGGGGTTTCTCCATTTTGGTCAGGCTGGTCTCGAACTCCTGACCTCAGGTGATGCACCCGCCTCAGCCTCCCAAAGTGCTGGGATTACAGGTGTGAGCCACCGTGCCTGGCCAGCTGTCTTTTCTTTTTAAAGAGAAACAGAATCAACATTTTACATATACATATATAATATTTATGAGACCAACAAATCCCAAGATCTGCAGTCAGGAAGCTGGAGACCCAGGAGAGCCAGTGGTATAGATCCAGTTTGAAGGCCAGCAGGCTCAAAATCCAGGAACGGCCAGTGTTTCAGGTTGAGTTCAAAGGCAGAAATAAAACCAATGTCCCAGCTAAAAAACAGTCGGGCAGGAGGAATTCCCTCTTCTTCCTGGGAGGCCAGGCTTTTGTTCTAGTCAGGCTTGCAACTGACGGGATGAGGCCCACCCACATTGGGGAGGGTAATCTGCTTTATTCAGTTTTTTTTTAATTAAAATTTTATATTTTTAGAGACAAGGTCTCACTATGTTGTCCATGCTGGTCTCAAACTCCTAGGTTCAAGCAATTCTCCCACCTCCATGTCCTGAATTGCTGGGATTACAGGTGCAAGCCACCATGCCTGGCACAGTTTATTTATTTAAGAGTTAAACTCGGCTAGGTGCCATGGGTCACACCTGTAATCTCAGCACTTTGGGAGGCCGAGGTGGGCGGATCACTTGAGCTCACAAGTTAGAGACCAGCCTGAGCACTATGGTGAAACCCCTTCTCTACCAAAAATACAAAAAATTAGCCTGGTATGGTGGTGCAGACCTGTGGTTCCAGCTACTCAGGAGGCAGAGGCAGGAGAATCAAGCTTAGGAGGTGGAGATTGCAGTGAGCCATGATCGTGCCATTGCACTCCAGTCTGGGCAACACAATGAGACCCCCTCAAAATATAAATAAAAATTTAAGGCCGGGCGTGGTGGCTCATGTCTGTAATCCCAACACTTTGGGAGGCTGAGGCAGGTGGATCACCTGAGGTCAGGAGTTCGAGACCAGCCTAGCCAACATGGTGAAACCCAATCTCCACTAAAAATACAAAAATTAACTGGGCCTGGTGGCAGGTGCCTGTAATCCCAGCTACTTGGGAGGCTGAGGCAGGAGAATCGCTTGAACCTGGAGGCAGACGTTGTGGTGAGCCGAGATTGCACCATTGTACTCCAGCCAGGGCAACAAGAGTGAAACTCTGTCTCAAAAAAATAAAAATAAAAATTTAAATTTAAATTTAAAAATGTTAAACTCAGCCAGGCATGGTGGCTTACACCTGTAATTCCAGCACTTTGGAAAGTAGAGGTAGAGGGATTGCTTGAGACCAGGAGTTCAAGACCTGCTTGGGCAACATGGTGAAACCCTGTCTCTACAAAAAATAGAAAAATTGGCCAGGTGTGGTAGCACATGCCTGTAGTCCCAGCTACTCAGGAGGCTGAGGTGAGAAGATCACTTGAGCCCAGGAGGTTGAGGCTGCAGTGAGCGAAGATTGTACCACTGCACTCCAGCCTGGGTGACAGAGAGAGAGACCCTGTCTAAAAAATAATATTAACAATAATATTAATAAGTCAAACTCATCCAAAAATACACTCACAGAACACTCAGAATATTGATTGACCAAATATCTGGGCATATCATGGCCCAGTCTAATTAACACATAAAATTAACCATCACAATAGTTTAGTGTAAGAGAAAACAAAATTTAAAAATAAAGAACAATTTTCACCAAACTTAGCATAGTTACAATGAAAGAAACAGATGCAATATTTTTTGCTTAAATTTTTTTTGCCCAAGTCATATATATTCAGATGGTTCAAAAATGAGAAAGTATTAAAAGGCATAGAAAAAGTCTTTGGCCTTTCCTTTCCCCCATTCCCTCAATTCCCCCTACCACTTCTACCATAGTTTTTCTTTTCTTTTTTGTTTTGTTTTGTTTATTTTGAGACAGGGTCTCACTGTGTCATCCAAGCTAGAATGCAGTGGTGCAATCATGACTCACTGCAGGTTCAGCCTCCTAGGCTCAAGTGATCCTCCCATCTCTGCCTCCTGAGTAGCTGGAACTATAGGTATATGCCACCATATCTAGCTAATTTTTTAATTTTTTTGTAGAGATGAGATCTATGTTGCACAGGCTGGCCTTAAACTCCTGGGCTCAAGTGATCCTCCCACCTCAGTCACCAAAAGTGCTAGGATTACTGGCATGAGCCATCCTTCCTAGCTTACTTTAGTTTTTAAATGCATTCTTCCTGATTTTATGAAACTTGCAAATTATTCTGCAGCTCTTTTTCTCAATATATTTTGGAAATCTCTATTTTATCAGTGATTAGTTACAAATAGCACATTTAAATTTGCATCTGCACAAAACAGGAGCTTATTTTCAAATGAGTTTATCCAACCAGGCAGGAGTACAATCTGCAAACTTCTTTTCCATTGCACCTCTAAACAAGGGAACAAGAACAAATGTAGATTTATTGGAACTCAAAGGAAGAAGAGAAAATGACATCCTTAATTGTTTTTGATCCAGTGAGAAATAAAACACTTTTTGCCTAAAGCAATGTAGTATTCAACAATACCTGAAGTAGGGAATTAGAAGCAGCTGGTGATCAAAGGAAATGTTACATTAATTCAACAAATATTTATTGACCTTTTTCTTCACACTGCAATATTTAGCTATCTATTTTCTTTAAGTAAAGGTGTTCAAGAAATAGCATTAAGTTTTTAAAAAAAAAGATCCAAAAATTTTTAATAGGATAGCAAATCCCCCCCTGCCCCAACTTTGTTTTTTGAGATGGGGTCTCACTCTGTCACCCAGGCTGGAATGCAGTGGAGCAATCTCAGCTTACTGCAACCTCTGCCTCCCAGCTTCAAGCGATTCTCCTGCCTCAGCCTCCCAAGTAGCTGAGATTACAGGTGGCGCCACCACATCCAGATAAATTTCTTTTTTTTAATTTTTGTATTTTTAGTAGAGATGGGGTTTTGCCATGTTGGCCAGGCTGCTCTTAAAACCCTGAGCTCAAGGAATCCTCCTGCCTCAGCCTCCCAGAGTGCTGGGATTACAGGCGTGAGCCACTGTGCCCAGCCAAAGACAATCCCTTTTTAAAAACATACACAACATATACACACAACACATGTATATAAATGTCTAGAAGTGTATGTGTATATATGTATACACACACACACTCACACACATATGCCACCCATATATATACAGTAAAATGTGCTTTACATGCTTAACAGTGTTTATCTTTGGAATGTGGGGGGAATATATACATATACTCAGTCATATTTTTAATATTTTTAAGCAAAAATATAGGATTTTTAAGCAAAAATCCTATTTAATGCCTTGGTAGCTCAAGGCTGCTGCTCAGAGTTCCTTACCTTGAACAGCAGTTATCCAACCTACAGTCCATATTCAGTATTAATGATGAAGGTAAAAACAGTTGAAAATCAGAACAGTTAACATTCCAGTTGATTTACCAGGATTCTATTAATTTGGTTATATAGACAGGAGAATTCTTCTGAAGGTGGCTACTCCCTGGTAAAAAGATGAACTTCCTCTCAGAAGGCAGTGGGGTAAAGAATTTAGGACAAGGACTCTGGAGATAGACTGTTAGTTTGGGCCTATCCAAATGGGTCTACTCTTTACCTAAGACCTTTAAAGGGGAAAAGTGCATGGACCTTGGAGCCCAACAGTCTTGTTTTCCAATTCTGGTTTTGCCACTTCCTCTCTCTAAGCTACAACATCTTCATTGTACTAACCCCTACTCTATAAAATAATTGTGAGGAAAGACACACACACACTCCCACATACATTGTATGTCACATACTGCCTGATAAATAGTAAGTGCTTAATAAATATTAGTTCCTTTACCCTAAAGAGAAAACCATCCTCATCCTTTATAAGCTGCCTTTCATGAAAATATTCCTGCTTTATTTCCATAGCCTTTAAAATATTCTAGACACTTATTTCTTTCTCTCTCTTTTTTTTTTTTTTTTTTTTTTTTTTGAGACAGAGTCTTGCTCTGTCACCCAGGCTCACCTGCAGTGGCATGATCTTGGCTCCCTGCAACCTCCACCTCCCAGGTTCCACAGGTTCAAGTGACTTTCATGCCTCAGCCTCCCAATGGGTGTGGGCCACCAAACCTGGCTAATTTTTGTATTTTTAACAGAGACAGGGTTTTGCCATGTTGTCCAGCTGGTCTCGAAATCCTGACCTCAAGTGATCTGCCCACCTATGTCTCCCTAAGTGCTGGGATTATAGGCATGAGCCATGGCACCTAGCCCTAGACATTTATTTCTTTTTTGTTTGTTTTTTATTGTTCATTTGTTTTTTGAGACGGAGTATCACTCTCACCCAGGCTGGAGTGCGGTGGCATGATCTTGGCTCACTGCGACCTCCGCCTCCCAGTTTCAAGCGATTCTCCTGCCTCAGTCTCCTGAGTAACTGGGACTACAGGTGGATGCCACCACACCCAGCTAATTTTTTTGTATTTTTAGTAGACGCTTCTGGAGGGAAGAGGATTTTTTATCAAAACCTAAACTTTACAGACAGAGGAGGAGTTCTGTTACGGACAACAAAATACCCCTGCAGAATAGGAAGCGCAGTAAGGGTAGGATTTATGGAGATGATAGAAAAGAGGCACCTGCATAATCTAGGAGCCAAAGCGTAAGATTGCCTATCTGCTTCTCTCTCAACACACACAATTCCACCCGTCTTCACTTTTCTCTGCCGTAAAACACATTTATTGTCCTGGGCTCTAGAAAAATGAGCAAGACCAGGGGAAGAAGTCAATTCTTTCCATAATCAGTGACACTAATCTTGGAGTAAGTGTGAGTGGCTGAGGCATCCCCAGTTATGGGTAGAGAGTCCTCTTCGGTGAGTTCACTCTTCTGCTTGGATCAATTTTGTCTTTTCTGAGGAAATAGTATCCATGTGGCTTGGTTGAGATGTTAAAACTCTGACAGCTCCACAGCACCGGGAATTGCGAAGGTAGAGGGCTCCTAGAAAACAGTAATTATACTGATGACTCAATGATGACAATTGCTAATTTTCAAATAGCTTAAGAGTCCAGGCACTAAAGTGTGAGTTACTCATGTACATTTTTATCATCACTCTAAAGATGTCCAGACTAGCTTCATGGGCATGTTAACTTCTACAGTTGCAAATGGCCCTGCACCCAGAAGAGCCCCACAATTGGTTCAATGCTCTGCTATCACCATCTGGAGATTGTTAATAATTTTTGAACAAGAGACTCTGTATTTTCATTTTACACTGGGCCTCACACATCATGCAGTTGGTCTGACAGAATGTCTTCAGACTTTTTCTATTGTCAAGAAAAGGAAACAATTCTTTCCCATACTCTGGATTCTATCCCTTTTTCGAGGTATGTTTGGTGCACAGGGATTGCTTCCCAATCCCTCTTCTGGTGTTCAGGTGGTAAAAGTGAAGTGCAGGGAAAAAAATCAAGAAAGGATTTTTTTTGGTCCTTTTTTTTTTGGAGAAGGATATATTTTTAAAAATAGGTCACTGAACCATAAGAAGTCATGTATGACTGGACATGGTGGTCACGCCTATAATCCCAACACTCTGGGAGGCCGAGTTGGGCAGATCACCTGAGGTCAGGAGTTCAAGACCAGCCTGGCTAACATGCCGAAAATTCGACTCTACTAAAAATACAAAAAAAATTAGCCGGGCTTGTTGGCGCTGCCTGTAATCCCAGCTACTCGGGAGGCTGAGGCAGGAGAATCGCTTGAACCCGGGAGGCAAAGGTTGCAGTCAGCTGAGACAGTGCCACTGCACCCCAGCTTGGGCAATGAAGAGACACTCTGTCACAAAACAAAACAAAACAAAACAAAGAAGTGATGAATGAGCATTCATGATCAGAAATCAAAGACAAAAAGGGGTAGATTACATGACTGGGTGTTGCTATAGCTTCCACATATATGAGACCTTTACAGAAAAAGAAAAGAAAGACCAAAGAAATAAGCTTTTTTTTTTTTTTTTTTTTTTTTTTTGAGACGGAGTCTTGCTCGGTCGCCCAGGCTGGAGTGCAGTGGCACAATCTCAGCTCACTGCAAGCTCCGCTTCCCAGGTTCACGCCATTCTCCTGCCTCAGCCTCCCGAGTAGCTGGGACTACAGGTGCCCGCCACCACGCCTGGCTAATTTTTTGTATTTTTAGTAGAGACGGGGTTTTGCTGTGTTAGCCAGGATGGTCTGGATCTCCTGACCTCGTGATCCGCCTGCCTTGGCCTCCCAAAGTGCTGGGATTACAGGCGTGAGCCACCACGCCCGGCCCAGAAATTAGCTTTATCCACTTCCTGGGAGGTTAACTCTCCCGCTTCGGCCTCACAGAATCCAATGATCACTCACCAGATAGCAGAAATAGAGCATAGCTGAATGAATTTATGAAGTAAGGAAACTTATAAGTGACTTTTGTTGGGTCAGGTCCCTGACTCACTTTCAAAATTTGTGTATAGTGCATAAGTAAGGAGAAGAACACAAAAGTACTTGTCAACCCCAAAAAAGAAGGGAGAGATCAATCTGCTAATTAGCTTATCAATACTTAAAGATTTAACTGTAGTATTATGATCAGGGAACCAAATTATTTCATCACCTCCCCTCATTCTTCTTCTCCCTCCTTTCAGACCATTTTTTCTCCTAGCTTCTCCTTTTCCCTTGTACTCTCCTGAAAACTTTTTAAGAGGCTAATTAAGCCTCTTCCACCCTCACCCCAAGGCCAAGACATTCGGAATTTATTCCTGCCTCTCTTTACCTGTGACAATGCAGATGGATGCACAGAAAATATACTGTTTCTGGGTCTCAGGGAATAACTGAGGGAAGGTCAGCAACAAAAAGTTCAAGCAGAATGAGAGAAGGGCGCTAATCATAAAAATTCCACCCAGTATGAAGTAGGCTAAAGAGAGAGAGAGAGAGGGGTATAAGTTCTTTTCAGGGCTCTCTCTGGTTTCAGAGTCCCCCAGTTCTAAAGGTCACATAGTAAAGTTTGGTGGATGTCAGCAGGAAGAAGTAGTTGTGAGGGAAATGAGGGGAGGGAGCACTGAGGCTCAGGTTAGTAATGACATTTAGCCCTTCCTTTTTAAATCCAGGACTTACTTGGTTTGTGTTTGGGCATCCAACACATCGTCTTACCACTGCAGTCCATGAAAAGTGCACTGACAAGAACATTGGGATCTCCAGGTAGTTGTTTCTACCCAGGAAGAGACGAGGGAAGACCACCAAAGCAGTGTGGTAGCCGGGAAATTACAGATAAGGATCATGGCCCTGTTCAGTTTCTTCATCCACCACCCATGAAGAGGCATCGCCTAAGAAGTAAGTGGGGAAAAAGGGAGGAGTTTCTTTAAATTCTCCATATTTACTTCTCGCCCTTCAAAGACAATTCCTAATGATCCCTCGTTTCTAAAACTCTCTTAAGTCTTCCATTCAAGCCCCAATATCCTCTCTATAGTTTAACTCCTTATTCATTTAACAAATGCTTACTGCATGCCCATAATGTGTCATGCCTTAAGTTCTGTTATATTGTCTTTTAACTGACCCTAGTTATTATCCCCACCATTCTAGACTCCAGATTAACAGCACCTCCCCCAAATAAGTTTATCAGGCCCTTCCCCAGCTTGAAACTCCCCTAACTCCTTTTGATTACCTCTAAATATAATCCTTGGGGTAACATCCAAGCCCTTCCTTATTCTAGCCTCAGTCTATCTTTCCAGTTTTATTTGTCTGAGCATGGTGGTACACGCCTGTAATCCCAGCTACTCACGTGGCGGAGGCAGGAGAATCACTTGAACCCGGGAGGCAGAGGTTTCAGTGAGCTGAGATCGCGCCACTGCACTCTAGCCTGGGCGACAGAGCAAGACTCCATCTCAAAAAAATAAATAAATAAAATAAAATAAATAAATAATTTAAAAGTTTGTAAAGTAAAAGTTATAGTAAGCTAAGGTTAATTTACTATTGAAGAAAAATATTTTTTACAAATTTAGTGTAGCCTAAATGTAGTGTTTATAAAGTCTACAGTAGTGTACAGTATTGTCCTAGGTCTTCACATTCATTCACCACTCACTGACTCACCCAGAGCAACTTCCAGTCCTGCAAGCTCCATAAGTGTCCTATACAAGTATACTTTTTTTTGTTTGGAGATGGAGTTTTGCTCTATTGCCCAGGCTGGAGTGCAGTGGCATGATCTTGGCTCACTGCAACCTCCGCCTCCCAGGTTCAAGTGATTCTACTGCCTCAATCTCCCAAGTATCTGGGATTACAGGTGCCTGCCACCATACTGGCTAATTTTTTTGTATTTTAGTAAAGACGGAGTTTCACCATGTTGGCCAGGCTGGTTTCAAACTCCTGACCTCAAGTGATCCACCTGCCTTGGCCTCCCAAAGTGTTAGTATTACAGGTGTGAGCCACTGCACCCGGCCAGGTGTACCATTTTAAAAAATCTTTTATGTTGTATTTTTACTGTGCCTTTTCTATGTTTCGATATGTTTAGGTATACAAATATTATCATTGTGTTATAATTGCCTACAATACTCAGTACAGTAACATGCTGCACAGGTTTATAGCCTAGGAGCAATAGGTTATAGCAAACAGCCTAGGTGTGTAGTAGGCTGTATGATCTAGGTTTGTATAAGTGCACTCTGTGAGTCTGCACAAGGATGAAATCACCTAACAACACATTTCTCAGAATGTATCCCTGTCATTAAACAATGCACGACTATTTAAATATGATTAAATGCATATTTAATACTAACTTTTTACTTTTACTTATAAGTAGCAAGGGAAAGGAGTGAATTATAAAACCTTCCGTTATAAATTCATATACATTCAGGAGTCAAGATGTAAAATGTATTTATTACTGTGAGCTGAAGAAAAAGAAGTTGGAAAACATTACTCTAAATGTTGGCCACATGAGGGGGTTGCAAAGAAAGCGTGGAAAAGAAGATCACCAGATGAGAGAGGACTAGAGAATCTTATGATAGATTATTATGTGATTTTTGGCACGTAATATGGAAGTTAGAAAAATTAGAACTGCATTTCTATTTCAAAATTCCTTTCATTCCTATCTACTTGTGTGAACACAATTTCTCATATCCATAAGAATGACAAACAGACATAGAGCTGATTTTGACCTCTGGTCTCATTCTAGCAGTGAGGAATATTCTGCCATGGAAATACGAATAAGAAAATATTAGTCCCAACGTGCACAGTGGCTCACGCCTGTAATCCCTACACTTTGGGAGGCCGAGGCAGGCAGAGCACTTGAGCCCAGGAGTTCACGACCAGTTTGGGCAACATAATGAGATCCCCTGTCTCTATGAAAAATAAAAAAAAAACTTTAGCTTGGTGTGGTGGCATCTGCCTGTGGTCCCAGCTACTTGGGAGGCTGAGGCAGGAGAATTGCTTGAACCTGGGAGGCAGAGGTTGTAGTGAGCTAAGATTGTGCCACTGCATTCCATCCTGGGCAACAGAGTGAGATGGTCTCAAAAAAGAAGGAAAAAAAGAAAAATAGAGAAACAGAAAGAGAGGAAGGAAGGAAGCAAGGAAAGTAGGGAGGGAGGGAGGTAGGGAGGGAGATGTTTGGGGAGGGCAGATGGAAAAGAACAGAAAAGAAAGAAAGAGGCCAGGAGCGGTGGTTCATGCCTGTGATCCCAGCACTTTGGGAGGCCAAGGCAGGCAGATCACGAGGTCAGGAGATTGAGACCATCCTGGCCAAAATGGTGAAACCCCATCTCTACTAAAAATACAAAAAAATTAGCCGGGCATGGTGGCACGCACCTGTAGTCCCAACTACTCAGGAGGCTGAGGCAGGAGAATCGCTTGAATCTGGGAGGTAGAGGCTGCAGTGAGCCGAGATTGCGCCACTGCACTCCAGCCTGGGTGACATAGTGAGACTGTCTCAAAAAAAAAAAGAGAGAGAGAGAGAGGAATGGAAGAAGAATAAAAAGACTGAATTCAAGTAAAAAAGAGAAAGATGGCCGGGCTTGGTTTCTCATGCCTGTAGTCCCAGTACTTTGGAAGACCAAGGTGGGCAGATCACTTGAGGTCAGGAGTTCAAGACCAGCCTAGCCAACATGATGAAACGCCGTCTCTACTAAAAATACAAAAGTTAACTGGGCATGGTGGCGTACGCCTGTAATCCCAGCTACTTGGGAAGCTGAGGCAGGAGAATCACTTGAACCTGGGAAGTGGAAGTTGCAATGAGCCAAGATTGTGCCACTGCACTCCAGCCTGGGTGACACAGTGAGAGTCTGTCTCAAAAAAAAAAAAAAAAAGAGAGAAAAAGATGCAAAATATCTAATGTTAAAAAAAAAAGCTTGTTTTTTTTTTTAAATTGATGATAGATTTAAATCACTATGGTATTTAGAAACCACTGAATACATTTAGAGGAGTGATGGAATACATTTTAAAATGTCATAATTCACAATATACCAGAAATCACATTTTTTACAACTGTTTAAACTTATGATGTGAAATTTTTAGATGTCAACTTAAAAATGTAGAAGTGGATACATAATTTTTCAACAGGATATGCTTTCAAAGTTTGAAGACCACTGCTCTAAAGCAGTTCTTACATGTGATGAGCTTCAAGGAGTCAGTCTTGCTAGTTGTGTGACATTGGGCAAGTGACATAAATTCAGCTGTTTCCTTATCTGTAAAATGGGGATAATAACAATACCCTATCTCAGTAGCTGTCCAACTTTGGCATTCATCAAAATAGCATGGAGGGCTTTTTAAACAGACTGCTAGGTCCTCACCCCTAGAGTTTCTGATTCAGTGGGTCTAGGGCCAGGCCCTAAAATTTGTATTTCTAACAAGTTTCCAGGTGATGCTGATGTTGCTGGTCCAGGAACCACACTCTGAGAACCTTTGGCCTATCTCATAAGGTCACTGAGAAAATTTAAAACATTAGTAGATAAAATGCTTAAACTGTACTGGGACATAGCAGGTGCTAATATGTATTAGCCAATATCATCAATTAGGACTGCATTCACTGTAACAGAAAATTCCACTCCAGTGGATTAAACAGGAAGAAGTCCTATCTCATTTAATAAGAGGTCCCAAGGTAAATCATCCAGAGGTGGCACTACTGTCAAGAATGTCCCCAGCTCCTGTCTTCTTGCTCAATTGCCTTTGTCCCATGGCTTTCATCACGGATGTATGATAGCTGCTGTTCCTCCAGGAATTCTCTCTGCATTCCTGAGAGGCAGAAAGAAGGGCAAAAATGCACAGGGCAAAGAATTGATGGAGTGTTCCAGCCAAGTTGCTCCCTTTCAAAAAATGTTTCCCGAAAACCCTAAATGACGCTGACTTGAATCACAATGATCAGATCCAGGTCACATGTTACCCCAACTACAGAGAAATCAGAAAAA
The DNA here is from genome assembly GCF_000001405.40 of Homo sapiens. Lineage (NCBI taxonomy): Eukaryota > Metazoa > Chordata > Mammalia > Primates > Hominidae > Homo > Homo sapiens. The sequence continues at coordinate 27,706,618 of NC_000006.12, read as the reverse complement.
GAAAGAATTTTTAGTTCTCCAGCCACTGTGGTGAAGGAAATCAAAGAAGAATGCAGTTTGAGACAGATAATATATTTCACTTGCCTGAAGGGTACCCATGAACACCAAGAAACTCGTGCAAAATATCAAGTGTATGTGTATTTTTCTGAAGAGTCAGTCCACAGCTTTCATGAGATCCTTAGAGTCCAAAAACAAGGGCTTTCAAGCCCTAGTTTCTTGACTTGAGGGCCTAAATGTTTTCACAAAAAGGATGTCTGCTCCTTTTCATCCCCTCTGTCTGCCATCACGTCAAATAATAAAACCTGAGGGCATGGAACTCTCTTAATTGCTGTATCCTTTCCTTTTTTCTAAAAGAAGATTGTGAATTCATTGTAAATGCTGCTTATACTATTATATACTTGTCTATAATTTGTCCTAAAGTATATTCTTTGGTGTGTGTATTTTTTTTTTTTTTTTTTGAGACAAAGTCTCGCTCTGTCGCCCAGGCTGGAGTGCAGAGGCGCGATCTCGGCTCACTGCAAGCTCCGCCTCCCGGGTTCACGCCATTCTCCTGCCTCAGTCTCCCGAGTAGCTGGGACTACAGGCGCTCGCCACCACGTGCGGCTAATTTTTTGTATTTTTAGTAGAGACGGGGTTTCACCGTGTTAGCCGGGACGGTCTCGATCTCCTGACCTCGTGATCCGCCCCCCTTGGCCTCCCAAAGTGCTGGGATTACATGCATGAGCCACCGTGCCCGGCCTGGTGTGTGTAGGTTTTTAATGTGATTTCCCAAATAGATAATATACTTTTTTTTTTTTTTTTTTTTTTTTTTTTTGTGAGACAGAATCTTCCTCTGTCACCCAGGCTGGAGTGCAATCGCACCATAATGGCTCACTACAGCCTCAAATTCCTAGGCTCAAGCCAATCTCCCACCTCAGTAACCTGAGTAGCTGGGACTACAGGCATGTGCCAATATACATAGCTAAGTTCAATTTTTTTTGTAGAGATGAGGTTTCACTATGTTGACCAGGCTGGTCTTGAACTCCTGGGCTCAAGCGATCCTCCCACCCTGGACTCCCAAAGCATGTCCTTGTATGTTTTCGTCCTTTGTCATTTGCATAAAGTTGGGGAGCAAGGAACATTAACATCCGAAATAAGTTGCTGTGTCCTGAATTTCAGCCTGGCAATAATACTTGGAGATTTGTGTTCTCTGACTGAAGAAACCAGAAGGGTTTTTAAAGATGAGAGGCAGTAACTGGATTTATTCTGGGGTGTCTGAAAGACTGACTAATTCAGGAGTAAAACCTAAACACTGAAGGATTTGCATTCTTCAACATATGACTTTCACTTAATGGGAAGACGGAAGACTTATCAACAAAACTACTGGGATCATCTGGAATCTCACCCTGAAAACACTTAGATCAAAAGTACTAATTGTGAAGTATCAGCTGAACAGTGTATAAAACAGGTTGGAAATGAGTTCTAAAATTATTAAAATGTTAGAATTGAGAAAGTTTAAATCTATTTAAGAATAGCACATAGGTTTATATTCTGGGTAAAATGCATTTAGAAAGTTAACGTTTGCTACTCCTGACAGTAATGAGTCTGAGTTCGGTAGAAAGAGCCTTCCCATCTACAAATCAGCCAAGAGAATGTTCCACTGTGCAGAGAACAAGCGATTTACAAGAAATGGGGAATACTTTTTAAAATAACGAGCTAGGCTGGGCGCAGTGGCTCAAGCCTGTAATCCCAGCACTTTGGGAGGCCGAGGCGGGAGGGTTGCTTGAGCCCAGGAGTTCGAGACCAGCCTGGGCAACATGGTAAAACTCCATCTCTACTAAAAATACATACAAAAAAATAAAATGTAGCAGGGTGTGGTGGTGCATGTCTGTAATCCCAGCTCCTTAGGAGGCTGAGGTACAAGAATCACTTGAACCCAGGAGGTGGAGGTTGCAGTAAGCCAAGATCGTGCCACTGCACTCCAGCCTGCGGGACAGACTGAGACACTATCTCAAAGAAACAACAACAAAAAAGAAATAAAATAACAAGCTAAAAAACTTTAAAAAGTCAGTCTTTCAATAAAATTAATTTTTGTTTTGTCCCAACAATGTTATGTTTAACATAGTTTTGTACCACTTTTCACAGTGAATCATTTTTATTTTTTTAATATCTAACTCAAGCCCCAACTTTTTTTTGCAGTTGAGATAATCTGACTTTCAATCAGCAGATGTATTAGCTCCCTTATGTTGGCCTTAACCTCTTTATGGGTTAAGAAAATTTGGAAAAGGTAAATGGTCATTTCCAAGTTAGGCTCTCTGATGAGAAGAATTCCTGAAATTTGAAAATACGCTGATCAAGTTCAGAGTCTCAGCTTTTGGTGTCTGTGCCCTTTAAACATCAAAAAAGAGAAGTGTGACAAATTGATTTTGGGCGGCCATAAAACCATGTTAAATGTTAATATGAATAGTTTCCTTAAATATGGAATTCCCTGCTGTCAAATGGGATGTTAGAAACTGGTTAGAAATTAGTCATATTTGCAAGCTCCCTTACTAGCAGATATCATGGGTTGAACTGTGTTCCACCAAAATTCATACGTTGAAGTCCTAAAACTTGGTACCTCAGAATGTGACCCTTATTTGGAGACAGTGCCTTTAGAGAGTTACAGTGAGGTCAACTGAAAGTAGGTCATTAGAATGTGACCTAACCCATCCTAATATGGCCGGTGTCCTTTTAAAAAGGGAAAATTTGGATACAGACATACCAAGAGAGAATACAAGGTGAAGGGACATAGGAAAGAATGGCTATCTACAAGCCAAGCAGAGAAGCTGGAACAGATCTTTCCCTCATTGCCCTCAGAAGGAATCAACTCTACTGAAACCTTGATTTTGGATTTCTAGCCTCCAGAACTGTGAGACAAAGACACTTTTGTTGTTTAAGTCGCTCAGTTGTGATATTTTGTTACGGCAGCATTAATAAACTAGTACAGCAGGGATTCTCTGATGTTGTACAAGTTTTCTTTCACTCCTCCCATTCAAGCACTACTCTCTTCTTTCCCCATGCGAGGACACTGATGTACAAGAAAGGCTGAGCTGTAGCTGAAAAATTTCCCACTCTTTATGCCTATAAACTCTTTCCTAAATACGTGGCGTCTTTGATGTCAGAATCTCCCAAGTTTTAGCTTAACATAGAATGTGAGCCAAAGTGTTATATGCAACTTTCATTCTGTCATTGCTTAAAAGGAAGCTTCTAAGTCACAATATTTTCTTTCCCCTTCCTGCAGGCTGTGATTCTGTTTCACCCATGTGAACAAGGCAATCCTCAGGAGGTCCAAAAGCAGCTAGAAGAACATAGACCCCTGGAGAACTTTGTGGAGAAGGGCTTCTAGAAGTCTCTGGTTTGCCCTTCAACAGCACATTTATATGACAAAGAAAATTTTCTATCTTGCTTAATCATTGTTACTTGGTCTTTATGGTACTAATCAAATAAACATCCTAACTGAAAAAAATCAGAGTAGAATTAAGGACTGATAACTAAAGGGGGGCCAAAGTTTACACACACCTACCTAGATTATTCCGAGAGTCTTTTGACTGATTTTACTGTTTTTGGTCTTGTCCCTGTTCAATGCATTCTCCATATTATAACTATAATCTAAGACATAATCTGGTTATACTACCTGCCTATTAAGAAACCACTGCCTAGAGTTGAGTTGTATTGTCTAATAAAGTAGCCACTAAAATTCAGTAAAAATTCATTAGTACTAGCCACATTTCAAGTGGTTTTTTTTTTTTTTTTTGAGGCAGGGTCTATTTCTGTCTCCCAGACTGGAGTGCAGTGGCGCAAATACAGCTTACTGATGCCTCGACCTCCCAGGCTCAAGCGATCCTCCCACCTCAGCCTCCCAAGTAGCTGGGACTACAGGGGCATGCCACCATGCCTGATAATTTTTTTTGTATTTTTTGTGAAGACAGGGTTTCATCATTTTGTCCAGGCTAGTCTCAAACTCCTGAGGTCAAGGGATATGCCTGCCTCGGCCTCCAAAAGTGCTGGGATTACAGGCGTGAGCCACCATGCCCAGCCTCAAGAGTTTAATAGCCACATGTACATAGCGATTACTGTGTTGGACAACACAGATACAGGATAAAGTTCTATTGGACAGCATTGGGCTAGGAGAAGCATGTCCAAGCCACCCACATGTCCTGTAAAGCTTTCTCTCCAGACTTACCTGCTGTCGCCATAAACTTAGTCAAGGCCACCATGCTGTTTCTCAGCCCTGCATTTGTTCATAATGCTACTGCCAAGGAATTCTCTCTCCTCCACCTTGTCCACCTAGAAAACAATTCATTTTTTTTAAGTATTACCTTATTTACACACACACCCAAAAAACCCCAGAAGCATTGAGTAGTTCAAGAATTAATTTTGAATACATCTTCCCATTTATCTACTATCCCTACAAAGATTAGCAGATCCAGAGAAGGGTCTTCATTTTAAAAATAGAAGTTTTATAGCTTAACAAAAAAAACATAATCCAATTAAAAACTAGACAAAAAACTTGAATAGGCATTTCTCCAAAGATATGCAAATGCAAAGAGATACACGACATCACTAATCACTAGGGAAATGTAAATAAAAACCACAAAGAATACCACTTCACACCCACTAGGTCACCTACCTTTAAAAAAAAAAACCCAAGCAGAAAATAACAAATGTTGGCAAGGATGAAAACAAATTGGAATCCTTGTGCACTGTTGGTGAGAATGCAAAATAATATAGCTTCTATGGAAAACAGCATGGCAATTCCTCAAAAAATGAAAAATAGAATTACCATATAACCCAGTAATTCCTTTTCTGGGTATACTCTAAAGAATTGAAGGCATGTAGGCCAGGCACGGTGGCTCACGCCTGTAATCCCAGCACTTTGGGAGGCCGAGGAGATGGATCATGAAGTCAGGAGATCGAGACCATCCTGGCTAACACGGTGAAACCCCGTCTCTACTAAAAATACAAAAAATTAGCCGGGCGTGGTGGCGGGCACCTGTAGTCCCAGCTACTCGGGAGGCTGAGGCAGGAGAATGGCATGAACCCGGGAGGCGGAGCTTGTAGTGAGCCGAGATCGTGCCACTGCACTCCAGCCTGGGCGACAGAGCAAGACTCTGTCTCAAAAAAAAAAAAAAAAAAAAAAGAATTGAAGGCAGGATCTCAAAGAGATATTTATAAACCCCATGTTCATAGCAGCATTATTCACAATAACCAAAAGGTGAAAGCAACCCAAGTGACTATTGGCAGATGAATGGATAAACAAAATGTGGTATATACGTAGAGTGAAATATTATTCAACTCTAAAAAGTAAGGAAATTGACATGCTACAACATGAATGAAGCTAGAGAGCACTATGCTAAGTGAAACAAGCCAGTCACAAAAAGGCAAATACTGTATGATTCCATTTATTTGAGGTACCTAGAATAGTCAAATTCATAGACACAAAAAGCAGAATGGTGATGTCCAGAGGCTGAAGGGAGAGGGGAATGGGGAGTTATTTCTTAATAGGTATAGAGTTTCAGTTTTATAAGATGCAAAGAGTTTTGCAGCTAGATGGTAGTGATGGTTGCACAACAATGTGAATGTAACTAACAGTACTGAACTGAACACTTAAAAACAGTTAAGATAGGCTGGGAGCAGTGGCTCACACCTGTAATCCCTGCACTTTGGGAGGCCGAGGTGGGCGGACCCCGAGGTCAAGAGATCGAGACCATCCTGGCCAACATGGTGAAACCTCATCTCTACTAAAAATACAAAAAAAATTCGCTGGGCGTGGTGGCATGTGCCTGTAATCCCAGCTACATGGGAGGCTGAGGCAGGAGAATCGCTTGAACCCAGGAGGCAGAGATCGTGCCACTGCACTCCAGCCTGGCGACACAGCGAGACTCCATCTCAAAAAAACAAACAAACAAACAAAAAAATGATTAAGATGCTAAATGTTATGTGTATTTTATTACAATTGTTTTAAAAAGGTCCATATTTAAATCTCATTCCGAAAAAGGTAAGTCTTGAGCAAGCCCTGACTCTACCAGAACCCAGTTCACAACCACATCCTCAAACACCCAACGTTCTTTTTTTTTTTTTTTTTTGAAGAGACAGACTGGAGCACAGCGGCACAATCATAGCTCACTGTAACCTCGAACTCCTGGGCTGAAGCAACCTTCCACCTCAGCCTCTGGAGTATCTAGGACTATAGGTGCAAGCCATCACACTCCACTAATTTTTTTTTATTTTTTTAATTGAGGGAAAGAGGGATGGGGTGGGTGTTCTTGCTTTGTTGCCCAGGCTGGTCTCCAACTCCTGGCTTCAAATGATCCTCCCACCTCAGCCTCCCCTAAAGTGCTGGAATTAAAGGCATAAGCCACCAAGCCTGACCTATCCCATATTCTTAAAACGTACCCCATGATCCTGCTTTTCTAAAGAGAAGGCCACACATGCACAAAAATGCATGCAAGGAACGACCAGCCTGGCCAACATGGCCAAACTCCATCTCTACTAAAAATACAAAAATTAGCTGAGTATGGTGGCATGCGCCTATAGTCCCAGCTACTCGGGAGGCTGAGGCAGGAGAATCACTTAAATCCAGGAGGCAGAGGTTGTAGTGAGCTGAGATCGCAACACTGCACTCCAGCCTGGGTGACAGAGCGAGACTCCGTCTCAAAAAAGAAAAAAACAACAAGTATGAGAAGATTCATAAAAAGATGTTTATGCTTGTTTAAATAAGGCTGAAGAGAAATGGAAAGAAGGGTAAGTGTAAAGTGGCGGTTAAGAGAAAAGTCTGCTGGGCAAGAAACATCTCATTCATCTATAGAAGGGTCTTGCAATTCCTGAGTAGATGCATGTGACTAGTGGTGTGCTAGGCAGGGTCTAGCCCAAGTGAAGGAGATTGGGGCAGCTGCCATGAAGCAGGCAGATCCTGGAAAGGTGGGATATTACCTAGGACTCGACTCTGACATTTGCTACAGCATCACCTGGTCTCCTGATCTCCCTTTCTGAGCAAAGCAGGTCTATAAAAAGAGAAAGAAGTTATCAGGAATAACCTAGTGCTAGTTCTGCTCACCCAGGCCAACTCCCATAAAAGTCATTTCTGCACAATTCAGCTGCAAATAAACCTTCTCTCAATATATAAGCACCATCCAAATCCACCACCCGATACAAAGCAGAGTAAAGGCAAAATGCTCAACAAGGTGGCAGGACCAATATAAATTTAAACATGAATGGAAGAGTGGATATGTTTACAATATGTTAGCTCATCATACAACACACAAAAAAATTTTTCTTTTCTGAGACAGGGTCTTGCTCTGTCACCCCGTCTAGGCTCCGTCGCAGTCACAGCACACTGCAGCCTCAACCTCCTGGGCTCTAGCAATCCTCCCACTTCAGCCTCCTGGGTAGCTGAGACTACAGGCACACACCACCACGCCCGGCTAATTTTTTTTTCTTTTTTTTTGAGACGGAGTCTCGCACTGTCGTCCGGGTTGGAGGACCAATATAAATTTAAACATGAATGGAAAAGTGGATATGTTTACAATATGTTAGCTCATCATACAATACAAAAAAAATTGTTTTCTTTTCTGAGACAGGTCTTGCTCTGTCACCCCGTCTAGGCTCTGTCGCAGTCACAGCACACTGCAGCCTCAACCTCCTGGGCTCTAGCAATCCTCCCACTTCAGCCTCCTGGGTAGCTGAGACTACAGGCACACACCACCACACCCAGCTAATTTTTTTTCTTTTTTTTTGAGACCGAGTCTCGCACTGTCGTCCGGGTTGGAGTGCAATGGCGTGATCTCGGCTCACTGCAACCTCTGCCTCCCGGGTTCAAGCAGTTCTCCTGCCTCAGCCCCCCGAGTAGCTGGGATTACAGGCACCCGCCACCACGCCCGCCTAATCTTTTGTATTTTTAGTAGAGATGGGGTTTCGCTATATTGGCCAGACTGGTCTCGAACTCCTGACCTCGTGATCCGCCCGCCTCGGCCTCCCAAAGTGCTGGGATTACAGGCATGAGCCACCATGCCCGGCCGCCCAGCTAATTTTTAAATTTTTTTGTAGAGACAGGGTTTCGCCACGTTGCCCAGGCTGGTATCAAACTTCTGAGCTCAAATAATCCACCTGCCTTGGCCTTCCAGCGTTGGGATTACAAGTATAAACCATGGCACCCAGCTAAAATGTGATTGTTAATCTATGTTCATCTGACCTAAAGAAATGTGACACTTTAGGAAAAAACAGACATTAGCTATTTAATAAAACAAAATTTTTCTGTGTAATAGTGTTATATACAGGGAATGAAGGAAAAATATGTTTCTTCAGTTATATGTTTACTGTATATATATATGATTATGTGTGTATATATTTATATATAAAGCTATATATATAGTTAACTGTACATATATAATTGTGTGTGTGTATATATATGTGTATGTATATATGATACATACACACAGTTATTCACTGCATTGTTTGTGGTGGTGAAAGATTAGAAACAACCTAGTGTCTATCACCAGGAAATGAGTAAAGCCCAAGTGTTCATCACCAGGAAATGGCTTAAATATATTATGGTATATCCATATACAAATGAAGACACTGTATATTAATATAGAAATCTCTTAAGATAGAGTGTTGTGAAAAAAGTTGGAAAGTATGCCACCTAACAAATAAATAACAGTGAAAATAGCCGGGTGTGGTGGCTCACACCTGTAATCCCAGCACTTTGGGAGGCCAAGGTGGGCAGATCACCTGAGGTCAGGAGTTCAAGACCAGCCTGGCCAACATGGCGAAACCCAGTCTCTACTGAAAATACAAAAATTAGCTGGGCCCAGTGGTGCACGCCTGTGATCCCAGCTACTCAGGAGGCTGAGGCAGGAGAATCGCTTGATCTCTGGAGACAGAGGTTGCAGTGAGCCGAGACTGCACCACTGCCCTCCAGCCTGAGTAACACAGCCAGACAACCTCTCAAAAAAAAAAAAAAAATATTCTATCATTCTTTTTTTTGCAACAGCTTCCAGGAAGTCAGCTTTCTTCTCCTTTCACTAGCTTTTCTCTTCTTCCCTCTACCATAAGCACATACATACAAGATTACTTTCAATGTCAGTAAAAATATTCTTTTAAAAGCCATTTTTTTTTTTTTTTTTTGAGATGGAGTCTCGCTCTGTCACCCAGGCTGGAGTGCAGTGGCGCGATCTCGGCTCACTGCAAGCTCCGTCTCCTGGGTTCACAACATTCTCCTGCCTCAGCCTCCTGAGTAGCTGGGACTAAAGGCGCCCGCCACCACGCCCGGCTAATTTTTTGTATTTTTAATAGAGACAGCACTTTGGGAGGCCAAGGGGGGGCGGATCATGTGTTAGCCAGGATGGTCTCGATCTCCTGACCTCGTGATCCGCCCGCCTCGGCCTCCTAAAGTGCTGAGATTACAGGCGTGGGCCACCGCGCCCGGCAAAAGCCTATTTTGAAAGAGGTTTCTTATTTTCTTATTTTTTTTTTCTGAGACAGGGTCTCACTCTGTCACCCAGGCTGGAGTGCAGTGGCGCGATCTCGGCTCACTGCAACCTCCGCCTCCCGGGTTCAAGTGATTCTCCTGACTCAGCCTCCTGAGTACCTGGGATTACAGGTGCAGGCCACCATGCCTGGCTAATTTTTATGTTTTTAGTAGAGACGGGGTTTCACCATGTTAACCAGGATGGTCTCGAACTCCTGACCTCATGATCCGCCCCCACCTTGGCCTCCCAAAGTGCTGGGATTGCAGGCGTGAGCCACCGCCTGAAAGAGGTTTCTTTTAAGAGTCTGTTTTTACCAGCCAATGTCAACTTCCTTCCTCTCATGAACTCTACCCCTTCCTGGCTAGATTCTGATCATCCTGGTGTATTTGTCACAGACCCAAAATACAAATCTCTAGTCAACAGTATAGAGCTCTTCATGGCTTCCAAAACAAGGCATATTTCCTTCCTAGAATGTTCCTTCTCTGGAATCCCCGTGATTCACTCCTCATTCCTTAGTCTTTGCTTAAATAATGGTAAAGTCTTCCGCATTCATCCTATTTAAAACTCAACACCCATTCCTCACTCTACCCTACTCCATATTGCCCTTCTCTGATTTCTTTTTCTCCACAATACCATCACCTGAGAAACTGTATTTTCCTCTAGAATAAACTCCACAAATATGGAGATGCTTGTCTTAAATGAATAAAGCCATGTCTATTCAAAACCAATTAGTCAAAATTAGTATCATATTCTTGGTTACTATTTTTTCATAAACTGTCAATTTGGTGTAACCTGGTTCTCATATCCCATTCCCCTTTTCTAGACATTCCTTTAATCAACATACTACTGAAGCTTTCCTTTTCTTTGTAATAATTTTAAAAACCCAGGTCTTTGTGATTGCAATGCTTGCTAGAGGCATCATGCAGGAAATGGCAGAAAACGGGTCCTCTTATATGCTGAACCAATAGTTCATGGAATGGTTGTGGGGGGGTCACAGATCTTGTAATCTGAAGTGCCCCATTGACTAAAAAGTAAAAAACACATGGCTGGGCGCGGTAGCTCACACCTGTAATCCCAGCACTTTGGAAGGCCGAGGTGGATGGATCACCTGAGGTCAAGAGTTCGAGACCAGTATGGCCAACATGGTGAAACCCCGTCTCTACTTAAAATACAAAAAATTAGCTGGGCGTGGTGGTACACACCTGTAATCCCAGTTACTCAGGAGGCTGAGGCAGGAGAATCGCTTGAACCTGGGAGGCAGAGGTTACGGTGAGCCAAGATCGCGCCATTGTACTCCAGATTGGGAGACAAGAGCGAGACTTCATCTCAAAAAAAAAAAAAAAAAAAAAAAGTATAAAACACAGGCTTTTATGTTATACAGACATGAATGAAAATCCTTGGTTCTGTCACTTACTAGTTGTGGGATGTTGGACTTATTACCAGGTTAAATCCTCTAAGCCTCAGCTTTACTGTGGTTAAATGGATATAAAAATATCCAATCTCTCTAACAGAGTTGTGAGGATTAAATAACAAAATTTGTAAACCTATTTAATAGTACTGGGCATACAACTCCTCAATAAATGTTATTACAATCACTGCGACAGAACAAAGATCACTGGAGGAATATTTCCAAATCGTTAGAGGTTTTAAGATCATCACAACTGTAATCCCAGCACTATGGGAAGCCGAGATGTGTGGATCACTTGAGGTCAGGAGTTCGAGACCAGCCTGGCCAACATGGGGAAACCTCGGCTCTACTAAGTAGCTGGGCGTTGTGGCACACACCTGAAATCCTAACTACTTGGGAGGCTGAGGCAGGAGAATCGCTTGAACCCGGGAAGCAGAGGATGCAGTGAGCCAAGTTGGCACCACTTCACTCCAGCCTGAGTGACAGAGCTAGACACCATCTCAAAAAAGGAGCACCACTGAACTTTGTAACATTAACTGACAGAAAAGACACTAGACACTAGAATTCTATGAGCCCCCAGCAGTGTCAGAAAATCCTCTTACATGTATTTTGTTTTTTGTTGAAGAAAAAAAACTTAAACAGAGAAATATTGCTAGATTTCTTAGATTAGATAAGGATAAAATGAGAACTATCTTATTCTACTCGTTCCTTGTATTATTCAAGATTCAGTACCCTGCTGGTAAGTTTCATTCAGCGAATCCAGCACACATGAATTAAATGCTAGTTAAGGTACAATGTCTCCAACAGGCACGATGTCAGAATAATGGTTTCTGTCCATCAGAACAAAGGATGAGATGCGCCTCTTGGATTTGACTGTAGCCCAATGGTCATCATCGCTGGCTGCACATTAACATTATCCAGGAAATTTTAAAGCTCTATAGGTGATTCTAAGGAAGAGGAGGACTGAGAGGCCGACTGTTAAGATGCACTGCTACTGTCCGATGAGCACACACTCATCCATAACGTTACACATTTCCTATTCACCTGATGCCCAGAATCATCAAACAGTGTATTCAACACAGTCACGCCATTTCTGTTTTCCAGGTGACTATCCTCCACAAGATACTGTTATCCAGAGCAGGTAAACTCCCTAGCATCTGTCGCTCAAGAACTTAAATCCCTCCCTGCACCCAACCCATCAACAGTGACTTATTACCATCCACAAGCCAGGCTGCTTCCCGATGCACCTTTTCTCCTGGGGAGTGCCCAGACGAGCGCCATCTGCTCCTGGGTCAGAGGAGTCCCTGCAGAGTCATCGACTTCCTCATTTCCAAAAGCCCCATAGGTTGCACTGGAGTCCCGAGGCGAAGCGCCGACACTTCATCTGCCCGTCACCTCCCGATTTTTGCAATGTGTTTCTTCTGAACAAGAATGTGTGCCCTGGAAGCCAACTCAAGTCCCAGACCTAGGTTTCTCGACATTTCCCCAAGTCCCACCTGCGTCAGGTTGTAGGCTCCGGGGCCAGTCCCTTTCGATCCGCATCAAAAAACCTGGCGATCCCCTTTGGGCACAAGAGCTCAGGGCGTTGGTCCCCGCGATCGCGGAAGCCCACTTCCAGAAAAACTCGACCACTAACAGTAAGCTTCAGGGGTAGCAAAAAGGGGCAGAAGGGTTTGCATCCCCTGGCGTCATTTCCGGGTCCGCTCTGGAAACCTCGGAGGTTTCCGTGTCTCTGTCGTTTATTCCAACTGTTAATGCTCCATGTGCCTTTGACTCTCCTCACCTTCCCTTCTAAACACACGGGGAAGAAAGGTTCAGGTTTCCCAGAGAAATTGTGGGGAAAAACCTTTAAAGTATATATACAAAGGTAGACAGAATAGTACAGTGCATCCAATGTACCTGACACACCTTCAAGAATTACTAACTCGGCCGGGCGCGGTGGCTCACGCCTGTAATCCCAACACTTTGGGAGGCCGAGACGGGCGGATCACAAGGTCAGGAGTTCGAAACCAACCTGGCCAACATAGTAAAACCTCGTCTGTACTAAAAATACAAAAAACTAGTTGGGCGTGGTGGCGGGCGCCTGTAATCCTAGCTACTCGGGAGACTGAGGCAGGAGAATCGCTTGAACCTTGGAGGCGGAGGTTGCAGCGAGCCGAGATGACACCACTGCACACCAGCCCGCGCGACAGTGCAAGACTCCTCTCAAAAAAAAAAAAAAAAAAAAAAAAAAAAGAAGAAGAAGGCCTGGCGCGGTGGCTCACGCCTGTAATCCCAGCACTTTGGGAGGCCGAGGTGGGCGGATCACCTGAGGTTGGGAGTTTGAGACCAGCCTGACCAAAATGGAGAAACCTTGTTTCTACTAAAAATAAAAAGAATTAGCCGGATGTGGTGGTGCATGCCTGCAATCCCAGCTACTAGGGAGGCTGAGGCAGGAGAATCGCTTAAACCCAGGAGGCGGAGGTTGTGATTAGCCGAGATAGCGCCATTGCACTCCAGCCTGGGCAACAACAGCGAAACTGCGCCTCAAAAAAAAAAAAAAAAGAAAGAAAACAAGATGAAAGAAAAGAAATACCAACTCGTGGCAATTTTATTAATCTATAAACCACTCCTCCCCTTATGTGGTTGGAAGCAAATCTTTTTAATTTTTTTTTTTTTTTGACGGAATCTTGCTCTGTCGCCCAGGCTAGAGTGCAGTGGCGCGACCTCGGCTCACTGCAACCTCCACCTCCCGTGTTCAAGCGATTCTCCTGCCTCAGCCTCCTCAGCCTCCCGAGTAGCTGGGATTACAGGCACCCACCACCGCACCTGGCTAATTTTTGTATTTTTAGTAGAGACGAGGTTTCACCACCTTGGCCAGGCTGGTCTCAAACTCCTGACCTCGTGATCCACCCGCCTCGGCCTCCCAAAGTGCTGGGATTACAGGCATGAGCCACCAAGGCCGGGCCACTCCACTTTTCCTTAAAGCAAAACCTGTCATTCTTCTGTTTCTTACCTCTTAGTTTCTTAGTCCTTTTTTTCCTATTAGCCCTATTTGTATTTATTTGTTATTAATGCACTATGACTAATAAAAACTTGCCTAGGGTCAGAAACTTTGAGCTTTAGCAGAAACAAAAACATACAAACAAAAACTCAGAAAGTTTTTTCAGATAAAGTTTTGTTTTTCAAGTACAATTAAGAGCATGATTCTGCTCAGGCGTGGTGGCTCGCGCCTGTAATCCCAGCACTCTGGGAGGCCGAGGCAGGCAGATCACTTGAGGTCACGACTTCGAGACCAGCCTGGCCAACATGGTGAAACCCCAACTCTACTAAAAATACAAAAACTAGCTGAGTGTGGTAGCGGGTGCCTGTAATCCTAGCTACTGGAGAGGCTGACGCAAGAGAATCTCTTGAACCAAGATAGCGGAGGTTGCGGTGAGCTGAGATCCCACCACTGCACTCCAGCCTGGACAACAGAGCAAGACTCCATCTCAAAAAACAAAAAACAAAAAACAAAAAAAAAAAAGAAAGAAAGAAAAGGGAAAAAAGCATGATTCTGAACAGTTTGGTCATTTTAGAAACTTTTGGGATAAATCTGAATACTCAGAGTTTTCTCTGGCCATAAAATAGAAGATAGGAAAAATGTAAATTTTTATTCATATGGAGAGAAAAGTCACAGTTGTCCCTGTATTATCTTTAAGAAAGCTCCTGTTCTTAATTCTCTAACTAACTGTAATAATATCTCGAAGGACTATCTGTAAAACAAAAGGAAACAACCACCTGTTAAATTCAGAATTCCAAAACATGTAGTTGTATCTCCTGTGTAATATAAACATCCATCTCATGGCCTTGCTTATTAATCATTCTTTAAAAATTATATATAAATTGGTTCTATGACCACTGTAAAAGTACCTGCATTTTGTTTGTTACATAGAAAAGTTTAAGGTTCAATGTAATCTTTAAGGGACCTAAATTGGCATAATAATATTTTCATAATTGGGAGGAGGGGTTATGACTTTCCTTCAATGCATGGGGAAAAACCACTTTGCTGCTTGTGGCAGCAGTATTAACTATAGTTGTAAGATTAGACAGCTTAAGGGTAATACCAACACCAGATGTGGTAGAACAGTGCCAATCACAGAGAAAGAGTCAGAGTACCTCTGTAGTTCCTGTCACGTGAGATGTATTTCTGTCCTAAGCCAATTGGATTATTCTTCCTTTTTCCCATTTTTATTTTTTATTTCGCAGCTGAATGATACATTCTAATGCAACATCCTTAACACTTACCAAGTTCTCAATTAAATCTATTCTGCATGATCCCCTCCTGTCTGGTAAATCTGGTAAATCTTCTCTGAGTCCTTTAGCTTCCTGCTCCCGTATGGATTAGTTGCATTCTAGGTTTCTTGAATAGCTGTCATCCTGTGTTTTTCATTTTTGAGCTCCTAGATCAGATTCATCATTTCCTGAGTTCCATGTCTTTCTCTGTCTTCCCCCCTATTTTCCCTGTAGTATATATATTCAGTTTGCGTCTTAAAATGTAGGTCAGCTTTTTGAGTCATGATAGGTTTATAAATGTCTTTATTCCAACTTCACATTTGATGTTACACATAGCTATAGAATTCTGTATTAAAACATTTTTCCTCCAGATTTTGAGGCATTATTTTGTTTTCTCCTAACATTCATTCGAGGTTGCTGATGAGACGTCTGATGCAGAAAGAGTATCTTTCTCTTGCCCACCACCATTACCTCTGAAAGCTGTTAGAATCTGATGTCGTTTGCTTTCAGTCTTATTCCACCGTGAGCAGGTCTATACAAGTCTACTCCTAAAGGCTGAGGAAGCTGAGAGGCCAAAGAAAGAGGCTGACAAATTCAGTTTCTCAGAAAGAAACATTTAATAACAGAAGCCATGTCTTGAGTGGTAGCAAGACAAGATGATGGATCCCCACATTGTCACCAGCCAAACCCAGGGCTTATGAACCACAGGGAATTTGCCTAAGGGCAGGATTTTTTTTTTTCTTTTCTTTTGAGACGGTCTCCTTCTGTCGCCCAGGCTGGAATGGCCAGATCTTGGCTCACTGCAACCTCTGCCTCCCAGGTCAAGCGATTCTCTTTCCTCAGCCTCTGGAGTAGCTGGGACTATAGGCACGCCCCACCATGCCCAACTAATTTTTGTGTTTTTGGTAGAGATGGCATTTCACCATGTTGGCCAGGCAGGTCTCAAACTCTGGACCTCAAGTAATCTGCCCACCTCGGCCTCCCAAAGTGTTGGGATTATAGGCATGACATACCGCGCCTAGCCTAAGGGCAGGATTTGTGTATGGTAAGTATGTGGTTACAATAACACCAAGGTTGTTTTCACCTAATTGCAGGATTTATTGTACCTCAAAGTAGAAATCTTAGAGGCATTCCCAGAACTGGGGTTAATCAGAAGTCAATATGGTGGGTTACCATCCAAGATGGAGTGGCTTTCAGCTGGGCACAGTTGCAGTTGGCCAAGATCATGCCACTGCACTCCAGCCTGGGCAATAGAGCTACAGTGTCTAAAAAAAATCTATATCTATATCTATATATATATATACACACACACACACACACACATATGCACACACACACATATATACATATATAATATTCATGCACACACATATTTTTGTACTCTAGTTTGTTACTTAACATTATTTCCTTCATATCTTTTCACTAGAGACAGCGGATTGCCACACCGAAGAGTGAGAGATCAATAAATGTTTGTTGAAATTATATATAATTTCCTTTGATTATTGTACAGCTTGGGAGCCCATATTCAAACCTCTTTGATGATCATATGGTCTAGGAAAGAAAGTGCTTTGTTCACCTTATAAGAGAAAATTAAGGGTATCGTCTTCACCACCCTCTTTCCTACGATGAAAAAGCCTGTACTTTGTACAGTGGACAAGAAGTATCTATATTCAATTCCTGGCTAGTAGGATCAACTCATTTGAAAATAAGCTGATTTTTTTTTTTTTTCAGATGGAGTCTCGCTCTGTCGCCTAGGCTGGAATGCAGTGGCATGATCTTGGCTCACTGGAGCCTCGGCCTCCCTGGTTCAAGCAATTCTCCTGCCTCAGCCTCCCGAGTAGCTGGGACTACAGGCGCGTGCTGCCACACCCGGTTAATTTTTGTATTTTTAGTAGAGACAGGGTTTCACCATGTTGGCTGGATGGTCTTTATCTCCTGACCTCGTGATCCACCCGCCTAGGCCTCCCAAATAAGCTCTGCTTTTAACAGTGTACAAAGTTGAAAAGTGCAATTTAAAACATCTAAGATACATTAAGAAAAAGTGTAAATGCAGAACAACGAGTAAATAACTAAGCTCTCTTTTGTGTGAAAAAGAAGAAAAAATAATCAATATAAATGCAGTATTTAAATAAAGAAACCCAGTAGGGATATATGAGAAATTAAGGACAGAGTTTACCTATAGTAGGTGGTGGTGAGAATTGAGCTGATGAAGAATAAAAATGGAAGGAAAGGCCAGGCAGCGTGGCTCACGCCTGTAATCCCAGCACTTTGTGAGGCCGAGGTGGGTGGATCGCCTGAGCTTAGGAGTTCGAGACCAGTCTGGCCAACATGGCGAAACCCCGTCTCTACTAAAAATACAAAAATTAGCCAGACATGGTGCTGCACGCCTATAATCCCAGCTACTCGGGAGGCTGAGGCAGGAGAATAGCTTGAACCTGGGAGACAGGGGCTGCAGTGAGCCAAGATCGGCCCACTGCACTCCAGCCTGGGCTACAGAGCAAGACTCTGTCTCAAAAAAAAAAAAAAAAAAAAAAAAAAAAAAAAGAAAGAAAGAAAAGAGAACTTTTTACTATATCTTTTTAAATTGTCTTTAAAATGTTTCTTTGTATAATAATAAGGTGTTATTTATTTTTTAAAAAACTCTTAAATTAGAAAAATATTTTTAAAGGTATGTATCCTGTTCACATTGGAATAAGCGTTCAGAGTATATAAAACAAAGATCTTTGTCATTGTTATCGTTGAAGTTTTTGAAAATTTTTCTTTCTCACTTTATAATCTTGTTTTCTCTTAGACTGAAATGAAGAAAACGGAATGACCCAGCATGAGTGATACAAACGGTGGGTGGTTTTACATGCGTTTTTTTTTTTTTTTTTGGAAGTAATCAAATAATTCAGTATTTTACTCCAAGAAAATTTCCCCGGGGCAGAGGAGGACAAAAATCACAAAAGCCTCCAACCGTAACGTACCTCTGTCACTGTAAGGTGCCTATAGCCCCTTTGTTTTACGGGTAGGATGTGGGTATGCCTTGGAGGCAGCGGAAAGAAACGTCCCCGTTCAAATTAACCGCTGTCGAGTAAGCGAGGGCGCACCAAATTCACAGATCCGTTTTCTCGGGGCAAAGTTAAGCCTGGAGAAACACACAGGTACACGTTTAGATCGATGTCTGGGTTACTATCCATTCTGGTGATAAAAGCCACAGAGAATACTTGGCCAGTACGGGGATCGAACCCGCGACCTTGGCGTTATTAGCACCACGCTCTAACCAACTGAGCTAACCGGCCGGATGACAGGATGCCTTACTTCCACATTATAAGCTACTATCAAACGGCATGCTTTGTGGAAATTTATCTTCGAATAGATAATCACATTCATTCTGTTTCCCAGTTTTCCTTCACCCGGGCTGGGAGTGGCGGAGCTCCACATTGAACACCAAAGAACCCTGCTTCTTACGGGGAAACAGTTTTTCTTAACCTGCTAATTCTGATCCGAGAAGATTCAAGTCAACGTTTCCAATCGGGGCTTCCTTCCTCCTGCCTGGGGCGAATCCGAAGTTGCATCCAAGCTTGAGATCTCGGCCAGCGGATCGGGGAACCGTTGGACCACGGAGCTGTCTCAAGGATGAAAGGACGCGGCTCCCGAGTGATGGTTGCAGAGTCCTCTCTGTTCTTGGAGACCCTTCCAGACAGGTCGGCTCTTCTCGAAGCCTTCGGGATCCGGAAACTGCACCCTCTCCCCGCCTAGCCTCGGGTGGTTCCTCTGTCACTACGACCCTGAAGTCTCAGCGGCGCTTCCCAGGCCTGTGGCTCCGGGCTCAAGAAAGTCACACACTTGCCGCTGCAGTTCCCGTCCCAGGACAGCTAGTGGCGCTCGGGCGCGGACTGCGGTTCGCTGAGACAAAAGGACGGTGGGGACAGCCTCTCTTGAGCATCTGCCCTCACCTCCTCCCTGGACAGAACCAAACCCCCAAAACAATAATAGGGATTACGGAGCCAGCGTGTTTACGAAGTAAGGGCCATTATTTGCGGGGGAGAGAAATCCTATGATCTGAAAAGGGAGGAGGAGGCGAGGCCCGGATTCGACAACTCAGAGGAAGCAGGCGTGAAACATTTGCCCCTGAGAGGTGCCCCGCTTCCAGACGGAGCCTGATGCTCTTGCTGGCAGGTGACAACCCAGGAAGGGGCCACTGGAGCAGCTAATTCATGATTTACTGTCTGTTTTTTGACAAGTTTCTACTTTCCCCCTCTTCCTACCACGACTGTTTCTGTTAGTTAAGGGTAGTAATATTTTCAAAAGTTAATTGGCCTATGTACATTTTAAATGCCCTCCTTATGCCCTCCCCCTCTATTTAGACGTATATGCATACACTTATTTATATATATAAATTGTAAAGTCTTATCTTGGATATGCACTATTAGTATATGTGTTTAATGCTTTATATTCATGTCTTCGCCTTAGAAATGAGAATCATATCCTTTGACTAGACAAATTTGCCATTTATTTTCTAACTTTACATTTCAACTCTTTGAATATGAAAAATTAAAATTAGTTTAACATCATAAATAATAAATCACATTTTCGTGTCCTTCAGCTCCTTTCACTAAAGTTGCACTTTTTTTTTTTTTTTTTTTTTTTTTTTTGAGACGGAGTCTCGCTCTGTCGCCCAGGCTGAAGTGCGGTGGTGCGATCTTGGCCCACTGCAAGCTCCGCCTCCCAGGTTCACGCCATTCTCCTGCCTCAGCCTCCGGAGTAGCTGGGACTACAGGCGCCCGCCACCATGCCCGGCTAATTTTTTGTATTTTTAGTACAGACTGGGTTTCACCGTGTTTGTCAGGATGGTTTCGATTTCCTGACCTCGTGATCCACCCTTCTCGGCCTCCCAAAGTGCTGGGATTACAGGCGTGAGCCACCGTGCCCGGCCCTATTTTATTTTTGTTTATTTAATTAATTTATTTTTTGACAGAGTGTCGCTCTGTTGCCCAGGCTAGATTGCAGTGGTGTGATCTTGGCTCACTGCAAACTCCGCCTCCCGGGTCAAGCGATTTTCGTTCCTCAGCCTCCCGAGTAGCTAGGATTACAAGTGCGAGCCGCCACGCCAGGCTAATTTTTGTATTTTTAGTAGAGACAGTGTTTCATGTTGGCCAGGCTGGTCTTGAACTCCTGATCTCAAGTGATCCGCCCGCCTCGGCCTCCCAAAGTGCCGCGATTACAGGCGTGAGCCACCGTGCCCGGCCTGTACATCTTTTTAATCAACTAGTAGATGTCTTCGTTTGTTTTGTTCTGTAGTGAAAATGCTCAAAGTTTGTGGCACAGATTATTATTATCATTGTTGTTTTACTAGGACACTTGTTATGGTAAATGATTCCTGAAAGACTGGGCCACATTTAGACTTACTTTGACCTCAAGAGACCACCGTAGGCATCAGTCACTTGCTTTTTGTCATCGGTCAGTTCCCTAGGAAACAGACACTGAGATGGCGATTTGTGTGCGGGAAGTTCATTGGGGACGCTCTCAAAATCAGCATCTGTGAGAGGGTGAGGTGAGCAGGACTGAGAAAAGACAGAAGCTGAATTCAATACAGGCGCAACATACGTCCAGCCCATCTCACAGGTGTATATAAATCTGGAATGGTCCTTCACAAATGTCCTTAATTATAGTGGGGAGGCGGGAAGGGCAGACCTATATATTCCTCCATCAACAGTCATGGGATTTGAGCTGCTCCAGTGGTGGGGTGTGACTTGGAGCAAGTGACTTCCCTTCCACTGAAGGTAGGTTCCAGAGTCGGACCCAGACATGAGCCATCAGTAGTTAATATTCCTGTAGTTGAGGAATGAGTGCCACCACCTGGGCGTGGGGGGCCCGGGTGGTGAATCTACACTTGATCTTAGCCAAACGGCCGAGAAGCGATAGGAGGGGGGGATCTGATAGATGCACCACATATCCTCATAGTTCTTTTCCTACAGCAACCACGTGTCAGACATGTGCTAATCTTCCACCAATAACCCCTGCTTCTCCACACTAACAGAGAAGAGAACAGGTGTGGTTAAAACAAAATGACGGTTAATAAAGAGTCAATTCATTTTTCCTTTGAGGTTCAGCAAAAGTCCCTACCTGGCCACCAGAGCCTATAGTGAGTCTAGCGGTATCCATGTTGGAACAACTTTTCTTTTCTTTTATTTTTTTCTTTTTCTTTCTTTTTTTTTTTTTTTTTAGACAGAGTCTCGCTCTTGTCGCCCAGCCTGGAGTGGGAGTGCAGTGGCATGATCTCGGCTCACTGCAACCTCCACCTCCCAGGTTCAAGCGATTCTCTTGCCTCAGCCTCCTGAGTAGCTGGGATTACAGGCGCCCGCCACCACGCCGGCAAATTTTTGTACTTTTAGTAGAGACGGGGTTTCGCCATGTTGGCCAGTCTGTTCTGGAACTCCTGACCTCAGGTGATCCGCCCGCCTCAGCCTCCCAAAATGCTCGGATTACAGGTGTGAGCCACCGCGCCGGGCCGGGACAACTTTTCAAGGGGAAATAGTCATTTCAATCCAGCCTATGAATTAATCCTTTCAAAATAAAATTATTTGGTTTTCACTGAGACCTGAATGTCTATTTTTGTTGTGAAGTCACCTAACAAACTAGTTGCTGGGATTGTTGCAAATTACGGAAGTGTGAAATAGTTTTCAAGTAGTATACGATCGAGGGCTTTCTCGGCTGTGGCTCCGTGGCTTAGCTGGTTAAAGCGCCTGTCTAGTAAACAGGAGATCCTGGGTTCGAATCCCAGCGGGGCCTTGATTTCTGTACCTTACACATTTTGTAATTTCACCCGGTGCAACTGAATTTACACCCAATAAATGCTGTAATACTCAGGCTTTTAAAAGCCTTGCTAGAAAACAGGAGGTACATTAGGCGAGAAGCGGGAAATGCCAACAGTTTCATGGCAAGCATTCCTAATTCATGATAACTTTAAGACACAATATTTGTCCTATTGTAAGGCTAGGTAGCCTAGCATAGCTGAGGTTTGCTCCTTTGTCCTACCGTTCGAGAGCAAGTGATGCAGATTCAACAGCTTTAGAAATAGGCCCTTTTGGCCGGGCGAGGTGGCTGTCGCCTTTAATCCCAGCACTTTGGGAGGCCGAGGCTTGCGGATCACCTGAGGTCAGGAGTTCCAGACCACCCTAGCCAATATGGCAAAACCCCGCCTCTACTAAAAATACAACAGTTAGCCGGGCTTGGTGGCAGGCCCCTATAATCCCAGCCACTCCGGAGATTGAGGCAGGAGAATCGCTTGAACCCGGGAGGCGAAGCTTGCAGTGTGACGAGATGGCGCCACTGCACTCCAGGTTGGGCGACAGAGAGACCCCGTTTCAAAAAAACAGACAAAAAAAAAACCCTGAACGCAACTGGAATACAGATGGCACTCAAAAACTTTTTTACAATAGACCACTAATGGCTTTTCTAATTTTTTTTTTGAGACGGGAGTTTGGTTCTTGTTGCCCAGGCTGGAGTGCAACGGCGCCATCTCGGCTCGCCGCAACCTCCGCCTCCCGGGTTCAAGCGATTCTCCTGCCTCAGCCTCCTGAGTAGCTAGGATTACAGGCATGCGCCACCACGCCTGGCTAATTTTGGGGTTTCTCCATGTTGGTCAGGCTAGTCTCGAACTCCCAACCTCGGTTGATCTGCCCACCTCGGGCTTCCAAAGTGCTGGGATTACAGGCGTGAGCCACCGCGCCCGGCCTTAAACTTTAAATTGATTACTGTAATAGCTATTCTTCCTCTTTGAATGATTCTGGACTTAGGATATCACCACAGTTTCTGAAAAGAAGAGACTGTGATATCATCTTAAAGAATTATTCATGACAAAACTGATAAACTATTAACAATAGACTAGAGGCGAATGAAAAATGCATTTTAATATCTGAAGGCTTTTCTAGGCAGATTTTCACATAAAAGATCTGAGAAAAACACCAAACGTAAAGAGTAAGGTGTTTCTGTCTTATCTGCTCTGTTTCTTTGGGTATTCTAAGACTTATCAACTATATGTCAATCTTTACTCACATATACAGGTACATATTCTTTATTCAAAAAGACTTTCCTTCTTCAAGGGCAAAATGCCACTTTTCCTAGGATCCTCAAATGGACAGCTCTGTGTGTGTGTGTGTGTGTGTGTGTGTGTGTGTATGTGTGTGTGTGCTCTTAATGTAAGCCTTGTGTTGGCTTAAGCTAACTATGTGGTTCTTTCTTCTTCACGTCCAGGTGTTAAATCCTGACATTGAGCATAAATAAACTTTACTTTATTTTATTTATTTATTTTTTTGAGACGGAGTCTCACTCTGTACCCCAGGCTGGAATGCAGTGGCGGTCTCGGCTCACTGCAAAATCCGCCTCCCCCATTCAAGCGATTCTCCTGCGTCAGCCTTCCCAATAGCTGGGATTACAGGAGCCCGTCATCACGCCTGGCTAATTTTTGTATTTTTAGTAGAGACGGGGTTTCACCATGTTGGCTAGGCTGGTCTCAAACTCCTAATGTCAGGTGATCCGCCCGTCTCGGCCTCTCAAAGTGCTGGGATTACAGGAGTGAGCCACCGTGCCCGGCGGGGCACTGAATAAACTTCAGTAAATTGATTTGAATATTCCTGAAAAGGTGAAAGGTATGGCATGGCGATGATGGAAAATGTTGGGAAGGAGAAATAGTCTCAGGAGGCATTTCCATCTGGTATCCAACCAGAGAACTTTAAGCGTGTGAGGCGAACGTGTTAACAACTACACTACAGAAAACAACTTCCAAATATTGTTATCCGGCAGACTCAGCACAGATTTTTCTGGAGTCCACTGTTCTTACTGCCTTCTATAGTACTTTCTTCTCTTTGTTAAGACTGTTTAATGCTAACGCTGTGTCCACAATTCCACATAAGCAGCACACCAAACTTAGGAATGTCCAACACTCACAGATTGTTTTAAGTTCCCTGAAACTTGATTAAAATCTAAACCATGATCACACATGAAAAAATCTCAAGAATCTTGCCACTTTTCAGGACTGACATTTACGTCTTGACTGGATTGTGGAGTCAATCATTTTAATTTAGTAGAGACAGGGTGTCACCATGCTGGCCAGGCTGGTCTCCAACTCCTGACCTGAAGTGATCCGCCTGCCTCTGCCTCCCTAAGATTTTTTAAATCTTTGGTTTCAACCATTTTCATATAATTTGAACAGTTATAGTTTTCTTTATGTTTATCTTTGTTGGCATTTGTTGATGGAATTAAATTTGTGAGTTGATGTCATATGTGTTCATTGACTAGTACACCTTAATAAATTTTTTAGAAAACCAAGAAAACAAAACTCTTCACTGGACGACATCTACATGCCAAGAATCAAAGATTAGTCCCCAATCTCTCCAATTTCTCTCATCACATTCAGATTAAAATATATCTTCCCCTCTTTTGGAGACACTTCCTCCCTTCTTCTCTGATCCAGCGCATATAGTCCCATTTAGTCTAATTTCTTTCCAGCCCTGCTTCAAATCCTTGGATTTCCTCCCTAAGATTATGACCACTCCATTCAGTTCCTAATGACAAAAAATCATTTTCTTCGTCTAAGAGCTCCAGAGGGAGCAAAAAAAAAAAAAAAAAAAACAAAACCTATCTACAACCATCATTCTTCTTTTCATTGATCAAGTCTCAGATCTGCCGTCGTTTTCTCCAGGAGGTCTTCCTTGATGGGCACTGGGGCATTTTTTAGTTTTTTGTTTGTTTGTTTTTTTGAGACGGAGTTTGGTTCTTGTTGCCCGGGCTGGAATGCAATGGCGCGATCTAGGCTCACCGCAACCTCCGCCTCCCGGATTCAAGCGATTCTCCTGCCTCAGCCTCCCGAGTAGCTGGGATTACAGGCATGCGCCACCACGCCTGGCTAATTTTTTTTTTTTTTTTCAGTAGAGACGAGGTTTCTCCATGTTGCTCAGGCTGATCTCGAACTCCTGACCTCAGCTGATCCGCCCCTCCTTGGCCTCCCAAAGTGCTGGGATTGCGGGCGCGAGCCACAGCGCCCGGCCCCCAGTTTTTTGACTGTTGTCAACAGGCTACTCTGAACACTCCGAACAATATAGTCGATATATTTGGCGAACGCATTTCTGCTCGTATCTGTCATCGGTATGTGATATTGGTGATTCCAATTAATGGGAAAAGTGAGGGTGAGAACAATACTACAATCGGAAAATTTTCTACAAGGAAAGAACAATTCCAAAATTTCTAAACTTGGGGATCAGGGAATATATACTTCCATGTTTCAAGGTAAGGGAGCAGAAAGAGGGTGTTTCCGTAGTGTAGTGGTTATCACGTTCGCCTAACACGCGAAAGGTCCGCGGTTCGAAACCGGGCGGAAACAGGTAGGCTTATGATATTCTTGGTTGCTGCTTAGTTTCTATTCCTTCTTACGCACGAACCAGTTTGCGGTTCTGGACTTTAAAAATACGCAGTTCTGAGCTCAATTTGTGGTCCAGAAGTCTAAGATGAAAGATTTCTCACGCCACTGACACAGAAGCCCGTGTCACCCCACCTCCTCTCGCCCCAGTAAGTTTCCCATCGCTTTTCCTCCTCTTCTGGGCTTCAGAACCCTAGGAGGTGTCAATCCCAGGAGACGCCCACGGCCCAGGACTCGGCCTACGCAGCTCAGGTGAGACTGGCTTCCTTGGAATTCCATCTTAGATTTCTGGACCACAAATTGAACTCAGAATTGTGTATTTTTAAAGTCCAGAACCGCAAACGGGTTTGTGCGTAAGAGGGAATAGAAACCTAGCAGCAACGAAAAATAATATAAGCCTTTCGCGTGTTAGACAAACGTGACAACCACTACACTACGGAAACCTCGTGTTACTGCGCTTTTACCTTACTAAGTCTGCGGGTTTCCCGCAATTCGAAATTCCGCAGCGGCCGCTACCGAGTGTCAGTTAACGGATAGCAGACCTCTCGGGCAATTATTAGTAGTAGTACTATCGGTACTGTTAGTGCCACACAATATTTCTAAAACCCATCAAGCGTGGACGAGAAGGAAGAGCTGTGAGGAGAGAAGGGTAAAGGAATAAATAAAAATATATTCCTGCCGTCAACGGCCTGGATAATCTGTATTGGACTAGGAGACTTCAATTTTCGTGACCGCCTTTCCCCTCCACGTTTCCACCAGCCGAGAAGATCCTCTGGGACTTGATTCTCAGCGGGGCTTGATCTCAGACATTTCAATTCCAGTGCGTTCCTCCCAGTGGGAATTCGGGGCGCGACTTCGTGCGCACTGGGCCCACTCCCGGCCTTGCTCGCTGCCAGGAGCCTTCTGTACAAACGCGACCTTCTCCCAGGACTCAGCAATGAGCGTTCAGCTCGGTTCGAAATGAGCTCCCAGCAGGCGACCATCCTGAGTGAAGGAAGGGAACCCGACCATTTCTGGAATCAGCGTAGTGTTCACGCCGTTTGCGAGATTTCTCGGAAATAAGAAAGAAAAAGAGGAAAGGGTTAAAAAGTTTAGCGACTTTGTGTGTTTCGTGGCCTATTTTGGTAAAAATCGCGAACTTTAAGACAGGTTTTCTTCTGGGATAGACATACACTCGGAGGGCGTTTCTACTTTCCTAACCTACATTCTGAGAGATTATTTCCTCATTTTGTCTCCTAGTGTTAAACTCAGTTAACACCCTGCCTGCAATAAGTGACTCCCCGCAAGTGGCAAAGACTGGGCTCTCCTGATGGTCGATCGCCAACCCCTACCCCCAGTGCACTAAGAGAACTCTCACGATCATGCTGATACATGAATTCTTTCAAACTTATTGAAAGAAATTTAAATGACTTCCTTAGAGGTTAACTCACACCAGATCTCAGATTCTGGTTGTTTTATTTTTTGAGTCGTAATTTCACTCTTGTTGCCCATGCTGGACTGCAATGGCACGTTCTTGGCTTATTGCAAGCTCCGCCTCTCGGTCCGCCTCTCGGTTTCAAGCGATTCTCTCTGCCTTAGCCTCCCAAGTAGCTGGGATTACAGGAATGTGCCACCACGCCCGACTAATTTTTAGTAGAGACGGGGCTTCACCGTGTTAGGGTGGTCTCGAAATCCTGACCTCAGGTGATCCACCCGCCTCAGCCTCCGAAAGTGCTGGTATTAAAGGCGCGAGCTACCGCGCCCAGCCCTCAGACCCTGGTTAATTTGACAAGGTAAAGGAAAGAGGAGGCAGAAACTAACATTTTAAGAATCTGGGCCGGGCGCGGTGACTTAAGCCTGTAATCCCAGCACTTTGGGAGACCGAGGTGGGCAGATCACCTGTCAGAAGTTCGAACATGGCGAAACCCTGTCTCTACTAAAAATACAAAAATTAGCCTGGCGCGGTTGCTCACGCCTGTAGTCTTAGCACTTTGGGAGGCCGAGGCAGGCTGATCACCTGAGGTCAGAAGTTTGAGACCAGCCTGGCCTGCAGGGCAAAACCCCATCTCTACTAAAAATACAAACAATATCTCGGCGTGGTGGCACACGCCTGCAATCCCAGCTACTTGGGAGGCTGAGGCAGGAGAACCGCTTGAACCCGGGAGGAGGAGTTCGCAGTGAGCCGAGATCACGCCATTGCACTCCAGCCTAGGCAACAAGAGCAAAACTCTGTCTCAAAAAAAACCCCTGATATATATACTACACATTTTAGAGGTGTTATCTTCTATAACACTCCTTATATATAACTTCCTGAAATGCTGTGCGTGTCTAACTTTTAAAATGCTTCTTCATCTGCAAGTCATGGTTTGATGTCTCCTGCAGTCTATGCCTCATACTCCATGAACTCCACGCAATCAGTCTCTTTTTCATGACTGGACTTTTCACCTGAGGTTCCCTCTAGCTGAAAAGCTTTGCGCTTGGCTTTGCCTAGTTAGTTATCTTTACCTCGTGACTGTATCTCAGGGAAACTATTTTTTCTTTAGGAAAGACTTCCTTAAACTACATCAGTGAAAGTCCTGTATTCCTCGTAATACCATGAACTTTGTTCCCTTGCCACCTTTACATTTATGAGCATAATAACTAGATTGATGTCTGTCTCCCTAGAATATAAGCTGCATTTGGACAGGAACAGTGTCTGTTCTTGCTCATCAATGAATCCATACTGCCTTGCGCTCAATGAATACCTTTGAATATAAGACTGAACCCTTACCCTGATTCTCTGAGTAAACTATTATTTTCCTAATTTTAAGTTGAAGCACCGAGGCTTGCAGCGATCATCTGTCTTGCCTAAGTGTGGAGCTAGTATGTGAGTTATGGCTCACACACAGATATTCCTGGCTTTACAGTCTTGCTCATTCCTTAATATACTATTGGATGTGGGTATATTTTTAACAAATCTCCAAAGTTCTGATCTTTGTAATTCCCTATAAACTAATAATGAAAAAGAAATCACTAGAACAATAGTAATAGCTACAATTTATTACCAGCCATTAAATCAAGTATTTAATGATTTTTCATATGTAAACGAACAAAGCAAGCCTAAGGTGTAGGTGCAATTGTTGCTTACAATCATTTCCCTGTCTTATAGATGCAGAAGTTGAGGAGCAGGGACGTTAAATAATGTAAATAACTTCCTCAAGCTCACACAAGTTATAGAACTTGGAACCAATATTTCTATCCATGTGTGTCTGAGGTCAAAGTATTCCTCACAGCCGGGCAAGGTGGCTCATACCTGTAATCCCAGCACTTTGGGAGGCTGAGGCGGACAAATCACGAGGTCAGGAGTTTGAGACCAGCCAGGCCAACATGATGAAACCCCATCTCTACTAAAAATACAAAAAATTAACTGGGCGTAGTGGCAGGCACCTGTGATCCCAGCTACTTGGGAGGCTGAGGCAGGAGAATTGCTTGAACCCAGGAGGCGGAGGTTGCAGTGAGCCTAGATTGTGCCACTGCACTCCAGCTCAGACAACAGAGTGAGACTCTGTCTCAAAAAAAAAAGTATTCCTCACTATTGCAGTTTTCAGGAAAAAGGAAGGTTCTATGAAAAGACACTGGTATTAAGAGGGTGAAACTGAGCATATAATATGAAAATGATTTTTACAATATAGGGAGAGGCAGAAAAAGCTCAATATAGAGACACTCTGAGTATATGGAGAGTTGCCAGAGATAACTCGTACAAATATTATGCTTGTAATTGGTACTACTTCCTGGAGAAAATGGGAAGTGCATATTTCAAAGTAAAAGGAGGACATTTTTCATTTAAGAGAATGGGTATGAACAATGGCCCAGGAAATATTCCCTAATGCAAATTAAATGTATTGCTACCCTTGGATGCGGGCATTAGAGAAATACTAGTCTGCCGGGCGCGGTGGCTCATGCCTGTAATCCCAGCACTTTGAGAGGCTGAGTTGGGCAGATCACCTGAGGTCAGGAGTTCAAGATCAGCCTGGCCAACATGGCAAAACCTGGTCTCTACTAAAAATACAAAAACAAATTAGCCAGGCTTGGTGGCGCCAATTCCAGCTACTCAGGAGGCTGAGGCAGGAGAATTGCTTGAACCCGAGAGGCAGATGTTGAAATGAACGGAGATCACACCACTGCACTCCAGCCTGGGCAACAGGGTGAGACTCTGCCTCAAAAAAAAAAAAAGAAAAGAAAAGAAATTCTAGTCAGATACATGGTTCTTTTGGTGAAAGCTGTTTGTTTTGGTAGCAAGAACCATCCCACTTCCCTTAGAGTCCTTTCTCTTTCCACACTTCAGACGAATTTGCCTCCTTGCCCTCCTCAAATACACTGTCTTCCTCTAAGTCTCCCTGGAAGACTAGAAAGATCTCTAGGCAGGAAATCTGAATATCTGAGCTTCAGTCTTAGTGTTTATTATGTTGTGTCCTTGGGAAACTCAGTGACCTCTCTGAATTTTATTTTCTAATCTGTGAAATGGGATAATGAAACCTGTATTCTAATGTATTTTCAACAAATATTTATTGAATGTCACCCATATCTCTTCTAGGTATTAGTAATCTGACAGGAAACAAATATCTTGCCCTCATGGAGTTTGCATTCTCATAGGGAAGACAGAGAATATACAAAATAAATAAGTTATATAGTGTGTTTTTAAAATGATCGTAAGTGGGCCAGGCGTCGTGGCTCATGTCTGTAATCCCAGCACTTTGGGAGGCCGAGGCAGGTGGATCACCTGAGATCAGCAGTTCAAGACAAGCCTGGCCAACATGGCAAAACCCCATCTCTATTAAAAATACAAAAAGTAGCAGGGCGTGGTGGCACACTCCTGTAATCCCAGCTACTCGGGAGACTGAGGCAGGATACTTGCTTGAGCCCAGGAGATGGAGGTTGCAGTGAGCCGAGATCATGCCAGTGCATTCCAGCCTGGCAGACAGAGTGAGATTCTGTCAAAAAAAAAAAAAAAAAAAAACTGAGCCCTGAGATATCCTGGTACAAGGATGGAGGAGAGCAGGAGGAACCAGCAAAAGAGAAATTGAAGGAGAAAGACAATGAGTGGTGAAAAAATAGACAAATAGATCAATGACAAACAATAATGACAAATAGATCTAGAGAGACCAGAAATAGACCTGTACAAACATGGTAGTCAAGTAGTCAATCTTTGACAAAGAAGCAAAGGCAACACAATAGAGCAAAGATAGTCTTTTCAACAAATGGAAACAATTGAACAACTGAACTTCCACATGCAAAACAGTGAACCTAGACACAGACACACCCTTCACAAATATTAACTCAAAATGGATCATAGCTCTAAATATAAAATGCAAAACTGTTAAGCTAAAATATAACAGGAGAAAACCTAGATGACCATGGATATGGCAATGACATTTTATTTTATTTTATTACTCAATTAGAAAATGTTAATGAAGGATCAGGCCCAATATTAGCATAAACTACCTCAGTATCAATAAAAGATATTTTTAAAATCAGAAATAATTAAAGTGACACATACCTATTTTGTTTTTTTTATTAACTACATGGGCACCCATGAGAGGATTCTAATGATTCTAATAATCTTAGGATTGTCAGAAGTAACATATGGAAGAAGAAATAAGATAAAAGACCTACAAAAGGCCAGGCACAGTGGCTCACGCCTGCAATCTCAGCACTTTGGGAGGCCAAGGCGGGCGGATCACGAGTTCAGGAGATCGAGACCAACCTGGCTAACATGGTGAAACCCCGTCTCTACTAAAAATACAAAAAATTTGCTGGGCGAGGTGGCACGCGCCTGTAGTCCCAGCTACTCCGGAGGCTGAGGCAGGGGAATTGCTTGAACCCAGGAGGTGGAGGTTGCAGTGAGCTGAGATCTCGCCACTGCACTCCAGCCTGGGCAACAGAGCGAGAGACTCCGTTTCAAAAAAAAAAAAAAAAACCTAAGACAGTTGCTCATAAAGAAAGCAAGAAAGCAACAAAGCTAAGACTCCCACTCAGAGAGTGGGCAGTACTTCCTCTCGCTAGGGGCAGGTCAAAAGGAGGACTCCCACGGGAGCCTAGCTTGGGTCCCAGTTGGCAGAAAAATATAAACAGATGTTCTGTTGGGCGACTCGAATAATTCTTATTTTTATATACAATCTTTCAGAAAAGAACTATAATAATTATGATGTGATACTATTCTAGAGAATAACTAATTGATATTTTTACTTTATTAACCTTTTTTCTTGTGTGCATACAAACATGCACATATACACAGTTTTGGAGGAAAAGACAGTTATAGTTCATAGTTTACTATAAATGCTTATCATCCAACTCAATAGAAATTTTCTACAAATGCGTATCATACAATTCGAGAGAAATCTATGTGCTCCAGAATGTACAAAAGTTATGCAATGTTCCAAAGAGTGTCATTGTCACCTCTGGTTTTTTGTTTTCTTTAAAGACAAGGTTTCACTCTGTCATCCTAGTGCAGTGATGTGATTATGGCTCATTGCAACCTCTGACTCCCAGGCTCAAGCAATCCTTCCACATCAGCCTCCCAAGTAGCTGGGGCTACAGGCGTGTTCCACCACACATGACTAAGCAATCACATTTTAGATAAAACATCAAAGATATGTCCCATGAAAGAAGTAATAAACGTCATTAAAATTTAAAATTCTACTCTGCTAGAGATAATATCAGAAGAGTGAGAAGACACAGATTAAAGAAAATATTTGCAAAAAGCTTATGTAATGAACAACTTATTCAAAATATGCAAAGGACTCTTAAAACTAAACAGCAGGAACACAACCCAATAAAAAAATAGGCTAAAGACCCTAACAGATATTGCTAAAGAAGATATACAGATGGCCAATGAGCATAAGAAAAGATGCTCCACATTATATGTAAACAGACAGATGTATTATTGTTTTAATTGTATTATACCACTCACTACCCACCTATTAGAATGGCCAAAATCTGGAACACTGACCACACCTACACTGGTGAGGTTATGGAGCAACAGAAACTCTCATTCATTGTTGGTGGGAATGAAAAATGGTACAGCTACTTTGGAAGACAGTTTGGTGGTTTCTTACAACACTAGACATACTTTTATTATATGATCCAGCAATCACACCCCTTGGCAACTATGCAAAGGAGCTGAAAACATGTCTACACAAAACCTGCACATAAATGTTTATAGAAGCTTTATTCATAATTGCCAAAAGTTGGAAGTAACCAATATGTCTTTCAGTAGGTAAATGAATAAATATACTACGGTACCTCAGACAATGGAATATTATTCAGCCCTAAAAATAAATGAGTTATTAAAGCATGAAAAGACACGGAGGAATCTTAAATGCTTATTACTAAGTGGAAGACAACCAGGAAAATTGTTACCCTAAAGTCAATTGAAGAAAGTGTTGTAAGAAGGAGAATGTATTAATAGCTGCAGCTATCCCAAGTAAGGTGAGGACTGGGAAATGATTTTAGCCATGTGGAGATAATCGGCGACCTTGTCAAGGCATTATAGGATCACTGACAGTCCTTCAGAGGCTGGTAGGTGGATTAATGTGGTGATAGATGTGCGTGGAAGGTCTCTTCTGATTGTGAAGTAGGAAGTAAAGTCATCAATTGAACACAAGGATGGGAGAGGAGGTGTTGGAGCATTGGCATGAGAGATATGAAATAGTGACTTATTTTTTTTTTTTTTGAGACGGAGTCTCACTGTCTGTCACCCAGGCTGGAGGGCAGTGGCGCCATCTCAGCTCACTGCAACTCCGCCTCCCAGGTTCAAGTTATTCTCCTGCCTCAGCCTCCCGAGTAGCTGGGATTACAGGCGCGAGCCATCACATCTGGCTTTTTTTTTTTTTTTTTTTTAGTAGAGATGGGGTTTCGCCATGTTGGCCAGGCTGGTCTCGAACTCCTAACCTCAGGTGATCTCCCCCCCCGCCTCGGCCTCCAAAGTGCTAGGATTACAGGCTTGGACCACTGCATCCGGCTGAAACAGTGACTTAGAACAAGAGGATTGGGAGTGGACTAATCTAATCGCGTATGGTACAATTTGCCTGGTAGCCTTGAGCACCTACTTGACATTCATTGTCATGAATTTAAAGTGAGGTCTGTCAACTGATTGTTTTTCTTCCGCCATGTTTAGCTGCCCTGGTTGTGGCTTTGCCAAAGGAGTACAAAGTGAGAGAGGCAGGGAAATTGAGAGTGCAGCAAGAACGTGACTCTAACATGTGCTGGGTAAAGAGAGAAGAAAATTCATGAACTGGAGGGAGGAATAGGGAACAGACAACTGAGTCTCCGGGGATTTGTTCCAGCAACAAAAGCAGCCACTAAGCACCAAATAAGTTTCTGATGCATAGAGAGTCAGATAACAAGTAAAGATTAAGACACTATTATGTTTCCCAGGAACTTCTTATTGAAAGAGAGAGACAAATATATAAAAAGTGACAAATACAAACACGGAAGCATTAACCTGCCGTGGGAACATTAAAAAGCGAGAGAGTCAAAGAGCCTAACACGACTTCCTCTGAAACAAAAAGTGTCCTCGGAGCTGTGATGGCCGAGTGGTTAAGGTGTTGGACTCGAAATCCAATGGGGGTTCCCCGCGCAGGTTCAAATCCTGCTCACAGCGTCGCCATTTTCTGGTTAGATTTCCAATTTGCTACTTTCATCAGTTAGCTTTCATTAGTTCACTAGGATAGAAAGTTGTGAGTGCTATCGCTGTGGCTTTTACAGCGCGCGCACACTTGTGGAAATGTACATCAAGAAATATGTACATTTGAAGGCCGGGCGCGGTGGCTCACTTCTGCAATCCCCGCACTTGGGGAGGCCGAAACGGGCGGATCATTTGAGGTCAGGGGTTGGAGACCAGCCTGACCAACACGGTGAAACCCCGTCTCTACTAAAAATGCAGAAAAATTAGCCGGGCTTACTGGCGCACGCCTGTAGTCCCAGCTACTTGGGAGCCTGAGGCAGAAGAATCGCTTGAACCTGGGAGGCGAAGGTTGCAGTGAGCCGAGATCGCGCCACTGCACTCCAGCCTGGGAGACAGAGTGAGACTGTCTCAAAGAAAAAGAAGATACTAGTTGTCTTACATCTAATCATAATGGCAAATACAAGACAGGTGCAACGTTGAAAATATTAGGAATACAATTTCCCTTTTAGATTACTAGTATGACAGCTTTCTTAAAGCATTCTCAGGCAGCAATCTTTACTTTGTATTTGTCCTGATCTCACAGCTGGTGGGAGCCAAAAAAATTAGGATGATAACAATCCGTCATATGCATTAGTTGCTCTTCAAAGCGTTTTGTATAAACGAGGAAACAGAGGCACAAAGAGGATATATTTTGGCTTCTGACCACCTTCTTAAACCCATACGAAACTTCGTCTCCTTATAAGCACTTCTTCATTTTCCACTATTTTGCTTACTTTGAACAGCTATGCAAGTAAAGTTCCTTTTTCTAAGTTTCTATGTCAAATGTGATTCTGAAAAATGTGTACTTTCCCGAATTCTTGACTCCTCGTTAAATTTGAGTGTCTTCATCTGCTACTTTGAGTTGTAATACCATTTTACAATAAACTTCTCCCTAGTGAGTGGGTACTTGTTTTTTCCTTTTGGACGAGAAGAGGGAAAAACTATGATTAATACTTCCAGAAATGTATTACAAAGCACTTTACTTTTGGCAATATCTAAATTTAAAATAATACATATTGCTCATTACTGATCCACATACATCATTAGTGCCCAATGTAAGTATATTAAAAATGAAATTCAGGCCAGACACGGTGGCTCACGCCTGTAATCCCAGCACTTCGGGAGGCCGAGGCGGGCGAGTCACCTGAAGTAGGAAGTTCGAGATCAGCCTGACCAACACGGAGAAACCCCGTCTTTACTAAAAATACAAAATTAGCCGTGCATGGAGGCACATGCCTGTAATCCCAGCTACTTGGGAGGCTGAGGCATGAGAATCACTTGAACCCAGGAGGCGGTGGTTGCAGTGAGCCGAGATCGCGCCGCTGCACTCCAGCCTGGGCAACAAGAGCGAAACTCCGACTCAAAAAAAAAAAAAAAAAAAAAAAAAATCAAATTCAGGTAAAAGCAGCTGATTGGCCTGAAAAATAAGTAACAAAAAGCTAAAAAGTAGGCACACACATGAAAGAGAAGATAGAAACACCAATATTGCTTTGAAGGAAAGACATTCATCTTAGCTCATATATAATGTTTCAAAGATGAAAAATGGTCATTATTTTCAATAAAGACACTTTATGTGAATGTCTATTATGCCAACAAACCACAAAAGAAAACATGCTTTCCTTGAATCAGTGTGGTTTGGGGTTTTAATCCCTACCTAAATAAAGAAACAATCTTTTTTTTTTCTGGCCCCAATAGTATAATACAATATAATTATGAAAAGAGTAACAGTTAAGACAGCGTTACAGGCAGGGGCCAGTGGCGCAATGGATAACGCGTCTGACTACGGATCAGAAGATTCTAGGTTCGACTCCTGGCTGGCTCGCTTGTGCTCTCACTTTTTCCTTCTTCAAAGCCGTATTAACAATCCTGTGAATGTCCTTTTCCAGAGTGGTGCTGTTACTTGAACGTGAAAGAGACAAGCGTCGAAAGAGCCAACTTACAGGATTTTGTTTCTACCTTTCATCTCATTCTCAACTGGAGAAAGGAGAAAGGAGAAAAAGACCATTAGAAAGCTTAAAAATCAAAGAAGCTTTAAAAAAATGTTTTTTCACGTATATCTTCTTCATCGGTATTTTTTTCCATTGGGAGAAGTCCACATTCCTGGCGTCTCTGAGGCACAGCTCTTTCCCTGGGCATGACTGTTGTCAAAAAGAAAGGGGACATCTGAAGAAACGTTGAATCATAAAGGCAGGGCTGTGGGGATGCAGGATGCAAGCTGCTCCTTGCATCAGCTGGGCCCCCTACACAGAGCTCAACCCTGAAGTCGGTGGACCCACCTCAGCCTCAACATCGCCCCAATCCACCACTCCCGCCACGGGCCTCTTCTCTGCCTCCCAGGTTCCCACCACTTTTCCTCCGCCCTGAGATCCTAGAGAAATAGAAGACAGGAGAATCGGCAGGGACAGAGATAGACAGACAGACAGACAGACAGATAGACAGATATCCCAGAAGAAGATGAGTGTGGAAGGTGGCAGCTTTGGGGCGGTGTCTGAACAGAAGGACCTCCTTTCTCAGCGACCAGGAAGATGGTGGAGGAGAGAGAGGCTGGGAGGCAACCACAGTCAAGCGGGGGAAAATTCCTCAAACTAAACCAAAAGAGCATCTTAATATGTGGCTCGGTTTCCGAACGTGTAGCTTGGATCTTCGCTCTGCATCTCAGGTGAGTTTACTTTAGTCACTTACCAGTATGCGCTGTCAGGGGCACTGCGGGTAAACGAATGAAACCACAAACCTGGTAGTCCAAATGTGTTGGGCTGTGGCCAAGTTGAACGGAGAACTGGCGATTCTTAAAACACCGCATTCACTTATATACTCTTTAAGCTAAAGGGGAGAAATTTTCCGTGAAAGCCAGTGGCAGCCTCACGTGGTGTGGGCATTTATTTGCCTTGGAAACTGCCTGGGATCAGAAAAAAAGAATGAAGCACAGCCATTGCGAGGAACAAAACCTCGTATCTTGCTGCTATTAGTATCACACTCTCACCAAGTCACTGGCCACGCTGAGCCTGCTTTCCTTTCCCTATCGAAACTCGTTTAAAGCGTCAAAATAATATTGTCTCCCTTTCAATATTGAGAATGAAAAAAATAGAAAAAAGTATATATTGCTTCCTAACGTTTCACTAAAAACTAAACAGGCAAATGTCATATCTCTTCTTAATTCCCCATTCCCTAAAACACACCCACCTAGCTGCCGCACTACTCCAACCCAATTTTCTTCAGTACATTCTTCCTAATGCTTGCATCTTTTTTGTTGTTCTTTGTTTGTTTTGAGACGGAGTTTCGCTCTTGTTGCCCAGGCCCAGGCTGGGGTACTATGGCACGGCCTCAGCTCACCGCAACCTCCGCCTCCCGGGCTCAAGTGATTCTCCTGCCTCAGCCTCCCTAGTAGCTGGGATTACAGGCATGAGCCCAGCTTATTTTGTATTTTTAATAGAGACGGGGTTTCACCATATTGGTCAGGCTGGTCTCCAATTCCCGACCTCAAATGATCACCCCGCCTCGGCCCCCCAAAGTGCTGGGATTACAGATTCGAGCCACCGTGCCCGGCCTGTTCTTTTCATTTTTCACAATAAAGGGAAACGAACGTAAATAGCCTTCTCGCTTGACGAATAAGAGGGCGTCTTAATTTCGGATTCAGAGCACCTGGGATTCGATTCGGAGCACCTGTGATTCGACAGGCTTAAATTAAAAGGCCTCCCTTCAGGTAAGTGAAGGGCCCCACTATGGCATCCAGTGGCCCGTACGGGGATCGAACCCGCGACCTTGGCGTTATTAGCACCACGCTCTAGCCGACTGAGCTAACCGGCCACACGAATGCGCTGCTGTTTTAAAGGAAACCATATATAAATTCGTTGATATTTTTGTTTTTCTAAATAAAACAGAACTTTTTTCTTTCTTACTCCTTTCAAGAGACCTTTGAGACTATATTTACAGACTTTAGCAAGGAAGTCCAAACTATTTTAACTCTGAGCCAGACTAGAAAATTCACGGAGAAATTTTTGACAGAGGATGTGGAAAAAGCGCTGTAATAGGATTTTCAATGGTGAGTGAAGGGAACCTCCTCTTTTTATTTTATTTTTGTTGTTGTTAGACAACAAATTTTTTTTTTTGAACGGCACTGCTCCTTGCGGAGTATGGCTAATTCAAAGGCAGTACGCCCAGAGTCGGCAGCCTTCTCTTTTTAGAGTCATGTCAGTGTACTGGATCGCAAGTTGCAAACTTCCCTTTAGTGACTTGTAACTTAAGGACTTATTATTTTCAGGTTGGTTCAAGACAACGCCGCCGAAAGGAAGGCGAATGGGGTTGAGGGAAAGAGCCGCGCCTTCTCAGTGTCTCTGAAGTCACAAACATAAGCACTGATGTAATCGGCGAAGATATTCAGGGGTGGAAACTGAGGTAGCCCAGCAGTACCGGAATTACATAGTAAATCTGGTATGTTTTTTGAGGGTGGTAGAAAAGGGCTACAGAGGTTTGCAGAAGGGCAAGGTTGTGGTGGCACCCCGCTAGGTATTAAGTCTCATTTAACAGCACTTGCTGTGTGTCACTCAAATTCTAACTTGGGAACCGAAGGATTTCAGCCCGAGTTGGAGAGGCCAGAATAAGTGAGATACGCTCTTTCATCCTTGGTCAGGCTACTGGTTTCATCACCTGGAGACAAGTTGAAAGAAACCTCCTGCAGCGTCAGGAACTATCTCTCTACATGTGCCTGGGGTTTCCTTCGTGTTTTTGGAACTTTCAAGATCACTGACGCCTAATAAACTTTTAACGAATATATTAGCAGTTAAATGAATCAGCAAGTAACGATTTTGTTGATTCTAAAACTGACGCTGGCGCGAGGAAGTGTTGGAATTCCAGTGTTACTCTTAATGTATTCAACGGTTAAAGACCGAAGTACCACCAGGAGCTTCGATGTTTTTCATTCTTCTAGTCCTCAAGAGGTTTTATCCTAGGTGTCAAGAACTGAGGCTTCTACTTGCTCAAAAATCACCTGAAAGTAAACTCTCTGATACAGTTCCTGCAGTAACACATCCTCTTCACCGGTCGCAAGGAATTACATTCTGGCTTTTGAGGATCCCTCTTGCACATTCTGACTGGTGTTTATATACCTCCGAAGTTCACATGTAAAGCCATACCAAGGGAATGAACTTGTCATATATGACATCAACACCGGAAGGATTACCCTTTTTTCTCCTTCAGATAAATGGGAGCTAATCTTCTAACATTCCTGTACTCTGTCCTGAGGCTTGTTGGTAGGCAGAGCTCTTCATGCTGTCCTGACTCTAACAGCACCAGCCTGGGTACTTGCTCTTTCTTTTGTAACGAAAACCAAATACTATTGAAGAAAATCTGCACCTGGGACTAGAGAAATCACATTTTTTGCTAGTAACACCTAAGATTAAAATCTGTTCTTCTACCCCACCCCCACCTTCAATTGTGTTTCCCGGATCCAAAAACCGTATTATTCTTTACTTTGCTTCAAATGAAATACTATGTGTTAACGTTACCAGCAGTAATTCCAGACAAAAAGAGGAGTTCAATACAAGGTTTTCTGTCCTTCCTTAACCGTAAACATGATATAAAATGAGGATCAAATCTCCGTTAATCCTAGATCCTAACTATCCCCATATCCTCCTCAGAGACTATCGAATTTCTTACTTTCTTATCTTCCCTAAAATAATCTATGCATAATCAAGCATATCATTACTATCTTCACCTGCATTATAGGCAACACAGCGGAACATCTGTCACAAGTGTCTTGTAAGATATATGTATTGTTTTCTTTTTCTTTCTTTTTTTTTTTTTTTTTTTTTTTTGAGACGGAGTCTCTGTCGCCCAGGCTGGAGTGCAGTGGAGCGATCTCGGCTCACTGCAGCCTCCGCCTCCTGGGCTCAAGCGATTCTCCTGCCTCAGCCCTCCCCAAGTAGCGGGGATTACAGGCGCCCGCCACCACACCCGTCTATTTTTTGTATTTTTAGTAGAGACGGGGTTTCACCATGTTGTCCAGGCCGCTATCGAACTCCTGACCTCAGGTGATCCGGCCGCCTCAGCCTTCCAAAGTGTTGGGATTACCGGCATGAGCCACCGATCTTGACCATGTAAGATAATTTCAAAATATTTATGTTATATTCCAGATTAGGTTATTTTAATTTTCTAAGACTGCCTCAGGAAAAATACTGAATCAATACTAACAATTTTTTTTTAAAGAAATGTGGATGACCTCACCGTGTTGTCCAGGCTGGCCTTGATTTATAGAACCAAGTGATCCTCTCGCCTGAGCCTCCCAAGTATCTGGGGCCACTGTGCTCCCGCACCTGCCACTGTGCCCAGCTCATTTATTTTACAATGTGAATATATATATGCGCATATATGTGTGTGTGTGTGTGTGTGTGTGTGTGTAATCACATATAGCCTTAGTATTACTAAAATTCAGGTTATTTTTAATATGTCCTCTCTTGCGTCTCTGCACAGTAAAAATGACTAGCTATGCACTGGGACTGTCCCTGCAACTGAAAACAACTAAAATGCTGTACAAAACAAGCAAAGCTTCTAAAAAAATTCAAAGTGCTGATAATAATTTAAGGATTTAACAGACCAAATTCTGAGTGAAAGTAGAAACACAGGGAGTTAAGCATAGAACTGAAAGTGCTTGGCCAGGCGCCGTGACTCACTCCGGTAATCCCAGCACCTTGGGAGGCCGAGGCGGGCAGATCACCTAAGGTCAGGAGTTTGAGACCAGCCTGGCCAACAAGGCGAAACCCCGTCTCTACTAAAAAAATACAAAAATTAGCCTGGTGTGGCGGAGGGCCCCTGTAATCCCAGTTACTCGGGAGGCTGAGGCAGGAGAATCGCTTGAATCCGGGAGGCGGAGTTTGCAGTAAGCCGAGATCAAGCCACCGCACTCCAGCCTGGGCTACTCCAGCCTGGGCGATACTCCGTCTTAAAAAAAAAAAAAGTGCTTATGCCCTGATTCTTATGTGTTTCATAACATCATGACATGTAAGTGTGGCCGGGCATGGTGGCTCACGCCTGTAATCCCAACGCTTTGGGAGGCCGAGGTGAGGGGATCACGAGGTCAGGTGACCGAGACCATCCTAGCCAACATGGTGAAACCCCGTCTCTACTAAAAATACAAAAAAATTGCTTGAACCCAACAGACGGAGGTTGCAGTGAGCCGAGATCACGCCACTGCACTCCAACCTGGGCGACAGAGCGAGACTCCATCTGAAAAACAAACAAGCAAAAAAACATGTAAGTGCACACTGAATGAGGTACTGAATAAGATTGCTTTCTTCCCCTCAACGAATTACTAAAACCTGTGGAGGAGCTCATGTTTATGGGCGTGGAACTGCGTTTTGTGAAATGACTTACAAGAGCCCTTTTCATTATAAAGGCAAATGCATGTATTCCCTTACCATATAAATTAAATGTCAATATGGACTTACATATTGGTAGATGGCTGACATTTGGTGGAGGGCCAGTATTACACAGTTAACGCGGCCAAACATTAATTTAGCAGAGTCGACATGTACAAAAGAGTCCGGAAACAGCTGTCGAAACCCGGAATTGAACCAGAGACCTGCAGAAGATCTTCAGTCTAACACTCTCCCAATTGAGCTATTTCGGCCATCTATAAGGAATGAGTTGGTTTTTTTTTTTATTCTTTTTTTTTTTTTTTTTTTTTTTTTTTTTTTGTCAGTTGCTTTCAAATCGCCCTTCATGAACACCCTCCTAGTTTCCCTTCTGGGTGCTATATTTCAGAGAAAGTAAAACATATGTGGTTCCTTAGGAAATTAATTGGATGGGCATAGGGATTTTGTGATTCAAAACTTCCTGCTGAAATGGGATGCTTCCTAGAATTGAAGACACCACCAGACACCACCATCTGGGATAATTTCTTTTCTTTTTTTTTTCTTTTTTTTTTTTTTTTTGTTTTTCTGAGACAGTTTTGCTCTTGTTGCCCAGGCTGGAGTGCAATGGCGCGATCTTGGCTCACCGCAACCTCCCCCTCCCGGGTTCAAGCGATTCTCCTGCCTCAGCCTCCCAAGTAGCTGAGATTACAGACATGCGGTACCACGCCAAGATTTTTTTTTTTTTTTTTTTTTTTTGTATTTTTAGTACAGATGGGGTTTCTCCATGTTGGTCAGGCTGGTCTCGAACTCCCGACCTCAGGTGATCCGCCCGCCTCGTCTCCCAAAGTGCTGGTATTACAGGCGTGAGCCACCACGCCTGGCCGGAAGTATTGAGTTTTAGGAAAAATGAAGTATTATGCACATATATTTACTTGAGAATATACATTTCTTTTTGGCAAATTCTACCTAATATAAGGCTAAACACACTAATCTAGGAATAGTAATTATTTCTGAGAAAG
Source organism: Homo sapiens (assembly GCF_000001405.40). Lineage (NCBI taxonomy): Eukaryota > Metazoa > Chordata > Mammalia > Primates > Hominidae > Homo > Homo sapiens. Next base: position 27,664,021 of record NC_000006.12, on the reverse strand, counting down.
GGAGTGGCATTGCAGGTGAGGAGATATTTTTGCTGTTTTTCCTGTATTGTGTAGAATATTTATATTCAGAAAATAGCCATTATTTGGATAATTAAAAGAATAATAATTTGGCATATACTATATTAAAATACATGAGATAGTTGAAGTCGACAAACCTTACCTCCTACGTAATGTAAAACTTTATACTATTTAGTTATTGACAAAGCCAAACACAACCTTCCTCTTTTTTTTTTTTTTTTTTTTTTTGGGACGGAGTCTCGCTCTCTCTCCCACTCTCCCAGTCCTGCAGTGCAGTGGCGCGATCTCGGCTCACTGCAAGCTCCGCCTCCAGGGTTCACGCCATTCTCCTGCCTCAGCCTCCCGAGTAGCTGAGACTATAGGCGCCCGCACCACGCCCGGCTAACTTTTTGTATTTTTAGTAGAGACGGGGGTTTCACCGTGTTAGCCAGGATGGTCTCGATCTCCTGACCTCATGATCCATCCGCGTCGGCCTCCCAAAGTGCTGGGATTACAGGCGTGAGCCACCACGCCCGGACACAAACCTTCCCCTTTTGCCTGAACCTGCTGATAGGCAGACCGTTCCCTTTTATTTCCTAGCCAATCCAGTTCTCTGTTTCATGAGTGATTAGCTAAAATTAGAACTGTTTGTCTCTGTGTTGCAGGTCTCCAAGACTCACTCCTAGGTTCAATGATTGGCTAGAAGGGCTCACAGGACTCAGCATATAATCATCCTCACAAGTAATTCCAAATGTAAATAACGTCACCTATAACTTTTGAAGTTATATTTTTACCTCACCTTCCTCCACCTATTTGTACCACACCTTCCCCAACTCCCTGGCAACCACTGATCTTTTTTACTATCTACCTCTCTTTATAAAAGTCTAAGCAAAACCATCCTGCAGAGTACACTCTGATCTTCAGATCCAGAGTGCTCTCCCAGTTGTAATAACCAAAGACAGAAATCAACCTCCTCACTTACCGAGTTTGGTCTTTGTGTTAGTGCTGTGAGTCACAAAGGAGTGAAAGCCTCCCTCAGACATCCATCTTCTTCACTCAGGCACTAAATCCTCTCTAGCTTGTTCTGGTCCTCCCCTGACTGGCAACTTGGGGATTTCACACTGAGGCCAGCTCCTGACCCCTGAGCTACAGGCATCTGTCTGTGGTAGCACAGTAAGGATTTGATTTTGATTCTTTGAGGGCTCCCTTGGTTTGGTTTTGTTGGTGGCTTTTGTTTAACTTGGTATTATGGATAAATCTAAATCCACGCCTCAACCCCTTTCAAAAGCTCTCACGCTTTGCCACTGTGCTAACAATTCAGTTAATTACCTCTCATGCTTTGCCACTGTGCTAATAATTCAGTTAATTACCTCTCATGCTTTGCCACTGTGATAACAATTCAGTTAATTACCTTTAAAAAATGGCAGAATTTAACTATTAGGAGTAGCTCTTCTAATTCCTTGATAATTTAAGATAATTGAAGTCCATGTTTTAAACAGCTAAGGTCATTTACAATTATGTTATCCCCTATCCGCCTATGTTTACCTTTTTTTTTTCTTTCTTTGAGATGGAGTCTTGCTTTGTCCGCCAAGCTGGAGTGCAGTGGCGCCATCTCAGCTCACTGCAGCCTGCGCCTCCCGTGTTCAAGCAATTCTCCTGCCTCAGCCTCCCAGGTAGCTGGGATTACAGGTGCCCACCACCACACCTAGCTAATTTTTGTATTTTTGTAGAGATGGGGTTTCACCATGTTGGCAAGGCTGGTCTCAAACTCCTGACCTCAGGTGATCAGCCTGCCTTGGCCTCCCAAAGTGCTGAGACTACAGGCTTGAGACACTGCACCCGGCCGCCTTTTTTCTTTTCTTTTCTTTTTTTTTTTTTTTTAACTACAGCTGCTAGCAGCTCTAAGAAATTGTGTTTACTTTTATTATTATTATTATTATTATTATTATTATTATTATTCTTTTCCTTTCTTGAGACAGGGTCTCTGTTTCCCAAGCTGAAGTGTAGCTCTCTGCAACCTTGAACTCTTGGGTTCAAGCAATCCTCCCACCTCAACCTCTTGAGTGGCTGGGACTACAGATGTGTAGTCCCACTATGTCTTGCTAATTTTTTAAATTTTTGTAGAGACAGGGTCTCACTACGTTGCCCAGGCTAGTCTGGAACTCCTGGCCTTAAGTGATCCTCCCACCTTGGCCTCCCAAAGTGCTGGCTTTTGAAATTACAGGCTTGAGCCACCATGCCAGGCCATGTTTACCTTTTTAAATAAACTTTATATTTTAGACCATTTTTAGATGTATATAAAAATTGTGCAGAAAATACAGAATTCCCATATAATCCCTTCCCTAACTTCATTTTGAGCTAGTGTGCAAAGTGTTTTTAACATTAACATCTTGCATTAATGTGGTACAGTGGTTACAATGAATGAATCAATATTAATACAATATCGACCAGGCACAGTGGCTCATGCCTGTAATCCCAGCACGTTGGGAGGCCAAGGTGGGCGGAGTTTGAGACCAGCCTGGCCAACATGGAGGAACCCGTCTCTATTGAAAAAACAAAAATTAGCTGGGCGTGGTGGCCGGTGCCTATAATCCCAGCTACTCGGGAGGCTGAGGCAGGAGAATTGCTTGAACCCGGGAGGCAGAGGTTGCAGTGAGCCGAGATCGTGCCACTGTATTCCAGCCTGGGCAACAGAGCAAGACTCCGTCTTGAAAATAAAAGACAAAAAACAAACAAACAAAATATGCACGTAGCTAGGCGCCGTGGCTCACGCCTGTAATCCCAGCACTTGGGGAGGCCGAGGCGGGCGGATCACCTGAGGTCGGGAGTTCGAGACCAACCTGACCAACATGGTGAAACCCCGTCTCTACTAAAAATACAAAAACTAGCTGGGCGCGGTGGTGGGCGCCTGTAATCCCAGCTACTAGGGAGGCTGAGACATGAGAATAGCTTGAACCCGGGAGGTGGAGGTTGCAGTGAGCCGAGATCGTGCCATTGCACTCTAGCCTGGGCAACAGAGACTCTGTCTCAAAAACAACAACAACAACAACAAAATACAAAATAAAAAAAATGCATGTAAAGTTCCTCTATGTCTTTTAATGACTTTATAGCTGATTTCTTTTTGTCATTGAACAATATTTCATTGTATGGATATACCACAGTTTGTTCATCTATTCACCTATTGAAGGACAGCTTGGTTGCTTCCAAGTTTTGAAAATTATGAATAAAGTTGTTATAAACACTCATGTGCAGGTTTTTTGTGGACTTAAGCTCTTTAATTCTTTGGGTAAATATTAAGGAGTGCAATTGCTGAATGTTATGGTAAAAGTATATTTAGCTTTTAAAGAAACTGCCAAATTGTCTTTCAAAGAGATGGTACAATTTTGCATTTCCACCAGCAATGAATGAGAGTTGGTGTCGCTCCACATCCTCATCAGCATTTGGTGTTGTCAGTGTTCTGGATTTCGGCCATTTTAATAGGTATGTTGTGTTATCTCATTTTTTTAAAATTTGAATTTCCCTAAACATATGCTGTGGACCATCTTTTCATATGCATATTAATCATCTGTATATCTTCTTTGGTGAAGTGACTGTTAAGGTCTTTGGCCATTTTTTCATGGGGTTGTTTGTGTTCTTACTGATGAGTTTTAAGAGCTCTTTGTGTATTTTGAATAACAGTACTTTATCCGATAGGTCTTTTGCATGTATTTTCTCTCAGTCTGCAGCTTGTATTTTCATTGTCTTGGTGTTATAGTGTTTTTGATCACTAGCATGTCTTTTTGGTTCTTTCTTAGAATTTCCATCTCTCTGCTTACATTGCCCATGTGTTCTTGTATGCTGTCATCTTATTCTTAGCATCTTAATCAGTTGTTTCAAATTCCTGGTTTGAGAATTCCAACATCCCTGTCATATCCGAGTCTGGTTCTGATGTTTGCTCTCTCTCTTTAAACTGTGTATTTTGTCTTTTTTTATATCTTATGTTTTTCTTGATAGCAGGACATGCTGTGCTGGATAAAATGAGCTGCTATAAGCAGGCCTTTAGTAATGTGGTGGCAAAGTGTGGAGGGAGAAAAGCATTCTGTAGTCCCACAAGTAGGTCTCAGTCTATTAGTGAGCCTGTATCAGTGGACTGTGAGCTTTAAACATGCTTTTTAGGTTTTTCCCCACTTTCGGTGGTACTGGATGGCTAGAGTGGGCTGGAGTTGGTTATTTCCCTTCCCGCAGATCCATCGGGCTCTTGATAAAACCCCAGCAGGTTAGATCGAGATTAAATGGTTTCTTCTGAGGGCAGACCTTGTTAAGAACAGAATGGGCCGGGCGCGGTGGCTCAAGCCTGTAATCCCAGCGCTTTGGGAGGCCGAGGCAGGTGGATCACCTGAGATCAGGAGTTCAAGATCAGCTTGGCCAACATGGCGAAACCCCGTCTCTACTAAAGATACAAAAATCAGCCGGGCGTGGTGGCAGGCGCCTGTGATCCCAGCTGCTCAGGAGGCTGAGGCAGAGAGAACTGCTTAAAACCCAGGAGGCGGAGGTTGCAGTAAGCTGAGATCGCGCCGCTGCACGCCAGTCTGGGCGATAGAGCGAGACTCCGTCCTAAAAAAAAAAAAAAAAAAAAAAAAAAGAACAGAATGATCTGGCCTGTTGCAAACTGGTTCTTGCCCTACCCGCTACCAGAGGAGATTTTTCTCCCTCATTGTGAGAACTTGGTTGAGCTCCTGAGATAAAATTCACAAATTTGTAGCTGGAGGTTTTTCCCTGAGATTTGTCCACAGAAAGCCTCAAGCAGTTTCTTAATTACAGCTCAGGTGTCCCTCCTCTAGCACTGATTCAGGTGGAGGATTTTGCTCTTTGGGTTTCCGGTCTGGTAAGTTGTAGTACTCCGTATTTGCCTTTCTGTCTCTCCAATTTTGGGGGCAGTGGTTTGCCCTGTGACCTCACAGGAAGTATGGAAAACCTTCAGCCATGAGTGTGGATTTTCCTATTTTTAGTTCCATCGTGGTTTTGTTGTTTTCTTTTTTTCTTTCTTTTTTTTTTTTTTTTGAGACGGAGTCTTACTCTGTTGCCCAGGCTGGAGTGCAGTAGCGCGGTCTCGGCTCACTGCTAGCTCCGCCTCCCGGGTTCACGCCATTCTCCTGCCTCAGCCTCCTGAGTAGCTGGGACTACAGGTGCCCGTCACCACGCCCGGCTAATTTTTTGTATTTTTAGTAGAGACGGGGGTTTCACCGTGTTAGCCAGGATGGTCTCAATCTCCTGACCTCATGATCCGCCCGCCTCGGCCTCCCAAAGTGCTGGGATTACAGGCGTGAGCCACCGTGCCCAGCCTGTTTTTCTTTTCACTATTTAGTTCCTGTGAACCATCAGGTCATCTTAACTTTTAATTTTGAAATTATTATAGATTAACAAGGAGTTACAAAGAAAGTAGAGAACTCCCCTGTACCCTTAACCCAGTTTCCTACAATGATTACTTCTTTTTTTTTTTTTTTTTTTTTTTTTGAGACGGAGTCTCGCTCTGTCGCCCAGGAGGGAGTCCAGTGGCGTGATCTCGGCTCACTGCAACCTCCCCTCTTGGGTTCAAGCGATTCTCCTGCCTCAGGCTCCGGAGTAGCTGGGATTACGGGCACCCACCAGCACACCAGGCTAATTTTTGTATTTTAAGTAGAGACAAGGTTTCGCCATGTTGGCCTAGCTAATCTTAAATTCCTGACCTCAGGTGATCCACCCATCTCAGCCTCCCAAAGTGCTGGGATTACATGGGTGAGCCACTCAATGTGCCAGCCCAATGGTTACTTCTTATATAACACAATATCGAACACAGGAATTTAATATTGGTATGACATGTGTGTATGGTTCTAAATCATTTTTATCACATGTGTAGGTTTGTGTACCTAACACTGGAAACAAGACACTAAAACAATTCCAGCACCATAAATATCTCCCTGTTAATGCCACCCCTTAATTAGTCATACCAACTTACCTCTCCTCTTAACAAAAATTCTTTTTTTTTTTTTTGTTTAAGATAGAGTCTCGCTCTGTCACCCAGGCTGGAGTGCAATCTCGGCTCACTGCAACCTCTGCCTCCCGCGTTCAAGTGATTCTCCTGCCTCTGCCTCTGCCTCCCGAGTAGCTGGGATTACAGGTGTCAGTTGCCAGGCCTGGCTACTTTTTCTATTTTTAGTAGAGATGAGGTTTCACCATGTTGGCTAGGCTGGTCTCAAACTCCTGACTTCAAGTGATCCTCTCGCCTCGGCCTCCCACAGTTCTCGGATTACAGACGTAAGCCACTGTGCCCGGCCTTGACAAAAATTCTACCATTCTTTTTTGTTTTGAGAATGTTATAGAAATAGAATCATATAATAGATGACCTTTAAAGATTGGCCTTTTCCACAGCCTAGTTCCCTCAAGATCCGTCCAACTCATGATATCAATAGCTCCTGACTTTTTATTGTTGAGTATTCCATGGTATGGATGGACAACTGTTTATTTAACCATTCACATACTGAAAGACATTTTGATGCTTTCCAGTGTTTTGCTATTACAAATAAAGCTGCTATTAACAATTGTATACAGATTTTTGTGTGGACATAAGTTTTCACATCATTTTTGGTCTATATATTTTGAAACCATGTTATTGGATGCATACACATTTAGAATGTTTATGTTTCTCTTTTATAAAATGTCTCCTATTACTATAAAATGCATACCTTATTGTTATGAAATATCTCTGTGGTAATGCTTCTTGTCTTAAATTCTACATTTTAAAAAATGTTGGCCGGATGTGGTGGCTCACACCTATAATCCCACTTTGGATTATAGGTGTGATCCTATAACTTGGGGAGGTGGAGGCAGGAGGACCACTTGATGTCAGGAATTTGAAACCCAGCTGGCCAACATGGTGAAACCCTGTCTCTACTAAAAATACAAAAATTAGCTGGGCATGGTGGTGCACGCCTGGAATCCCAGCTACTCTGGAGGCTGAGGCAGGAGAATCGCTTGAACCTGGGAGATGGAAGTTGCAGTGAGCTGAGATCATGCCACTAAACTCCAGTATGGGTGACGGTGTGAGACTCCATCTCAAAAAATAAATAAATAAAAATAAACAAACAAATAGTAAAGTTAATATAGCCACACCAGGTAAAAAACTAAACATAGGATTAGCTTTTGTTTTGTATATTTTTAACATTTCTCTTCTAGATCACTTACTTTATATCCTTATGCATATTTTCCCCCATGGCATTTTTTAAATTGTGGTAAAACATGCATAATATAAAATTTGCCATTTTTATCATTTTAAGAGTACATTTTGGTAAAATTAAATAAATTCAGTGTGGTGGAACCATCACCATCATCCATCTCCAGAACTTTTTTAGCATCCCAAACTGAAACTCTATAACCATTAAACAAAAACTCCCCATCTGCTCCCCTTCAGCCCTTGGTACCCATTGTCTATCTCTATAAATTTTGCTTGTGCTTTTATGTATCTAATAGAAGTGGATTATACAATACTTGTCCTGTTTGGCTTTTTTCACTTAGTTTAATGTCCTCAAAGTTCATTCACGTCATGGTATTTATGAGAATTTCATTTTTTCTAAGGCTTAAGTATATCCCATTGCATGTATATATCACACATTTATCTGTCAATGGACATTGGGTTAAATCTATCTTTTTTGGGGGGGAGGGGATGAAAAGGTCTCACACTGTCACCAGGCTGGAGTGCAATGGCAGCTAATTTTAAATTTTTTTTGTAGAAGTAGCGGTCTTGCATTTTGCCCAATCCTGTCTTGAACTCCTTGCCTCAAGGGTTCCTTCAGCCTCAGCCTCCCAAACTGCTGGAATTACAGATGTGACCCAGCATGCCCAGCCCCATCTTTTGACTATTGTGAATAATGCTGCTGGGAACAACTGGCGTGCAAGTATCTGAGCTTTTGCTTTCTTTTTTTTTTTTTTTTTTTTTTTGAGACGGAGTCTCGCTCTGTCACCCAGGCTGGAATGCAGTGGCCTGATCTTGGGTTAATGCAAGCTCCGCCACCCGGGTTCATGCCATTCTCCTGCCTCAGCCTCCCGAGTAGCTGGGACTACAGAAGCCCGCCACCACGCCCGGCTAATTTTTTTGTATTTTTAGTAGAGACGGGGTTTCACCATGTTAGCCAGGATGGTCTCGATCTCCTGACTCTCCTGACCTCGTGATCTGCCCACCTCGGCCTCCCAAAGTGCTGGGATTACAGGCGTGAGCCACAGGGCCCGGCTGAGCTTCTGCTTTCAATTCGTTTAGATAAACACCTAGAAGTGGAATTGTTGGACCGTATGGTAATAATATGTTTAATTTTTTTAGAAACTGCCATACTGTTTTCTACAGTGGCTGTACTATTTTACATTCCCACCAGCAATGCACCAGAATAATAATTTTCCATATCCTTGCTGGTATTTATTTTGCTTTTTGTTTTCTTTTTCTTTTTTTCTAATAGCCATCCTAAGGGACCTCAGATGCTATCTCACTGTGGTTTTGATTCGCATTTTCCTAATGGTTAGTGAAGTTGAGCATTTCTTTATGTGCTTATTGGCTATTTGTGCTTGTATCTTCTTTGGAGAAATGATCCAAGTCCTTTGCCCAATTTGAACTGGGTTGTGTTGTTGTTGTTGAGTTGTAGTAGTTCTTTACATATTCTGGATATTAATTCTTTGTCAGACATATGCTTCACAAATATTTTCTTCTATTCCATGGATTGTCTTTTCACTCTTTTGATAGTGTCCTAATTCAATAAATAATTCAATAAAATCTGACTAAACAGTGTCCTGACTATAAATGTTTTTATTTTATTTTTATTATTTATTTATTTATTTATTTTTTGAGACAAGAGTCTCGCTCTGTCGCCCAGGCTAGAGTGCAGTGGCACGATCTTGGCTCACTTGAACCTCCGCCTCTCGGGTTCAAGTGATTCTCCTGCCTCAGCCTCCCAAGTAGCTGGGACTACAGGCACACGACACCACGCCTGGCTAATTTTTGTAATTTTAGTAGAGATGGGGTGTCACCATATTGGTCAGGCTGATCTTGAGCGCCTGACCTCAGGTGATCCACCCGCCTTGGGCTCCCAAAGTGCTGGGATTACAGAAGTGAGCCACCGTGCCCAGCCTACAAATGTTATCAATTTGATGAAGTCTAATTTATCTATTTTTGTCATTGTTCTCTGTGCTTTTGGTATGATATCCAAAAAATCATTGCCATATGTCATGAAGATTTTCTCCAATGTTTTCATCTAAGAATTTTAAGGTTTTTAGCACCTATGTTTAGGTCTTTGATCTGTTTTTAAGTTAGTTTTTCCCTGTATTATAAGGTAAACATCCAACTTCATTCTTTTGCATGTAGATATCCAGTTTTCCCAGCACCATTTGTTGAAAAGTCTGTTCTTTCTCCATTAAATGGCCCTGGCACCCTTGTCACAAATCAGTTGGCCATATAAGCCATAGTTTATTTCTGGGCCCTCTATTCGCTTGTGTCTGTATGTCTCTCCTTATGCCAGTACCATACTGTTTTGATTACTGTAGCTTTAAAGTAAATGTTGAGGTCAGGAAGTATGAAGCCTCCAACTTTGTTCTTCTTTTTCTTTTTCTTTCTTTTTTCTTTTTCTTTTTTTTTTTAGTATTCATTGATCATTCTTGGGTGTTTCTCGGAGAGGGGGATTTGGCAGGGTCATAGGACAATAGTGGAGAGAAGGTCAGCAGATAAACATGTGAACAAAGGTCTCTGGTTTTCCTAGGCAGAGGGCCCTGCCGCCTTCCGCACTGTTTGTGTCCCTGGGTACTTGCGATTAGGGAGTGGTGATGACTCTTAACGAGTATGCTGCCTTCAAGCATCTGTTTAACAAAGCACATCTTGCACCGCCCTTAATCCGTTTAACCCTTAGTGGACACAGCACATGTTTCAGAGAGCACGGGGTTGGGGGTAAGGTTATAGATTAACAGCATCCCAAGGCAGAAGAATTTTTCTTAGTACAGAACAAAATGGAGTCTCCTATGTCTACTTCTCTCTACACAGACACAGTAACAATCTGGTCTCTGTTTTCCCCACATTTCCGCCTTTTCTATTCGACAAAACCGCCATCGTCATCATGGCCCGTTCTCAATGAGCTATTGGGTACACCTCCCAGACGGCGTGGCGGCCGGGCAGAGGGGCTCCTCACTTCCCAGACGGGGCGGCCGGGCAGAGGCGCCCCCCACCCACCTCCCGGACGGGGCGGCTGGCCGGGCGGGGGCTGCCCCCCACCTCCCGGACGAGGCGCCTGGCCGGGCGGGGGCTGCCCCCCACCTCCCGGACGGGGCGGCTGCCGGGCGGAGACACTCCTCACTTCCCAGACGGGGCGGCTGTTGAGCGGAGGGGCTCCTCACTTCTCAGGCGGGGCGGCCGGTCAGAGACGCTCCTCACCTCCCAGACGGGGTGGTGGTGGGGCAGAGACACTCCTCAGTTCCCAGACGGGGTCGCGGCCGGGCAGAGGCGCTCTTCACATCTCGGACGGGGCGGCGGGGCAGAGGCGCTCCCCACATCCCAGACGATGGGCGGCCGGGCAGAGACGCTCCTCACTTCCTAGACGGGATGACGGCAGGGAAGAGGCGCTCCGCACTTCCCAGACTGGGCGGCCGGGCAGAGGGGCTCCTCACATCCCAGACGATGGGCGGCCAGGCAGAGACGCTCCTCACTTCCTAGACGGGGTGGCGGCCGGGCAGAGGCTGCAAACTCGGCACTTTGGGAGGCCAAGACAGGCGGCTGGGAGGTGGAGGTTGTAGCGAGCCGAGATCACGCCACTGCAGTCCAGCCTGGGCAACACTGAGCACTGAGTGAGCGAGACTCCGTCTGCAATCCCGGCACCTCGGGAGGCCGAGGCTGGCAGATCACTCGCGGTCAGGAGCTGGAGACCAGCCCGGCCAGCACGGCGAAACCCCGTCTCCACCAAAAAATACGAAAACCAGTCAGGCGTGGCGGCGCGCGCCTGCAATCCCAGGCACTCGGCAGGCTGAGGCAGGAGAATCAGGCAGGGAGGTTGCAGTGAGTCGAGATGGTTGCAGTACAGTCCAGCCTTGGGTCGGCATCAGAGGGAGACCGTGGAGAGGCAGTGGCAGAGGCAGAGGCAGGGGCAGGGGCAGAGGCAGAGGGACAGGGGCTTTTCTTTTATTTTTGCATAAAGACAAACTTTATTGAGCCCCTCAGCACTAGCTCTCTTTCTCCTGCACAGTCTTCGTTCCCCGGAGACGTCCAGTCCGGCGGGGAGCAATGAGACCCACTTTGCGGCCAGCAGGGGCATCCATCTTGAAGGCTGGCCGGGCCTACCACAAATATAAGGCAAAGAGGAACTGTAGGCCACGAGTACGGGGTGTGGCCATGAACCCTGTGGAGCATCCTTTTGAAGGTGGCAACCCCCAGCACATTGGCAAGCCCTTCATCATCATGAAGGTGTTTGAAGTTTGTCAAATGCTTTTTTGCATTAATGCAAAGAACTGTGTTTTTTCTTTCATTCTGTTTATGTATACATTATATTAATTACTTGTTTTATATGCTGAATCCTTCCATTTCAGGAATAAATCCTACTTTGCTATGGTGTATAATCCTTTTAATATGTTGTTGAATTTAGTTTGCCAGTATTTTGTTGAGGAATTTAGCATCAATATTCATAAAAAAATATTGGCCTGTAGCTTTCTTTTTTGTAATGGCTTTGTCTGGCTTTGGTATCAGAATAATGCTAGCTTCATAAAATGAGTTAGGAAGTGTTTCCTACTCTTCAGTTTTGTGGAAAAGTGTGAGATGGACTGCTTAAGTATTTAAATGTTTGATAGAATTCATCAGTTAAGCCAGCTGGTCCAGGGCTTTTTTTCACGGTAGGTTTTTGATTACTGCTTCAATATCCTTACTAGTTATAGGTCTATTCAGATTTATAATTCTCTATGATTCAATCTTTGTAGATTGTGTGTTACTAGGAGTTTGTTCATTTAATCTAGGTCATCCAATTTGCTGGCATACAATTTTTCATAGTGTACTCTTATAATTCTTTTTATTTTTGTAAATTCAGTGATAATATCACCGCTTTCGCTTCCAATTTTAATAATTTGAGTCTCTTGTCTTTTTTTTGTTTTTCCTTAGTCAGTCTAGCTAAAAGTCAAGTTTGCTGACAATATAGACAATGTAGACAACTTTTCAAAGAACTTCTGGTTTTATTGAATCGTCTGTATTGTTTTCAGCCTGCCTTTTCTGATGGCCTTTTATTACAGCCTGCCCTATGGATTTAGCACTTTCTAACCAGTCTCCACAATTGCATAAGCGTATTACTTCTTCAATTTATCCGTCTATTCCTGTGCACCTCTCTCTCAATCTCTCCCTCTCTCTCCCTCTCTCTCCCTCTCCCTCCCTCCTTCTCTGTCTCCGCCTCTCTCTCCCACCCTCCCCGCCTCTTACAGGCACACACACACACACACACACACACACCCCTTCAGTACACACAAAAGGAACACACCTGGGAAACCAGAGCATTTCCAGTTCCTTTTCAGTTACGACCCACTCTCCCCAGATGGAAGTACTATTGTGACTTCTGGCTGGACAGCGGAATGTTGCCTGCTTTATAATTTAAATCAGTGGAGCCACAGAGTACGTCCTTTTCTGTCTGGTTTACTTTAGTCGACATCTCTGTGAGATTCATCCACATAGTTGTAGATTGTTCATTCTTGTTGCAATAGATTATTTCATGTGAGTTCATTCCTGCATCTGCTGATGGGTGCTTGGGAAGTTTCCAGTAGTTTTTATTATTCTGAATAGGTTACTGGGCATTCTGGTAAATATATTTGGTGAATATATGTACCAATTTGTGGTAGGCAAATAACAACTGTCAGGATGTGATATCTTTGATTTCAATAAGTGGAAAGTCTGAAAGATATGGAAAGAAACTACCAGAAAAAAAAAATCTGAGTAAAAAATATAGATTTTCTACAGCCAAACCTGGATTGTCTCACCCTAGGTGCTTCAATTCTCACTCCCACCAGCAGGGTTGTTTCCGTAGTGTAGTGGTTATCACGTTCGCCTAACACGCGAAAGGTCCCTGGATCAAAACCAGGCGGAAACAAGTGGTTACCCTTCTTACGTCTTGTTCCTGATCCTGAGAGTCTCTATTTGAACCAGATAGGACTTTTGTATATGAACAAGCACCTAAATCAAAGGATCTTATATCTTCCTTTTTTTTTATTTGAGCCACCTCAGGAACATTTTTGCTCCCTCCTTTGTCCTGAGCCGCGGCGAGGCCCACATCGCCCCATCTTCCCGCGCCCCAGCATGTCGCTGTCCCAGCTCCCTCCCCTTATGCTCTGCATGGCCTGTAGGTTCTAGGGCCCAAAGCAAGCTCTCGTGGTGCAGGACCCCGCTATACTGTGCAGGCGAGACTGGCTTCCTTGAAATTTCCAAAGCCACTTGTGCAGGTTCTTCGCAAAGAGATTTTCCTCAGGAGTTTCTAAAAATAAGCAATGCTTAGGACACAGACCCGTGAGAAAAAAATAAAAAAAGAAACAGGGCCATGCTTTGAGCCAAGTGAATAACTAATATTCTATTGTCTGCCCTTTACCCCTAAGTGCAGAGAGAATTTTTCACAAAATAGGTAAGAGGCAATTTCAAGTGGATACTTAGAAACTGTTAAGTGTTAAAATAAATAAATCAATAAATAATAAAAAATTAGATACTGGCCTGGCCTCTATGGGTACTCAATGCCAGATGTCGGCATTATTGGTAAGATGTGCCAATCAACTGAACTGATCAATAACAGAGAAACTGATTTCTTTCTTAAACTTAAGAGTGTGCTAGGCTGGACGCCACAGTGGCTCAGGTCTGTAATCCCAACACTCTGGGAGGCCGAGGCGGGTGGATTACTTGAGGTCAGGAGTTCAAGACCAGCTTGGCCAACATGGCGAAACCCCCATCTCTACAAAATTACAAAAATTAGCTGGGCGTGGTGGCACGCACCTGTAGTCCCAGCTACTTGGGAGGCTGAGGTATGAGAATTGCTTGAATCTTGGAGGAGGAGGTTGTAGTGAGCCAAGATTGTGCCACTGCACTCCAGCCTGGGCAACAGAGTGAGACTCTGCCAAAAAAAAAAAAAAGTGTGCTAAACCAGCATTGTCACTTTAAATTTCACTGTAATAAAGCAGATGATTCCCTAACTCCTAATATCCACCTTCTGTAATCTACCTGTAGTGCCTCACTGAGTTTTTTAATAAACTCTCCAACCAAATGGTTGTAAATTACTTGTTTTAACAACAAAACCAAAGAGCAACAATAAAAAAAAAAAAAGCTTGATATAGGGAAAAAGAGGAGGACCACATTCATGTAACTTTCATTACAGTATATTGTTATAATTGTTATATTTTATTATTAGTTGCTGTTATTTACCCTGGCTATTTTATCAATTAAACCATTATAGGTATGTGTTGTAAACCCAAAATATCTGAGACAGATCCCAACCAATTTAGAGAGTTTATTTTGCTAAGGTTAAGGATACGCCTGTTACACAGGCTCAGGAGGTCCTGACGACCTGTGCCCAAGGTGGTCAGGGTACAGCTTGCTTTTATACATTTTAAGGAGACATGAGACATCAATCAGTATGTGTAAGATGTACATTGGTTCAATCCAGTAGGACTGGACAACTCAAAGTGGTGGTGGGGTCTTCCAGGTCACAGGCAGAAAAGACACAAAAGACAAAGGTTGCATTCCTTTAAGTCCTTGATCAACCTTTCACTGAATACACAATTTAGTCTGGCTCCGTGAATCTGCATTTTTACATAAACAATAAGGCAGAGGAAACAATCAGATATGCATTTGTCTCAGGTGAGCAGAGGGAGGACAGTTTTTTTTTTTTTTTTTTTTTTTTTGAGACAGAGTCTCACTCTGTCACCCAGACTAAAGTGCAGTGGTGCGATCTTGGCTCACTGCAACAACCTCCGCCTCCTGGGTTCAAGCGATTCTCCTGTCTCAGCCTCCTCAGTAGCTAGGATTACAGGCGCATGCCACTACGCCTGGCTAATTTTTGTATTTTTAGCAGAGACAGGGTTTTGCCATGTTGGCCAGGCTGGTCTCGAACTCCTGACCTGAGGTGATCCACCCACCTTGGCTTCCCAAAGTGCTGGGATTATAGGCGTGAACAACCGCACCCGGCCAGAGGGATGACTTTCTGTCCCACACCTGTGAAGGTAAGCTATTAGTTTACATTGCCAGGGTGAAATTCAACAGAATTGTTTTAGGATAAATACCTTAAAGCCCACAAGGAATTTCCTTGTGGGCAAATTGTGAGGGAGGTGTGTGGCTCTTTTATCTTTTTAGCTATCTTGTTTAGGAATAAAATGAGAGGCAGTTTTGCGTGTAGTTCCCAACTTGACTTTTCTGTTGACTTAGTGATTTTAGGGTTCTAAGATTTATTTTCCTTTCACAGCGTGTATAGAAGAAAAAAACAGTTATTATAGGGTTTAGTACTATCAGCAGTCTCAAGCATCCACTAGGGGTCTTGGAATATATCCCCCATGAGTAAAGGGACTATTGTATCTGAAACTGTACCAAACTAAGAAGAAAGGCATAGAGTCTGCACTAATGGAACATCCACAGTTGGGGCCCAGGCTTTTTCTAGGAACAGAATTACTGAGAAATTCACTGATCTTCCTCGCATGCAGAAGAATTTGTTATAAGATTCTATGAAACAGGTTTTCCTGCTTTACTCTGAAATGCTGCATTACTCTGAAATGACCAAATCACAAAATATTGAGATTATTAAAAAAAAATTTTTCAGGTCACTAAATGTAATTGCCCAACGAGTTCACCTTGCCTGCTGCCTAGACAGAGCCAATTTATCAAGACAGGGAAATTGCAATGGAGAAAGTAATTCACTCAGAGCCAGCTGCGTGGGAGAACGGAGTTTTATTATTTCTCAAATCCGTCTCCCTGAGCATTGGAGCACTGGGGGATGGTAATTTTAAAAGATAATTTAGCGTCGAGCGCGGTGGCTCATACCTGTAATCCCAGGACTTTGGGAGGCCAAGGTTTGCAGATTATCTGAGGTCAGGAGTTGGAGACCAGCCTGGCCAACATGGTGAAATCCCATTTCTACTAAAAATACAAACATTAGCTGGGCTTAGTGGCGGGAGGGGAGCCTGTAATCCCAGCTACTCGGGAGGCTGAGGCAGGAGAATCGCTTGAACCCGGGAGGCGGAGGTTTCACTGTGCCGAGATTGTGCCATTGCACTCCAGCCTGGGCAACAAGAGCGACAGTTGGTCTCAAACAAACAAAAATAAATAAATTAATTAAAAAATAATTTAGCGGGTAAGGGGCTTGCTGATTGGTCGGGTTGGAGATGGAATTATAGCAGGGGTCGAAGTGAGGTTTTCTTGCTGTCTTCTGCTCCTGGGTGGGATTGCAGAACTGGGTGGTGGTAGCTGATCCATCAAATGTAGGGTCTGCAAAATATCTCAAGCACCGATATTAGGTTTTACAGTAGTGATGTTATCCCCAGGAGCAATATGGGGAGCTTCAGATTCTTGCAGCCAGAGGATGCATGACGGACCCCTAAACCATAATTTGTAATCTTGTAGCTAATTTGTTAGTCCTACACAGGCGACTGGTCCCCAGGCAAGAAGGGAGTTTCTTTTGGGAAAAAGCCGTTATGGTCTTTGTTCTAAACTATAAACAACTATAAACTATAAACTAAGTTCCTCCCAAAGTTAGTTCAGCCTACATCCAGGAATGAACAAGGACAGCTTGGAGGTTAGAAGAAAGATGGTTAGGTCAGATCTCTTTCACTGTCTCAGTTATAATTTTGCAGTGGTTTCATAAAGGCAAAAAAAAAAGTTTAAAGTTTATTAATAGCAAAGAAGTCAGTCAACTTTAAAAGTTTCCTCTGCTCGGTCCGGCGCGGTGTCTCATGCCTGTAATCCCAGCACTTTGGGAGGCCGAGACAGGTGGATCGCCTGAGGTCAGGAGTTCGAGACCAGCCTGACCAATACAGCGAAAAGCCACCTCTACTAAAAAAACTCCACGAAAATTAGCTGGGCATGGTGGCGTGTGCCTGTAGTCCCAGCTACTCAGGAGGCTGCGACAGGAGAATTGCTTGAATCTGGGAGAATTGCTTGAACTCGGGAGGCGGAGGTTGCAGTGAGCCGAGATCGCACCACTGCACTCCAGCCTAGGCGACAGAGCGAGACTCCGTCTCAAAAAAAAAAAAAAAAAAAAAAAAAAAAATTTCCTCTGTCAAAATACCTTTCCTTCTTCACCTGGCCCAGCATTTGTGAAGTATTTGGGTCACTGGGGAAACCCCTTCCTGGGTCTTGGGTTGTGGAGTTTTGGTATTGCTGGTTTTGATAAATGGAAGATACAAGGAAAGGAAAAACTTGCCTCAAATATGAAAATGCTCTAAAGGAAAAAATACATTTCACAATACTAAATACAGGACATCCAAGAAACCTCCATTTTAATTTTTAGAGGTGACTCTTGGGTGTACGGTAGTTTCCACAGAGTAGTGGTTCTCACGTTTGCCACACACAAGAAAAATCCTCTCCTGAAACTGGGCAGAAATATATCCTGCCAGTATTGTTTTTTTTCTTCTCTCTCCACTTTAGCTTAGTTAATTCTTCTTTCACTAAACTCGACTCCAGTCGTCAACACAAACGTCAACACCAAAGGTGAACACTGAACATTGTTGCAAAACTAGTATCGCTGTGGGGCCCTAACTTTGGTCTCTACAGTTGCGCAGCTTCTGACCTGGGCTGAGGCGCAGGTGGCACAGGTCCCACCTACCTGGTTCGCCACTCTTCACAATTAGGAAAGAGTGAGGCTCTCAAGGTTTATCAAACGGAGCAGAACTCCCTTTGGGGTTTGTTGTTTGTTTGTTTGGGTTTTTTTGTTTGTTTTCTTTTTGTTTTTGAGACAGGGTCTCACTCTGTCGCCCAAGCTGGAGTGTAGTGGCACAATCAGGGCTCACGGCTGCCTGGACTCCCCGGGCTCAAGCAATTCTCCCACCTCAGCCCCCAGAGTAGCTGGGACCACAAGCTCATGCCACCATGCCAGGCTAAAATTTTAATGTTTTGTTGAAGGCGGGGGAAGGAATGTCTCACTATATTGCCCAGGCTGGTCTCGAACTCAAGGGCTCAAGAGATCCTCCCGCCTCAGCCTCTCAGAGTGTTGGGATTACAGGCATGAGCCACCACGCCTGGCAGAGCTTCCCTTTGAATCACATCTGCGCACATTTCATTGTGCTATCTTTTTATCATTGATCCATATATATCACTTAAGAGTTCTTTGCCAGATATTTGTATTGCATATATCTTCTTGTCACTTGAGTCTGGGAAACAGTTTAATGATCTCTTGTGATGAAATTGTTAATTTTGGTGGCACATGTCTATAATCCCAGCTACTTGGGAGGCTGAGGCGGGAGAACTGCTTGAACCTGGGAGGTAGAGGCTACAGTGAGCCGAGATCGCACCACTGTACTGCAGCCTGGGCAACCCAGCAAGACTCCGTCTCAAAAATAATAATTAGAAGAAGAAATTGTTAATTTTTATGAAGTCCAATTTATTTAACTTTGGTTTAGTTATTTTTGTGTCTCCCTAAGAAATTTTTCTTTCCCCAAGCTCACATAAATATTCAATTCTTTTTTATCCCCCTCATAACTTTATTTATCTTTCACTTTTAGAGTTATGAGCAAAAAACCTGAACAGGCACTTCCAAAGCAGAATATGTTAATGGCCAATGAGCACATGAGCATATGTTTTGACAGCAATAAAAAGTTTACTGATTTCTTTATTTTAACCAGTGGTGACCAGACAAAAGACCTCAACGGTCTCTGGTAACATTATTTTCTTGCCGGAAATCTTTTCAAAACTCTTCCGTGAAGGTTGTGTTTTTCTGGGGGAGGGGTGGAAGCATGATTTGAGGTGGGTCGCAGATGGAGATAAGACAAGGTTTCTGCCTTCAGGATTTTCAGGAATATCTGCCCTTCAGAAGCTCTGCTTAATGTGATTCTGCTGATCTCCCTTTCTTTTTCAGTTTGCTCCATTCCTCCAATCCTGAGACTTACTTCATAGCTGCATTTGATCTACATCTCTTCGGCTCCAGATGGTTTTACTAGGGGTCAATGTGGGCTGCATCTCTCTGGGACAAAGGGAGAGTTACTGGAGTCAGATTGGCCTTTCCAGCCAAAACAGCCTACCAGTTAGGTGCTCGAGCCATAAGGTCCTATCAGTTAGGCGCTCAGTCGCTGCTAGGAGCCATCCTACGCTGTCAGAAAGCTCTTCCTTAGTGGGTGGAATGGGAAGTCCCCTGGGACTCGAAATTGAGGTCAATCAGAGGTGGGGGGTCAGAAATTCAAGACAGTCTAGAGCTGGAGGTGGGAGCCCAACCTTTCTGGCAGTTCCAGTGGTGCCTGTACACACTAGATTGGTGGGGCCCTAATTTGTGGGGCTAGTAGCAGAATTTATTGGAATTGAGGAAGAAAAGATTTTAAGTTGTAGTTATTTGATGTAATGTGCAAGTATTATCACATATTTTGCTAGAGAGTAAAGGTAAGTCCATTTTTCTTTTGATTAAAAAAAGTATTGAGGCAAAAAGAGCTTGCCATGAGATTTACTCCCTTGACAAAAAAAAAATTTTTTTTTTTGAGATGGAGTTTTGCTCTTGTTGCCCAGGCTGGAGTGCAATGGCGCAATCTCGGCTCACCACAACCTCCACCTCCCAGGTTCAAGCTATTCTCCTGCTTCAGCCTCTCCAGTAGCTGGGATTACAGGCATGTGCCACCAAGCCAAGGCTAATTTTGTATTTTTAGTAGAGACAGGGGTTTCTCCATGTTTGTCAGGCTGGTCTTGAACTCCTGACCTCAGGTGATCCACCCACCTCAGCCTCCCAAAGTGCTGGGATTACAGGCGTGAGCGACCACGCCCGGCTACAAAAATTTAAGAGTACAATACAGTATTGTTAACTACAGGCACAATGTTGTACAGCAGATCTCTAGAACTTACCTTGCATAAATGAAATTCCCATTTTCCCCTTGCCCCAACCACAGGCAACCACCATTCTGCTTTCTGATTCAACGAGTTTGGTTGTTTCAGACATCTCAAGTGGAATCAAGCAGTATTTGTCCATTTGTGGGAGCTCATTTCACTTACAATAATGTCCTCAAAGTTGATCCATGCTGTTGCATGTTGCAGAATTTCCTTTTTTTTTTTTCTTTTGAGACAGGGTCTTGCTTTGCCTTTCAGGATCGAGTGCAATGGTATGATGTTGGCTCACTACAGCCTCAACCTCCTGGGCTCAAATGATCCTCCCACCTCAATCTCCTGAGTAGCTAGGACTGCACACCACCATGCTTGGCTAATATTTTAATTTTTTGCTCTCACTATATTGCTCAAGCGATCCTCCCACCTCAGCCTCCCAAAGTGCTGGAATTATAGGCGTGAGCCACCATGCCTGGCCAGAATTTCCTTTATTTTAAAGGCTGAATAATATTCCATTGTATGTATATACCATATTTTCTATATTAATCCCTCCACTGATGAACATTTAGGTTGCTTCCTCATCTTTGATATTGTGAATAATGCTGTAAGGAACATAGGTGTGCTAATATGTCCTTGAGATTCTGAATTCAATTTTTTTGGGTATATACCCAGAAGTGGGGTTGCTGAATCATATATGGTAGTTCTATTTTTTTTTTTTTTTTTTTTTTTTTTTTGAGATGCAGTCTTGCTCTGTCACCCAGGCTGGAGGGCAGTGACGCAATCTTGGCTCACTGCAACCTCTGCCTCCTGGCTTCCAGTGATTCTCCTGCCTTAGCTTCGCGAATGACTGGGATTACAGCTGGGCACCACCACAACCAGCTAATTTTGTATTTTTAGTAGAGACGGGGTTTCGCCATGTTGCTCAGGCTGGTGTCGAACTCCTGACCTCAAATGATCCATGCACCTTGGCCTCCCAAAGTGCTGGGATTATAGGGATGAGCCACTGCACCCGGCCTGGTAGTTCTATTTTTAATTTTTTGAAGAAACTTCATGCTGTTTTCCACAGTGGCTGCACCATTTCGCAATCTCATTAACAGGGTAGAAAGTTCCAATTTCTCTACGAACTCACCAACACTTGTCTTTTGTTTTTTTGATAATAGTTATCCTAACAGGTATAAGATGATATCTCACTTTTGGTTTGATTTGCATTCCCTCGATGATTAGTGACATTGAGCGTCTTTTCATATGGTTGTTGGCTATTTGTATATCGTCTTTGGAGAAATGTCTATGCAAGTCCTTAGTACATTTTTATTACTATTATTGTTTTTTGAGACGGAATTTTGCTCTTGTTTCCCAGGCTGGAGTGCAATGGCGCAATCTTGGCTCACTGCAACCTCTGCCTCCGGGGTTGAAGTGATTCTCCTGCCTCAGCCTCCAGAGCAGCTGGGATTACAGGCATGCGCCACCACGCCCAACTAATTTTGTATTTTTAGTAGAGACGGGTTTTCTCCATGTTGGTCAGGCTGGTCTCAAACTCCCGATCTCAGGTGATCTGCCCGCCTCAGCCTCCCAAAGTGCTAGGATTACAGGTGTGAGACACCACACCGGGCCCATTTTTATTTTTAACCAGGTTTTTGTTTTTATTTGTTTTGATTAACTACTGAATTGTAAGAGTTATGTATCTTGGAAATTAACCCCTTATCAGATATATGGTTTGCAAATTTGTTTTCCCATTTAATAGGTTGCTTTTTTTTTTTTTTTTTGCTGTGCAGAAGGCCTATAATACCAGCACTTCGGGAGGCCGAGGTGGGTGGATCATCTGAGGTCGGGAGTTTGAGACCAACCTGACCAACATGGAGAAACTCTGTATCTACTAAAAATACAAAATTAGCTGGGTATGGTGGCACATGTCTGAGGCAGGAGAATCACTTGAACCCGTGAGGTGGAGGTTGCGGTGAGCCAAGATTGCACCATTGCACTTCTGCCAGGGCAACAAGAACGAAACTCCATCTCAAAAAAAAACAAACAAACAAAGAAAAAGAAACTCTTTTGTTTGATGTAATCCCATTTTTCTATTTTTGCTATTTTGGGCTATGATTTTGATGTCATAGTAATTAAATCATTGCCAAGACCAATGTCCTAAAGCTTTCCTCCCAGAGTTTTATATTTGCAGATCTTAGATTTAAGTCATTAATCCATTTTAGTTAATTTTTGTGAATGGTGTAAACAAGGGTCTAATTTCATTCTTTTTCATGTGAATATCTAGTTTTCTCAACATCATTTGTTGAAGAGATCGTTTTTTTCCCATTGTGTGTTCTTGGCAACTTTGTTAAAGATCAGTTGGCCATATATTTATGGATTAATCTCTGGACTCTCTATTCTGTTATTTTGGTTTATATACCTGTCTTTATGCTAGTACCAGACTGTTTTAATAACTGTAGCTCTGTAGTATATGCTGAAATCAGGAAGTGTGATGTCTTCAGCTTTGTTGTTCTTTCTCAAGATTGACTTGGTGACTTTGGGTTCTTTGTAGTTTCATATGAGTTTTATATGAATTTTATGGTCTTTTTTTCTGTTTCATAAAAACTGCCAGATAGATTTGGATACGGATTGCATTAATTGTACATCACTGAAAATTTTAACAAACATTAACAACATTTCACCTTCATGATTAAGTTTAATTCTTTTTTAAGGGGGAGGGGTGCTACTATAAATGGGATTGTCCTTTAATTTTTCTTTTTATGTAGTTTATTGTTTATTATTTCATGTAGTTTATTGTTACTGTATAGTAATGCAAGTGATTTCTGAATGTTGATTTTATATTCTGCAAATATATTGAATTTTTTCATTAGTATTAACACTTCTTTTTAATGGAGTCTTTAGGAGTGTCTCTATAAAAAGTCATGTTATCTTCAAACAGGCTCAATTTTACTTCTTCCTTTCCAATTTGGATGCTTTTGATGGTGTTGTTTTTTTCTTATGTTGAGACAGGGTCTTGCTTGAACTCAGTCTTCAGGTTGACTGATAATGCATGATTCAAATCACATGATTGGTATTTCTGACGAGGTTATGGGGTGTGGCCAGCCTCATCTTAAAAAAAAATACACTATACCCAAGCGGGGTGGTGGGCACTTATAGTCCTAGCTACTTGAGAAGCGGAGGCAGGAGGATCCCTTCAGCCTAGGAGCTTGAATCCAGCCTGGGCAACATAGTGAAATGCTATCTCTTAAAACAAACAAAACACTACTGTTAGGTGGTCCAGCTTTTCATTACACAGGAAGAGATGGGCTCGTCCTCAGAAACTAATCTAGAATGACATCTGACAAAGAACAGAACATAAATAATTCTGCTTTTCTAGGAAACTAATAACAGAAACCAATAGCCTGTTCTGAGGAGAACTGGGTGGCTAGGATATAAGAAAAATGGTAAGCTTTACACAAAAAATATTTTAAACCATGCATATTATCTATGCAAAATTTTAAAGAATTAACAAACTATTACATGAAATACAGTTTAGAAATGACAAGAGATGGAAAAGACTATATTTATGCTCTGGATAAAATCACTTAGGGGAGCATTTTAAGGATACAGATCTTCTCAGTTTATACCAGAAATAGAAATGGAAATAGGGGTGAACAAAAGTAAACAAACAATAAAGAAATCCAGAAGATCAAAATGGAAAAAAAAAAAAAGAGGGAGAAAGAAAATTTTTCTACTATTGAAATTATATTCCATAAATAATCTAAAAAATTATTGGACTCTGGCCGGGCACGGTGGCTCACACCTGTAATCCCAGCACTTTGGGAGGCCGAGACGGGCAGATCACAAGGTCAGGAGATCGAGACCATCCTGACACGGTGAAACCCCGTCTCTACTAAAAATACAAAAAATTATCCGGGCGTGGTGGTGGGCACCTGTAGTCCCAGCTACTCGGGAGGCTGAGGCAGGAGAATGGTGTAAACCCGGGGGGCAGAGCTTGCAGTGAGCCGAGATCGCACCACTGCACTCCAGCCTGGGTGACAGAGAGACACTCTGTCTCAAAAAAAAAAATTATTGGATTCATTTTCACATGAAGATAAAAATTTTAAAAGTAGAATACTTAGCCCCTTTTGGTGGTGGTGTGATATCTCACAGTAGATGTTACCCAACATGGGGACTAAAACAAACTCATTTCAAATTCTAGTTGTTAGCCAAGCATATATATCAATCTTTCATTTGGCAGGAGTATATGCCAAATCTAGGAGAACCTTGGAGTTTTTAATGCTTAAAATTTCCAATATTCTCATCTGGAATAACCAAAAAGAGATACATTTTACATTTTTTTCCCCTTCTCATCATCCACATCCAAATCACCTTATTTTTTCCTCCTTTCCTTTCTATTCTTCTTATCTCTCCCCATAGTTCTGACTTTACTCCGCTGTACTGTTTTGACCTTCTAAGAATATTTTTGAGCATCTACTAAGTATCATTACATTGGACTAATTATTTGAAAGGTTTTTTTTTGTTTTGTTTTGTTTTTGTTTTTGTTTTGAGACAGAGTCTCACTCTGTCACCCAGGCTGGGGTGCAGTGGTCCGCTCTCAGCTCACTGCAACCTCTGGCTGCCGGCTTCAAGCGATTCTCCTGCCTCAGCGTCCCGAGTAGCTTGGACTACAGGCACACGCCACCATGCCCAGCTAATTTTTGTATTTTTTTTTTTTTTTAAGTAGAGATGGGGTTTCACCATGTTGGCCAGGATGGTCTTGATCTCTTGACCTTGTGATCCACCCGCCTCAGCCTCCCAAAGTGCTGGGATTACAGATGTGAGCCACTGCACTCAGAAAATCATAAGCGTTTTTAAGATGCTTTTCAGATCCTGAATTCCAGCAGAAAGGCCAACACCAACTAGCGCTGACATTCATAAAGGAACTGAATCAGTGTGAAAATGCAGTTTCAGGCAGAGCACAGTGGTGCACACCTGTAATCCCAGCACTTTGGGAGGCCAAAATTGGAAGATCACTTGAGGCCAGGAGTTCAAGATCAGCCTGGGCAACATAGGGAGACTCTCTCTCTAACAATGACAGCAACAATTTTTTAATTTTACAAAAAAGGGCCAGGTGCGGTGGCTCATGCTTGTAATCCCAGCACTTTGGGAGGCCAAAGTGGATGGATCACTCGCGGTCAGGAGTTTGAGACCAGCCTGGGCAACATGGTGAAACCCCGTCTGTACTAAAAATACAAAAATTAGCTAGGCGTGGTGGCCATGGTGCCACATGCCTGTAATTCTAGCTACTCAGGAGGCTGAAGCAGAAGAATCACTTGAACCTGGGAAGCAGAGGTTGCAGTGAGCCAAGATGGTGCCGCTGCACTCCAGCCTGGACAACAGAGTGAGACTCCTTCTAAAATTAAAAAAAAAAAAAAAAGAAAATGCAGTTTTTTCATCTCCTCATCCCATGACTTTACCCTACACGTTTTTTTTTTTTTTTTTTTTTTTTTTTTGGAGACAGAGTCTTGCTCTGTCACCCAGGCTGGAGCGCAATGGCGCAGTCTTGGTTTACTGCAACCTCTGCCTCCTGGGTTCAAGCAATTCTCTTGCCTCAGCCTGCTGAGTAGCTAGGATTACAGGCACCCGCCACCACACCCGGCTAATTTTTTTGTATTTTTTTTTTAGTAGAGAAGGGGTTTTACCATGTTGGCCAGGCTTGTTTCGAACTCCTGACCTCAAATGATCCTTCTGCCTCAGCCTCCCAGAGCACTAGGATTACAGGCCTGAACCACCACGCCTGTCCCACCCAACACTCTTGGGCCAATCAACGATCCCCACTCCTTGATCCACTCCAAATCCCTTAAAATCCCTACTTCAAACTCCTCAGGGAGGCAGATTTGAGGTTTTCCTCCATCTCCTTGTTGGGCTGTCCATGATTAAACCTATTCCTCTGCTGCAATCTCATGTCTCAGTGTATTGATTTGCCATGCACTGGGTAACGAATCTGATATGGTTACATTCTTCTTGATAAGCAAACTAGTAGGAAAGGCAGTTCTATATATAAATATATCTTTTTTTACAGTGAGATAAATGTGAATTAAGTGTAATGAAGTTGTTGTTGTTGTTTTTTTCTTTGAGACAGAGTCTCACTTTGTTGTTCAGGCTGGAGTGCAGTGAGAGTGATCATAGCTCACTGCAGCCTTGACCTTCTGGGCTCGAGGGATCCTCCCACCTCAGCCTCCTGAGTAGCTGAGACATGCCCAATTAATTAATTTAGTTTTTGTAGAGATGGGGTCTCCCTGTGTTGCTCAGGCTGGTCTCAAACTCCTGGGCTCAAGGGATCCTCCAATCTAGGCCTCCCAAAGCACTGGGATTACAAGTGTGAGCCACCTGAAGTATCTTATAGTAAAAAACAAGAATTCATTGATTTTTTTCCCCCCGGACTATGAAAAATGAGTAGAAATCTGTTGTGTAGACAAGATGAAGAGCATTCTAGGTGCAGAGAAGAACTGGAGACAGCGCGGCTACTGCTACTTTATTATCTGCAGGAGGAAGCCCCTTCTCTGACCTTTGACCTTCACAGTCTTCAGTGAGAACCTACACGATAGACAACACTCTCCTTTAATATTTATTTCTCAGTACCTATGCTTAACCTTTAGTTTGCTAAAAATAAATAAAATTGGCCGGGTGTGGTGACTCACGCCTGTAATCCCAGCACTTTGGGAGGCCGAGGTGGGCGGATCACAAGGTCAGGAGATCGAGACCATCCTGGCTAACATGGTGAAACCTTGTCTCTACTAAAAATACAAAAAAATTATCCGGGCGTGGTGGCGAGCGCCTGCAGTCCCAGCTACTTGGGAGGCTGAGACAGGAGAACGGTGTGAACCCGGGAAGTGGAGCTTGCAGTGAGCTGAGGTCATGCCACTGTACTCCAGCCTGGGCGACAGAGCAAGACTCCGTCTCAAAAAAAAAAATAAAATAAAAAATAAAAATAAATAAAATTAATGTTCATCCTAAGAGGTGAAAATGGGGGAGACAAAAGATGTAAAGCAGTGGTCCCCAACCTTTTTGGCATCAAGGACCAGTTTAGTGGAAGACAATGTTTTCACAGCCTGTAGGGGGCGGGGGTGGGGTATGGTTCTGGGATGAAACTGTTCCACCTCAGATCATCAGGCATTAGATTCGCATAAGGAGCCTGCAACCTAGATCCCTTGCATGCACAGTTCACAATTGAGTTGGCACTTCTATGAGAATCTAATGCCCCGGCTGACCTGACAGGAGGCAGAGCTCAGGCAGTAATGCTCAACCGCCACTCATCTCCTGCTGTGTAACAGGCCATGGACCAGCACCACTCCGCCGCCCAGGGTTGGGACACCTGGTATAAAGGGTGCAAACACTTCCTGATATCACAGGTAGAGAGAATTCTGAGAGTTACAATCCATTCAGAGTCAGAAATTGAGCTTGGTACTTAAGAAACAAACACAATTAAGATATCATCTTTTTCTTCCCCACCAAAGAGCTCATGATCCAATAGATGAGAGAGTGAAGTAAAAAGAAGATTGAAATAACATATCAAGTACCTAGCACAACAGATGAAGCTCACAGGAGTGTGTCTGATCCAAACTGTTGGATGTGAAGTTCCCACCATAACCTGAAGGATAAGCAAGTGATCACCACTGGAAGAAATGGAGGCAAACAAAGAGAAGAAAAGGGGAAAACAAAAAGTTCTGTCCCTCTGGAGAACCCTGACTAATACAGATTTTTGTACCAGGAGTGGTTCTAGAGGAACAGAATATTAAGGATGGAGTTCTTTCATTGGTTTTGGAGTTTCTGGAGTTGGCTGCTTAATATGGTTCAGCCCAGAAATGCTAAGGACTCTACTTCTGATAGTATGGCGAACACTGGTAGTCCTTGGCATGAACTGTTTAGACAGTTATGCAAAATAAATACATTTGACACTCCTGATTCACCACTCCTGAGAAGCAAGTTTAGCGACTTTATACGTAATACCTTTGACCATATGTGGAGAACCAAGGAACATAATGAGACTGGTTGGTTGCTTCTAAGTTCAGTGGACAAAGTGATGAAAGAAAATGATGAACTCAAGGATTCTGTCTCCCGGCTTCAGAAGCAGATACTGAGCCTCAAATCTGCTAAGATTGCCCTGAGTGAGAGTCTTATCTCCTGTAGAGAAAGAGCTGACATTGTGGAAAAACAGACACAAGCTCTTACCATGCAAGTGGCTGACCTGCAATGAAAGATGCATGCGTAGCCTCACCAGGTGTCTACTATTAAAGTGACAGCATTGACTGG